>NC_000008.11:141453701-141755779 GCF_000001405.40 Homo sapiens
AAAGAAAAGAAAACATAAACAAGGGTCCTGAGAGTATTAAAGAGATGACAAGACTGTAAGAAACTGCAAGGCCAACATGTGGGGAATATGATGACCCTGAGGGGTTGGGAGCAGGAAAGCTACTGATGCCTTGGGGGCATCTGACAATTCTGGAAAATTAGATCCTTTGTTCTGACAGCCTTGTGGGATGAAGGGACAGAGACCTAAGCTCACAGACTGCACAACATGGTTAATCTCATAGGAGACCCTTGGCCACTTTCAGACTGGTGCCTAAGCAGGTGTGAAAAACCCAAGCAAATTTCAGCCACGTTTGAATTGAATGGGGGCATCCAGGGAATCTGAAGCACTGGATTTGGCTTAAGGTAATCACGGGCTTACCTTAGGTATCCTTAGGTGCTTGGCAGAGCAAAGACAAGTTGTTTTTGTTGGAGGAAAATACCTTAATTGTGGGCCCCAAATCATTCCTACATTTTTTTTTTCCAAAAACAACATCCAGTATGTAGTCAAAAGATAATCAGACACATGAGGAAGGCACACTCCATCGGTAACATACAGCAAGAATAACAAATAAAGTAGATCTGAAAACTTAGATATTAGAATCGTCAGGTATGAACTATGAAACAAATATTTGATTATGAATACAGAAATAAAAGACAAGCTTAAAAATGTCTTCAGGGACTAGGAACCTATAAGTGATAGAGCAGGTGAGAAAAAGAACCAAAATGACATTTTAGAAATAAAAAATACCAAATCTGAAATAAAAAAAATGCAATGGAAAACGTTAACATCACATTGACATGGTTAAAGGAGAATTAGTGAACTAGAAGATAACTCAAAATAAATTAGACAGAATTCAGCAATGAGGGACACAAATATGGGGAAGCAGAAGGGAAGTAAGAAATTGTGTTGAATATCTTCCGCTTGCTCCTGCAGATATAATCTCTGCTGCTCCCCATCCTGCCTCATGCCCCAGGAAGCTGACCTGTATACACTGCATCAAGAAGCTCTCTTGACCTTTGGCTTCCAGTTGACTTGGCTAATGGTAAGCACTAGCAAGAGGTCAGAAGGTGGGAGTGGAGGGAAGTCAGGGTATTTATACCGCAGAGTCTCTCCCTGTGGGTGGCCACAGGATTGCCGTGTCCATCTGTCCTGTGGTCTAGCCATATAGACATCCTTGGTTCTGGGAGCACTCCCATTCCCTGCCCCTTTAGGTCTAGAAGGTGGCAATGAGTCAGCATTGTTACTTTTCCTGGGGCACTGGCCCTTCCCCTGTCAGTCACATTAAACTCTACCCCTTGTCCAAGAGCTCTTTTATTAAATTTTCCACCTCAACCAATTTGAGTGTGTTATCTGTTCCCCCCAGCACTCTGAGTGATCTAGTGAAATAGAGGATATGGTAAGATATTGACATGTGCCTAATCAGTGCCCTAGAAGGAAAGTGAGAGAGAATGCAGGAGAAGCACTATGTGGAGAGATAATGGCTGGGATTCTTCCAGGACCAGAATATTCCAGAACAGGAATTCAAGACAGGATAAACATAAAGAAATCCATTCCTAGACACACTGTGGTGACTTATCAGACAAATAAAAACAAACAAAACAACAAACTTTCCCAAACCAGAAAAAACCAGGGTACTGTAAAACCAGTCACAGGATAAAGCACATAGCACGATGAAAAGAGCAGCAGTCCTGCTGAGAGCTGACTTCTCAACAGCAGCAATGGAAGCCAGTGACAGTGGGATGTTAGCTTGGCGTGCAGAAAGAAAATAACTGCCAATATTGAATTCTATACCCAGTGAAGTGTCTATCAAGATTGAAGATGAAATAAAGACATTTTCATATAAAAACTGAAAGCATTTGCTAACAGCAGACCCAAACTAAAGGGGGTTCTAAAGGATGTGCTTTAGGTTGGAGGAAAATGGCCTCAGGTGAGGGGTGTGAGGCTTAAAAAGAAATTAAGAGCAAAGAAAATAGTGAAAATGGGGGCAACTCTAAATGAATATTGACTTGTGAGATTTAAAAATATACAGAGTTAAACAACAAGGGCATTAAAATTGAGAGTGTGTTAAGTCAGTTGAAGACTCTGAAGGTTCTTTTTTTTTTTTTTGGTCTGGAAAGAAAGTAAAGATGGTAAATTCAATCCCAAATATATAAACAATTATATTACAAGTAAATTGAATAAATGCTTCAATTAAAGACAAAGGTCGTCAGGCTATAAAAACCCAACTAAATGCTGTTTACAAAAGACACATCTAAAACAAAAGAATGTAGAAATAGCAAAAGTAAAAGTCTGGAAAAAGGCATACTATGCAATATCAACAAAAGAAAACTGGTGTTATTATATGACTAGACACTTAATATTAGACAATATAAACTCTAAAAAACTATAGTAATATTAGGCAAATGGAAATCTCCAAGTATATGCAACAGAATGCCCTTCATATGAAAGTATAAAAATTATAACTCACATGAAATTATAATTTATATGAAATTAGAAAAACAATAAAGTACTTTTAGGAATATGTATAGGTGCAATAAAACTAAATAAAAGGAAAGCAAAGTAATGATGAACCTTAGATAGGGTGAGCCAGGGGAATGGAAATTAGCAATGGCGGACAACACAATAGAAACGTGTGCAGGATACTTGAATAGGCATATCACCAAAGAGGCTAAAAAGAAATGAAAAGATGTTCAACTTCTTTATTTAATCATGAAAGTGGAAACGAATACCACAATACTGATTAATAGCACCACCAGACTGACTAAAACTTTGATTACTGGCTAAAAAGTGAATGCTAAGTGTTAGTAAACTGCGGAGTAACGGGAACTCTAAAAAAAATACTGCTGAGAGTGTGAATCAGTACAAGCTCTTTGGAAACATTTTGCATTATGTATTAGAGTTGGATATATGTATAGCTTTATGATGCAGACATTTCCATCCTAGATGCATACACTGTGGAAACTGAGAGCTTATGTACATCCAGGCGCATGTATAAGCAAGTTCACTGCAGCGTTGCTAACCATAGTACCAAACAGGAATTGACCCAAATATTGACCTCTAGTAAAAAGAATAATTGGCATTCATAAAATGGAATACTATACAGCAACAAAAATGAATGAACTACAACATGTTAAAATGAATCTTAGACACATCATATTGGAGGAAAAAAATAAGCCAGACATGCTGGGCATGGTGGCTCATGCCTATAATCTCAGCGCTTTGGGAGGTCAAGGTGGAAGGATTGCTTGAGGCCAGGAGTTTGAGATCAGCCTGGGCAACATAATGAGACCCCATCTCTTCAAAAAAAATAAATTAGCCAGGTGTGGTGATGCATGCCTGTAGTCCTAGCTACTCATGAGGCTAAGGTGGGAGGATCACTGGAGCCCAGGAGTTTGAGGTTACAATGAGCTATGATTGTACCACTACACTCCAGCCGGGGCAACTAAGCAAGACCTTGTCTCAGCAAACAAACAAACAAACAAACAAACACCCAAGCCAAACAACAGAAGAATATTGGAAGACTACATATTGTACAATTCTGTTTATACTTTTAGGACACACCCCACCATGATTTCACGTATTTCTAAGAAAGAAAAAATGGCCAAGATGGGAGTCTTATAGGAGACCCCAACATAGAGCTGGGACCCAAAGGTCTGCATGTACGGTTTAAGGGTGATCGAAATAAACAAACAAAACTCGGCCCTGCAGAAAGAAAAATCGAGAAAACTGTCATGCTTCAGTCAGCACACTGGGTGGAAGTGGGAAGGGGTACGAATGTCCTGAGGATTTGAACCCAAACCTCTTTGGATGCCTGAATTCACACCAATGTGGCCCAATAAAATCTCAAGCAGAGACTTTTAAATTGAAAGTGGTCTCAAACTAACAGTGCCCCCAGGTGCCTGGCAGAAAACTATATAAATCCAGGTGTAAGGCACCATCAGTGAAAAATGCACCCCGATTTCATAAATGTTAAAATGTAAAAAAAAATGCTTCTTAGAATTGAGGAAATAAGATAAAAATTCCAATACATAAAATAGAACTGTAAACTTCTAGGTAGCTGAAGACGATGCCTGTTGCCTAGGCCTCCACCTCCCAAAATTTCCTTGAGATACAACAGAAAAACAAGAAGGGAAATAAAAATGCACAAAAACTATGACTCCAGTGCAAATTCAGAGAGTTCCCAAACTTCAAAATTAAGCACAAAGAGAAGAGTATCAACCTTAGCATGAAATCTCTACTGCTCCCACCCTATCCCGTTCTACCATAAGGCTTTGATAAAGGCAGGCTGAGAGAAACTGAGGGGAAAGAGGGAAGGGAGGAGTTAGCAACAGGGCTTGAGATTGATATAAAGCCTAAAGCACCTTCTAGAAGACTAAGTCCACCCTAAGTCTTAAAAAAAAAAAAAAAGTTCAAGTGTCAGAGCCCCAATCACATAGCAGTGACTTAAAAGTCTGCCTGCTTTGGAGGGCGGTCTTCAAAATGCACAGATTTTGGGAAAGGAAAGGGCAAAAAAGAAAGCAGAGGTATCCTTTGGAGATTAGGTGGTGATAGGGAAAGAGGTAAAAGGGAAAAATGTATGGCCCTGCAATAGAAATGGAACCAAAACATTGGAGGATCCATAATCCTTTTGCTTACCACCCAAACAGTCTATTAAATTATCTGGACTTTGCTGTATTGACAGAAGAGGGTGCCATTGAACTTAAAATCATATAAAACACGCAAAGAACACAAACATGAACAGGAACAAAATGAACAGATCCATAGAATTATTGTAAAAAATGAGAAAACAAAAATCAGCACACACAAAATAAGGAACTCCCCCTGGAAAAAATCACGATGCAGGAAAAAAACCCTAAGACAACATTCATTCTACGTGTCATTACATATGCTCAAATAAGCATTTAAAAATGTGAAAACTACCTTGAATTATGAGTTCAAAAAAGGACAAAAAAATCCAACAGGATCTGAAAAGAGAGTTGATTGACTTCAGGAAAGAAATGGATGAGATGAAAAAATTATCTCAGAAATGAAGGAAGAGTACAAGGTGTCCAAGAGAGATAAGACTCAAATGATAATTTAATAAGGTGCATTTAGGAAAACAAGAAAAGCAACCAAGAGAATGAAAGTGAATTTAAGAAAGAGTAAAAGGGGTCAGAGGGAAAGTAGTGAAAATGGAAGACAGGAGGAATAGCATTTGTATTACTGGAGTCCCTGAGGAAGAAAAACAGCAATGGAACATGACTAATATTTAAAACTGTAACCAAGAAAATTTTCCAAGAATAGCAACCTCAAAAAAATTTCAATTCTTTTTTTTCTTCTGCCCGTGGACGCCCCTGAAGAAGCATCGTTAAAGTCTCTCTTCTTCCTGCTGTCATGTCTAAGTCAGAGTCTCCTAAAGAGCCCGAACAGCTGAGGAGGCTCTTCATTGGAGGGTTGAGCTTTGAAACAACAGATGAGAGCCTTGAGGAGCCATTCTGAGCAATGGGGAATGCTCACGGACTGTGTGGTAATGAGAGATTCCAACACCAAGCGTTCCGGCGGGAGTTTTGGGTTTGTCACTATGCTGCTGCGGAGGAGGTGGATGCAGCCACGAATGCAAGGCCGCACAAGGTGGATGGAAGAGCTGTGGAACCAAAGAGAGCTGTCTCAAGAGAGGATTCTCAAAGATCAGTTGCCCACTTAGCTGTGAAAAAGATATTTGTTGGTGGCATTAAAGAAGACACAGAAGAACATCACCTAAGGGATTATTTTGAACAATTTGGGAAAATTGAAGTGACTGAAATCACGACGGGCCGAGGCAGTGGCAAGAAAAGGGGCTTTGCCTTTGTAACCTTGGACGACCATGACTCTGTGGATAAGCTTGTCATTCAGAAATACCCTACTGTGAATGGCCACAGCTGTGAAGTTAGGAAAGTCCTGTCAAAGCAAGAGATGGCGAGTGCTTCATCCAGCCAAAGAGGTCGAAGTGGTTCTGGAAACTTTGGTGGTGGTGGTGGAGGTGATTTTGGTTGGAATGACAACTTTGGTCATGGAGAAAACTTCAGTGGCTATGGTGGCTTTGGTGGCAGCCATGGTGGTGGTGGATATGGTGGCAGTGGGGATGGCTATAATGGATTTGGTAATGATGGAAGCCATTTTGGAGGCTACAATGATTTTGGCAATTAGAACAACGAGTCTTCAAATTTTGGCCCCATGAAGGGAGGAAACTTTGGAGGCAGAAGCTCTGGCTCCTATGGTGGTGGAGGCCAATACTTCGCAAAACCACGAAACCAAGGTGGCTATGGTGGTTCCAGTAGCAGCGGTAGCTATGGCAGTGGCAGAAGATTTTAATTAGGAAACAAAGCTTAGCAGGAGAGGAGAGCCATAGACGTGACAGGGAAGCTACGGGTTACAACAGATTTGTGAACTTGGTCAAGCACTGTGGTGGCAGGGCCTAGCTGCTACAAAGAAGACATGTTTTAGGCAGATACTCATGTGTATGGGCAAAAAAACTCGAGGACTGTATTTGTGACTAATTGTATAACAGGTTATTTTAGTTTCTGTTCTGTGGAAAGTGTAAAGCTTTCCAACAAAGGGTTTTAATGCAGATTTTTTTTTTTTTTTGCTCCCATGCTGTTGATTGCTAAATGTAATAGTCTGATCGTGATGCTGAATAAATGTCTTTTTTTTTTTTTAATGTGTTGTGTAAAGTTAGTCTACTCTGAAGCCATCTTGGTAAATTTCCCCAACAGTGTGAAGTTAGAATTCCTTCAGGGTGATGCCAGGTTCTATGTGGAATTTATGTACAACCTGCTTGGGTGGAGATGCCATTGTCTTCAGAAACCTTGGTGTAGTTGAACTGACAGTTACTGTTGTCACCTGAAGTTCACCGTTAAAAGGGATGGCCCAAGAAAAGTCATGGAATTAATTGGTTATAAAAATGATTGTTGGCACATCCTATGAAATATATGTAAATTGAATAATGGTACCAGATAAAACTATAGATGGGAATGAAGCTTGTGTATCATCCATTATCATGTGTAATCAATAAATGATTTAATTCTCTTGAAAAAAAAAAAAGATCTCAATCTACATAATCAAAGGAGGTACCAGGTGCCTGGGAACATTAACCCCGAATGATCAGCTCTGAGACATTTCCTAACTAAATGATTAGATTTCAAAGATTACAAAAAAATCTTAAAGTCTCTGGGCAAAAAGAGCAAATAACTTACAAACGCCAAAAAAACCCCTATTGTCATTAACTTTTAAAAAACAACGCAAGGCAACGATGCAACAGCATTTAAAAAATAATAAAAGAAAATGTGAACAAAGAATTTTATATCCAGCCAAACCATTCTTCAAATAAAGAACTTTCAACATAAAAGAACCTAAAGAATTCTGAATCTTTTGGAGGATGAGCTTCTTCAGACTAAGATGACTGGAAAACTTCAGCCTAGGAACTGATGGTGTGCCTGTAAACACAAAGTATGGAGATGAGGGTAGAGCAGTAGAGTGTGAATGTTCAATGTTTTGACAAAGTACAAATATGTAACTGAAAAATGGGAGAAGGAGACAGAAAGAGGAAAATAGAACAATTTCACTAATTGTTGTGCAGAAAACAGGTGGGAATTAAAGAGTATTGGGGTAGGAGGTGGGACACGGATACAGGACCAAATTGACGACTAGCTATCACAGGGATAGGGCAGAAGCACCTTTCCATAAGGCACGCCCACTGGCGCGCCATGTCAGTTTACCATTGCCATGGCTACACCAGGACGTTACCACCTCTTTCCATGGCAATGACCTGACGACCCTGAAGTTACCACCCTTTTTCTAAGAATTTCTGCATAACCTACCCCGTAATTTGCACATAATTAACTGCAGAAGTGCCTCTGAGCTGCTCCTCTGGGCAGCCCTGCTCTGCAAGGAGCAGGCCTCTGCTGCTGCTGTGCAGGGCCGCTTCAATCAAAGTTGCTGTCTAACACCATGGGCTTGCTCTTGAATTTTTTCCTGGGCAAAGCTAAGAACCTTCCTGGGGTAAGCCCCACCTTTGTGGCTCACCTGCCCTGCATCAGTATCAAATAAAAAGGATAAACCTGGCCGGGCACGGTGGCTCACGCCTATAATCCCAGCACTTTGGGAGGCCGAGGAGGGGGTGGATCACCTGAGGTCAGGAGTTCAAGACCACCAGCCTGGCCAACATAGCAAAAGCCTGTCTTTACTAAAAATACAAAAATCAGCCAGGCGTGGTGGTGCACACCTGTAATCCCAGCTACTTGGGAGGCTGAGGCAGGGGAATTGCTTCAACCCAGGAGGCGGAGGTTGCACTGAGCTGAGATTGCACCACTGCACTCCAGCCTGGGTGACAGGGCAAGACTCTGCCACACACACACACACACACACACACACACACACACACACACACAAAGATAAACCTGATGTTAAAGGGCTGAATAATAAAATGGGGACTAAGCGACTAAGGGCATTAAAATAAGTTAGGAGCACAAAGGTAACAACTAGGATGAAAATACATTTCCTAGATTAAAACAAAATTGAAGCTGAAGAGCAAAGAATGCACCTCTTGTAGAAAAAGAAACAGCAAATGTCATGAAATACACACAACTACAAAATGTCATGACAGACAAACATATCAATCGCATCAATATTGACAAGCTTCACTCACCTATTACAAAAGATTTTCAATTTGGATTACAAATCAGGACAAACTTTGTGCTGTATATAAGATGGAGACCTAAAACAAAGGGATTCCCAAAGGCTAAGATAAAGAAGTAGAGAAATGCATACTGGGCAAATGGAAAAATAAAAAAGCAGGTTAATGATTCTGAACAGACAGTAGAATTCAAGTCCCCAAAACATTAAGTGTGACAAAGCAGGGCATCTCAATAGTAAAAGTCATGGTTCATAAATATATAGAATACTTATGACTATGTATGTGCCAAATAACATGGCAATCACCTTCACAAAGTAAAAGTCCAGGGATTGAAAGTATAGATAGAGACACACCAATGTTTCTTTAGTGAGACTTTAACACACACTCAGTCCAAGACAGATCAAGAGGACAGAAATTAAGTACGTAGAAAACCTCGACAACACAATCAAGGTAAACCTTATACATATAGAGGCACACCTCGTTTTACTGTGCGTCACTTTATTGTACTTTGCGGATATTGCATTTTTTACGAGTTGAGGGTTTGTGACAACCCAGCGTCGAGCAAGTCTGTTGGTGCCATTTTTCCAGCAGCGTGTGCTCACTTCATGCCTCTGTGTGATATTTTGGTAATTCTCACAGTATTTTAAGCATCCTCATTATTATTAATCTGTTATGGTGATCTGTGATCAGTGATCTTTGCTGTTACTACTGTAATTGTTTTAAGGCACCATGAGCCACACTCATATAAGATGCCAGACTGAATCCATAGATGTTGTGGGTTCTGACTGCTCCACCCACTGGCCGTTCCCCCATCTCTCTTCCTTTCCTTGGGCCTCTCTATTCCCCAAGACACAACAACATTGAAATTAGGCCAATTAATAACTTAACATGGGCTGTAAGTGTTCAAGTGAAAGGAAGAGTCCCATTTCTCTCACTTTAAATCAAAAACTAGAAATGATTAAGTTCAGTGAAGAAAGCATGTTGAAAGCCAAGATAGGCCCAAAGCAAAGACTCTTTTGCCAAACAGTGAGCCAAGCTGTGAATGCACAGGAACAATTATTGAAGGAAATGAAAAGTGCTACTCCAGTGGACACACACATATGAAGAAAGTGAAACAGCCCTTATTGCTTAGTGGTTTGAAGAGATCAAACCAACCACAACATTCTCTTAAGCCAAAGCCTAATCTAGAGCAAGGCCCTAACTCTTCCACCCTGTGAAGGCTGAGAGAGGTGAGGAAGCTGTAAAAGAAAAGTCTGAAGCTAGCAGAGGTTGGTTCGTGAGGTGGAAGGAAAAAAGCCATCTCCACGGCATAAAAGTGCAAGATGGAGCAGCAAGTGCTGGTGGAGAAGCTGCAGCAAGTTATCGAGAAGATCTAGCTAAGATCACTGATGAAGGTGGCTACACTAAACAACACATTTTCAATGAAGAAACCACCTTCTATTGGAAGATGCCATCTAGGACTTCCATAGCTAGAGAGGTAAAGTCAAAGCCTGGCTTCAAAGCTTCAGAGGACAGGTTGACTCTTGTGTTAGGGGCTAATGGAGCTGGTGATTTTAAGTTGAAGCCAATGCTCATTTCCCATTCTGAAAATCCTAGGGCCCTTCAGAACGATGCTAAATCCACTCTGCCTGTGCTCTAGACATGGAACAACAAAGCCTGGTTGACAGTGCATCTCTTTACTTCATGGTTTACTGAATATTTTAAGCCCGCTGATGAGACCTACTGCTCAGAACTAAAAGATTCCTTTCAAAATATGAGTGCATATTGACAATGCACCTGTCACCCAAGAGCTCTGCTGGAGATGTACAAGGCGATCGATGTCGTTTTCCTGCCTGTGAACACGACAACCATTCTGCAGCCTGTGGATCAAGGAGTCATTTTGACTTTCAAGTCTTATTATTGAAGAAATACACTTTGCAAGAGGGTAGCTGCCATAGATAGTTGTTTCTCTGATGCATCTGGGCAAAGTACATTGAAAACCTTCTGGAAAGGATTCACCATGCTAGATGCCATTAACAACATTTGTGATTCATGGAGAGGAGGGCAAAAGAGCAACATGAACAGCAGTTTGGAAGAAGTTGATTCCAGCCCTCACAGATGACTTTGAGGGGCTCAAGACTTTGGTGGAGGAAGTAACTGCAGATGTAGTAGAAATAGCAGGAGAACTAGAATTAGAAGTGGAGCCGGAAGACTGAATTGCTGCAATCTCATGATCAGACTTGAAGAGATGAAGAGCTGCTTCTTATGGATGAGCTAAGAAAGTGGTTTCTGAGATGGAAACTACTCCTGGTGAAGATGCTGTTGAAATGACATCAAAGGATTTAGAATATTCCATAAACTTACTGATAAAGCAGTGGCAGGGTTTGAGAGAATTGACTCCAAATTTGAAAGAAGTTTCACTGTGGGCAAAATGCTATCAAACAGCATCACATGGTACAGAGAAATCTTTCAGGAAAGGAAGAGTCCATTGATGCTAAAACGTCATTGTTGTCTTATTTTTAAGAACTTGCCAGACACCTGAACCTTCAACAGCCACCACCCTGACCAGTCAGCAGTCCTCACCACCCACCAGCAAGAGGATCCCGACTTGCTGAAGGCTCAGATGATCATTAGCAATTTTTAGAACTAAAGCATTTTTAAATTAAGGTAAGTACATTGTTCTTTGAAAAGACACAATGCTATTGTCTACTGACTAGACCACAGTATAGTATAAACAGAACTCTTATGTGCACTGGGAAACACGGAGGCACACGTGACTGCTCTATTGTGGTGGCCTGGAACCGAACCCGTAATATCCTGAGATATGCCGGTATCTCAAACTCTACACCCTGACAACAGAAAATACACCTCCTTCTTGAGTGCCAATGGGACATTCACAAAAAGCATTTAAAAGATTAGTAAATTTCATAAAGTAAAAACTTTACAGACAACACTCTCTGACCACAGTGCAGTAAAACTAGAAATTATTCACAGAACCACAAATGCGCTTCCACATGGAAATTAGACATCTTCCTGGAAACAACTCTTGGGCTCTGGGAGCTTATGACACCCCTGTTCTGGTGGCTTCTGAGTGTTCAGTGAAATGGGAGCAAGGCCAGCAGCTGGGGCCAGGGACCTGTGTGTGTGCGGGAGTCACTGTCTCACTGCCAGGTGTGCCCCAGGCTGGAAGGAGGGTGACAGTGAGGACAGGTGAGGGGGAGTAAGAGGGGTGCAGGGCAGTGCACGGCAGGTCCTGGGGACAAGGCTCGCTGGGTCTGGAGGCGAGCTGTAAAGGTGGGAGTGCCTGAAGCTGGTGATGGTCACACCAAGGGATGGCCGGGGGAGTGGGTGGCTGTGGGGGATGGAAGACAAGGTCCTTGGGAGGGAGGAGATCCAGGCCTGGAGAAGTCAGGGTGAGGGGAAGACAGGGAAATCCCCCAGGAGTCAGGCATGGGGAGTGAGCTAGGGGGTGTCCCTGACTGGAGCGAGGGGCCATCCAGGACAGGTGCATGGTAGGTAGGTGGCAGGGGGTATGGACTGAGGACTTGGGAGGCAGAGCTGGGACTTTGGGAAGGAAGGGCCATGAGCAGTGACAAGGACCCTAGCCCATCTCTAGGCCCAGGGGTCTGAGGGCTGTGAGAGAAAAGCCAGCCCCACCTGAGAGGGCTTTGATGGCCTCTGGCGGATATAGTGGGGTGGTCTGTAGAGGGGCAGGAAGGAGAATAGAGTGTTTGTAGATGAGAAGAGACAGAGGGGTTTGCTGCTGGGCGGCGAGGCTTCAGTGTGGGCTGGGGTCTTGCCAGGAGCACCCAGGGTCCTGTGGCCTCTCCATCAGGTGACAGTGTGGCCTGGCTGGGGCAGGTGTTTCATGTGGAGCCAGGACAGGAGACAGTGAGCAGTGCCTCCCATGTGCCCGCCCAGGAGGTATGCAATGATGAACAGATGTGGGCTCCCTCCAAGCACCCAGCCCTATAGAAGTCCCTGTGGGCCATGGCGGGGGCAGACAGGAGGGCAGAGGTCACCACCCCTGCCTGGGGAGAGGATGGGGAGTGGGCAGTGAGGCAAGAGGGGCAGGCACCTGTCCAAGGGGATGGAGATGTTCAGGAAGGTGGCCACCAGCTCACAGGTGTGGCTCCGGGCCAGCAGGGTGATGGCGTGCAGGGTCTTTTCCTTGGCTTGCGGGATGTGGACAGAGCACAGGCGGAGGCGGATGGCCTGGGCCATGCTGGAAACCTGTGCAGAGAGGGAGAGGTCTGGCAGGGAGGCCCAGCCCTGCCCTGGGAGCCTGAAGGCAGAGGGAGGTCTCACCCTGATGAGCACAGAGCCCCTTCAGATATGGCCCTGTCCTGAGCCATCTGGGTGGCGGGCCACAGCCCTGCCCCGGATGCTTGGTCTGAAGAGAAGTCCCAGTCTTGGGGGGACAGGTCCTGCCATGTTCTGCATGGCATTTGAGGTCTTTGTATGCTGTCCACACTGCCCAGGTAGACACTGGAAGGTCCAGGCCCCCTGCCTCCCATCTCATTCTTAAACATGCCACTTTGCACATGGGGTGCCCTGTGCCTGGGGCACCCTGCCTTCTCCTTGGGGTCTCTCCTGCTCATCCCTAATGCCCAGTGCCAGTCTCCCTGTCTGAGCTCACCCACTTGCAGGACTTGGCACTGGGCATCCTCTCTCTGGGGTGCACCCCTCACCTCCCTGCAGGGTCCTCCTCCCCCACATCATATCCCCATACGCTGTCCAGGCAACATCTGCCTGTGTGTCCGTTTTCCCCGAGACCTCAAGCTCCTCGAGGGGCTGGTCTGTGCTGTCCCCTTCCTTTCCCACCATTCCGCACACAGAGGCTGCTCAGACCCCGCAGTCACCACCCAGGACCCAGGGGACTTGCTTGGGCCATTCATTCATTCATTCATTCGCTCATTCAAAACCATCAGACTAGTTGCTTCCTAGGGTGGGATCTGTGTCTCCCCCATCAGGCTCAAGGACCTGAGCCCTGGATGCTGACTGCTGGGCCCGCCCTCCGCCCCCTGGCCCTTCCTGGCCCTTCCTGGCCCAGCCCCAGCGCCCTCACGATCTCCAGCTTGGCCCCGTGCTCCTGGACGGCTGTGAGCAGCATCTCGGAGGCTGCCTGCACGCGGAAGGGGCTGGTGGAGCCCAGGCCGTCGATGGCCGTCCAGATGAGGTCGCTCAACTCTGCCAGTGTGAGCTGCTGCATGATATCCTGTACAGCGGGGGTGGAGAGAGGCCATCACCTTGGGCCCCCTGGGCCTGGGCGTCCGCCTCCCCACTTCTGCTTTTACCCCTTCTCCTTTGTCCCAGGATCTTGCAAGTCTCTGAGCATATCTGGCCTCCTAAGCCCCACTCCTCTGGGTTCCAAGCACCCGTCAGTGATTTGCAGTCTAGACTTGCGCACGTCCACATCTGTCAGAGCCAACCACGGCCCCAGCTCTTTCCCACGCTGACACTCCGTGCTTGTCTTAGGACTGGGTGGCCAGGCCAGCCTCCCCTCTCCCCTCCTCTGCTGTCCTCTGCCCATAGGGCTTCCTCATCTGCCAGCCTCAGCCCTGTGGGGTGTCTCCCTGCCAGGCTCCAGTCCTCCTTATGAGCATTTATCAAAGAGAAAGTGAACTTCCTGGCTGTGAAGGAGCTTCGAGGTCACCTGGGCCAACCCCCAGTCCCAGAAGGGTGTGTAGGCTGCCATCAGCCTTGGAGCAGGTCAGGGTGGGTGCAGCCAGGACCCAGCTCCTGTCCCAGGACAGGCAGCACTGTCCCAGGACCCTGACACCCTCTGTCCATCTCCTCCTAGGAGTGGCTTTAAAGGTCCAGGAAGGTGGGTCTCGCCTCTGCAAGCAGCCGTGAGCTCAGGGGTAAGGAAGGGGTTCTAGAGAAATGCAAGATGATGGGTGTTACCCCCGCCTCATAGCCTCAGACTATAGCCTCCTGGAGGGGGGACTGGGCCTCAGTCACTGCTGCAAAGGTAGAACTTTCTGGAAAGACTTTAGGCATTGTACCACTAGCTATACACAGCTATTTATATTTCAATTTAAGTACAATTAAAAATTCAGTTCTGCAGTAGCACTAGCCACATTTCAAGTGCTCCATGGCTCCCTGTGGCCAGTGGCTACCTTGGGTAGCACAGAGATAGAACACGCCCATCCTCCCAGAGGGTTCTCTGCACAGTGGGGACACACAGCATTGAACCGAAGGAAGTTAGAAGCTAAAGGAGGGATAGGAGAGCAGCCTGACAGAAAATTAGGGCATTTGCAAGGATGTCAGGATGGCAAAATGCTTCTTTGCATGTTAGGATATTTGTTGGAGTGCCTGCAATCTGTTAGGACATTTCTAAGTATATTAGAATATCAAATTAAGTGTTAAATAATGGATGTTAGAATATTTATTAGAATCTTTTAATTCTAAAATTTTGATACAGTGTTTGTGAGAATGTTAGAGTATTAGCACAATGGTTAGAATGTTAAAATAATTTTAGTGGAAGATTTGTGGTAAGAACTTTTTAAAAGAATATTATGTTACACATCTGGCTAGAATATTTGTTAGAGGAATAAAATCATTGGCTAGAATGTTAAACTTTTGCTTAAAGCTAGCATTTAGAATGTTTGTGAAGAAATTCAACTTGGAATGGTGGTTAGATTCTCAGAATACTACAATCTCAGGATTGGTAAAGACTTTGGAGCCATCTCCCTTCAATCAAGGGCAGGAATAAATGTGAGATAAAGGTGGCAGTGATGGTAGAAGTGGTGGTGGTGGTGATAATGATGGTGGTGCAGGGTCATAGTAATGCAGATGGTGATGGTGGTTGTAGTCATGGTGATGTGGTGGTCGTGGCAATGGTGGTTATGGTGATGGTGGTGGTGACAGTGATAGTGATCATGATGGTGATGGTGATGATGCTTATGGTGATAGTGATGGTGGTGGTGATGGTGGTGATAATGTTGGTGGTGGTGACAGTGACCATGATGGTGGTGTTGATGATTACAGTGATCATGATGGTGGTGATGATGTTGGTGGTGATGACTGTGGGGGTGGTGATGGTACTAATGGTGGTGGTGGTGATGATAGTGATGTTGATGATGCTTATGGTGATAGCAATGGTGGTGGTGGTGGTGATAATGTTGGTGGTGGTGACAGTGACCATGATGGTGGTGATGTTGCTGGTGGTGATGACTGTGGGGGCGGTGATGGTACTAATGGTGGTGGTGGTGATGATAGCGATGGTGGTGATGATGGTGGTGATAATGTTGGTGGTGACAGTGATCATGATGGTGGTGATGATGTTGGTGGTGATGGAGATGGTGGTGATGGTGGTGATGATGATGCTGGTGGTGGTGGCGGTGGTAGTGGTGGTGATGATGCTTGTAGTGATGGTGGTGGTAGTGATGATGGTGATAGTGATGCTGGTGGTGGTGGCTGTGATGGTGATGGTGGTGATAATGGTGGTAGTGGTGACAGTGACAGTGATCATGATCGTGGTGATAATGCTGGTGGTGATGATGACAGTGGGGGTGGTGATAAAGATGTCATGTATCCAAGACTACATGAGGAGTTAGGGGCAAACTTGGGACCAGAACCTAGGCCCAAAGTATCTGTTTTCCAGCTGGAACCTTCTCAGCCCTGTGGTTCTATGATGGTTCTGTGATTAGCAGACCCTCCCATCCGCACCATCCTACTGCTCCCATCTGTCTGGGGAGAGCCAGAGCTGGACACCCATGGTCTGTGTGCAGGGACCACATGGGGTGAAGCAGCTGTCCCTTCAGTGAAACTCTTCCTTCCCGGCCCTGCCTCTGCCTTCAGGGCAGGTTCTGCAGGGTAAACTGCAGCCAAGTAAGGTATTCTTCCTTCTGGACACAAACAGTGAGTTGGCCCTAGGGCTTTAGGTTTTCCACACTAAACTTCTAACTGGCCTCAGCACACCAATGGCTTGCAACAGTTGCTGAGAGCACGGGTTCTGGAGTAGCTGGGGCCGGATCAAATTCCAGTGGGGCACTGACCAGCCCTGTGCCATCATTTCTTCATCATTTGGTTCAATTCAGTTTATAAAACTTGAGGAAGGGATGTGGTAATGTCTGTGAAGCCCCTGGCATAGGTAATAAGTAGGCATCTAATGTGTGCTGGCTCCCCAAACCTTCCTGGCTCCACTTCAACAACATGAGAGAGAGTGAGCGAGCGCATTTACCCACCACTCCCCACTCCCCAGATATGTCGTGTGCTCTGGTCACGCCCCTGCCCTGCCCTCCACTCTAAGGACTTTGACCTTGATGACTTGGAAGCTGCAGAGCTGGAAGATGTGGTTCTTTGCCATCTCCTGGGGGCCCAGGGGAGTGGCCTTCTGGTCTCTGCTGTTCCAGAGTGGGGCTCCGTCCGAATGGGCCTGGGAGAGCTCCTTGGGGGCCTGTGATTCTGCCTGCAAAGCTTCTCCTGCTGGCCAGGGGCAGGGTGGGTGAGGGCAGGGCGAAGGTGGTCTTGGGGTCTAGTTTGGGACAGGGCAGGGTTAGGGTAGGGTCATTTGTAATCAGGGTCAGGCCTGTGCCCAATTTGGGGACTGGGATCAGAGTGGTGGGGGTCAGGGTGAGGCCATTACAGGGTTATGGCTCAGATCCAGGTTGGGTCTGGGGGTAAATTTGGGGCAAGGTTGAGGTCAGGGGTGCGGGTGTGGGTCTGCCAGAGGTTGTAGCTGGGGTGGAAGTTGGTGCTCAGAACTCACAGAACTCACTTTTGTGGCACATCAAGAGCTGGTAGAGATGGCTTGCCCCTTCCAGGCTGCAGCGCTGGGTGGCCCTGTCTGGGTCCTGGCACAGCATCCCCAGTATGCCCACCAATTGCCCAATCCTTTTGAAGTCCTCTTTTGGCTGTGTTAAGATTACGGGAATCACTGATGGCAGAACCTCCCTGCAGAGCCCTGCCACACACTCACCCAGCACGGCCTACATCAGAGGTGACCCTCCAAAGGTGTGGCAGGGCTGGGACTGGGGGCTGGGCAAAACATTCAGTAATCAAGAAAAGTAATATTTTAGGTGGCCGGGCGCGGTGGCTCACGCCTGTAATCCCAGCACTTTGGGAGGCCAAGGCGGGCAGATCACGAGGTCAGGAGATCGAGACCATCCTGGCTAACACGGTGAAACCCTGGCTCTACTAAAAATACCAAAAATTAGCTGGGTGTGGTAGCGGGTGCCTGTAGTCCCAGCTACTCGGGAGGCTGAGGCAGGAGAATGGCATGAACCCGGGAGGCAGAGGTTGCAGTGAGCCGAAATCACGCCACTGCACTCCAGCCTGGGCGACAGAGCGAGACTCCGTCTCAAAAAAAAGAAAAAAAAAAAAAAGAAAAGTAATATTTTAATGCACTATTTAGAAAAATCAGAATAAGTGCAAAAAACTCTGTGGTGAGCAAAATCTCAAAACTGTAAGTAAAGTCAGGATCTGACCCTGGTTTTGCATGTCACCTCACCTGTCCTACCCTCATCCTGGTCCTGGTTTAATAAAACTTTATTTACAAAAGCAGGTGGTCAGCCCATGGGCCATAGCTTGCCAAATTGAGTTTTAAAAACATTACATGAAAACATGAATCATCTTGATTACAGAGTTTTTTGTTTTGCGGTAAATTTTGTGCGCAAGGTGAGTATCTTGCTTGCCTTACCCTGGTCCGGTCCTCTGATGTTGAAATGGATTTTGAGTAAATTGAAGCCACTTTAATTGTCCTCCTCCTCCTAGGGGTGCAGGGTCTTTCCCTTGGCAGAACAGTCCCCCCTCCTTCCAGCACTTCTGCCTCCTGCCCTCATTAGATCAGGCAGCCACCAGGCATTAGGGCAAGGAACTTATTTCCCCATCCCCCTGAGTATGCCTAGGGAGTTAATGCGGGTTTGGGCTCATACTCGCGGAAGCGCACTCTCTGACAATGTGCTGATGCAACTCAAGGGCAGTAGCGACAGATGAGGGCTGTGAGCCATGTCATGATAGGGGCTGCACTGGCGGAAGGGTGGTGGGGTGGCCACTCCATGCAGCAAGGAACCCCTAATCAGGCGCAGGGCCGTACAGTTTACCAGCCTTCTCACGGCCTCCGCCCCATCTGAGCTCCACCATATCGCTCTAGGGAGGGGTCATTTCCATTCACTTTACAGGTGAAAAGCTGGGGCTCGTTGAGGAGAAACACCTGTACAAGGCCTCAGGTGCATAGACAGGTGCTTAGCTCCAGGGTCAGGGGTCAGGGTTCAGGGTGACCTGCCTTCAGATCCCAGCTGTGAGGCCTCGGGCAGGTCCTGCCCCTCCCTGCCTGTTCCCTCAGTTGCAAGGAGATTGCCTGGGCCGCCAGTCAATATGGAGCCCGGCTGTGCTGTCGGGTATTCAGGGATCCACTCTGTCCTGGAGGCGGGTGTCCAGGGGGCCTTGAACCCTATGAACCCTGGGAGGATCTGGGAGGAGGGCGGCTCTGGCTGGGCCCTTGCGATCCAGGGCAGGAGGCCCAGCCGGCAGAGCGGGTGCGGGACGTGGGACCGGCGAACCGCGTACTCACGTCCAAGTAGCCATTGTGGTTCAGGAATTTGAGGAGGATCATGCAGCTGTGCACAGCCCGCTGCCGCTCATGCGCCTTCTCCGACGCCAGCCAGATGTACAGGTGCTGTGGGGCGGGCAGGGTCAGGGAGAGGATTCTAAGGGGCCCTCGGCCCAGGCCCCGCCCACTCGGCCCAGGCCCCGCCCACCGGCTTTGACCCCCCCCCCCCGCCCCCCCCCGCCCCAAGGCCCCATCCATCCTCGGCCAGGCTCTGCCTGCTGCACTTACAAAGCCATCTGGAGACTGGTACGTCAAATAGTTTTTAAGCCAAATCTGATATATGATTAGATATATAATTAGTGGCTCTGAAGTAGGATGAGGGTACATGGTATTTGGAGATTCTGTGACCCAGTGGTGTCCCAGAAACACATCTGTGACTTCCCCAAGACGCGCTGGGCTCCTCTGCACTGCTCACCTTTGCCCTGCGTGCCGTCTGCCTGCTGGGCCCCTCCCTTCCCTTCTCTGCCTGTGGCTGCCTTAGTCCTCAGCCGGGGCTGCGAGAAGTCCCGCTGGGCTTGACCTCTGAGCCAGAGCCAGCCTCCCCTCCCTGGGCTTCCGCCTGCCCCGGGACTGTCATTGCCTGCTCTGGTCTCTCTCCTGACAAGGTGAGGAAGGGCGGGGGGGAGTGGGGGCAGCGGGTTTGGGAGACCCTTCAGGGGACACTGCAGGGGAAGTTCTCTAGGAGGGGAGGGCGGGACCCTCATCAGCCCTCTTTCTTTCTTTTTTTTTTGAGACAGAGTTTCTCTCTTTTGCCCGGGCTGCAGTGAAGTGGTGAGATCTCAGCTCACTGCAACCTCCATCCCCCGGGTTCAAGCGATTCTCTTGCCTCAGCCTCCTGAGTAGCTGGGATTATAGGTGCCCACCACCATGCCTGACTAATTTTTTTTTTTTTTTTTTTATTTTTAGTAGAGATGGGGTTTTACCATGTTAGCCAGGCTGGTCTCGAACTCCTGACCTCAAGTGGTCCACCCGCCTTGGCCTCCCAAAGTGTTGAGATTACAGGCGTGGGCCACTGTGCCTGGCCTATCAGCCCTCTTTCTACCAGGCCACCTGCTGTCTCTCCCTCCCCAGTGCCCCAAACCACTGTGATCCCTAAGTGCGGGTGGCCCTCACCCCTCCTGGTTCCTGGACCACTCGAAGCCCCCAGGTCCCGCCTTGTCTCCTCTGAGATGCCCTCCTTTGGAGTCTGGCCATAGGCTGAGGACCCCTCGGCCCCAGCCGACTGGCCTCCCTGCAGCCTCACCGACAGCAGGAAATGCAGCTCGTCGGCGGTGGGGTTCTGCATGATGAGGCTTTGCAGCATGAAGTCCAGCGCCTCCATGGTCCTGCTGTACAGGCTCTGTGTAGAGACAAGGGTGGTCAGGCAGTGCCACGCCCAGTGGACGCAGGGCTTGAGGAGCGCCTACTTCCTGCATGTGCCGGGCTGCTCACCACTGGGGCTTGCCACCATGCCTGCGAGGGGGCCGCCATGGCCCCCATTTGGCAGATGTGGGGACTGGGTGGGGAGGCCTCTGGTGATCACCCAAGGGCACAGGTATCTCAGTGGCCCGGACGAGTTCATTCCTAGCAGGGCTAGCTTCACAGGAGGGTGCCCTGAGTGGTCCCAGGGTCCCGGGCTGAAAAGGGCCCTGCGCTGGGTGAATGCTCTGGAGGTTCTTAGGTTTGAAGCAGGGGCTGGCATCTTCATTTTGCCCAGGCCCTGCCAATGATGCAGTGGGCTGAGTTCTGGGTCTTACATGCCATGCTCCTAATCTTCACTGCTTTGCTTACTGGGCACGTTCAGGGAAGGAGAGGACCAGAGAAATGCCCCCAGCTACCCTCCCTTCAAGGGCCCACCAGGAGCAGAGCCCTGGGGCTCTGGTCACTCAGTAGGTGCCCTGGGGAGACTTACTTTGACTCTCTGAGCTTACTTTCCTCACCTGAGAATGGCATGAAGTCAGCCCCACCTGCCAGAATGGAGGCAGGCAGGGGATTGGAGTCAACAGGAACCCCAGCTCAGTGCTCCCAGCTCCCAGCGCCGGACCCCCAGACACCAGGTGGCACTCCCTGGGTGAGCCAGCCTCAGTGTCACCGTGTCATCAGGTAACGGGGTCATTCTGAACTGTGGTGGGATTGGGGTGTGGCCAGGGGCCACCCTTCTGGAGGGCTGTGTTGCCCTGGTCCCGGGACACCTTCGTTCTCTCACCACCTCACCCTAAGTGTCTGTCTGTCTAGTTCCAGCCTGGACTCACCCTTGGGGGGTAGGGTCGGGGTTCAAACCCTGCCTCTCCCACCAGACAGCCTCATTTCTCTGAGCATTTCTTTACCCTGGGGCCGCTGCTGGGAAGGTGAGATAACTGATCTAGGGCCTGGCACCTAGCAGGGGCTCAGTTAACACTGGCTCTGGCCACAGGCCGAGGACCGCAGACACACCCGAAGCCAGGCACGGTGACTGTGCCCAGGAGCCACTCATGTACCCAGTGGTGGCCATGAGCAATGGCAGGCATCTCTCTGCAGGGGTGGCTTTTACTGAACAGAACCCAGGAAGGGGTGGGCACTGGCCAAGTGCTGAGAGCAATCCTGGAGTTCCTTCCCCCAGCCTCCTGGGGTGGCAGGGTGGGCTGGGCACGGCCTGGGCACGGCACCACCTCTGAGTAGCTGTGTGGTGAGACTGAGCCCACCCTGCAGGGAAGGTGACTCACTCCAGGTGTTGCAGGGATCCCTACAAGGTTGGGGAACTCATCTCCCCTCCTCTCCGCTTCCCTTGGGCTGCTGGGGAGCTCAGCGAAAACTCAGACCTGACCCTGCCACATAGCATGGCGGCCAAGGCCTGCAGGGCTGGGCAGCACCGGCTTGCCAGCCTCTTCCCGCTGGCTCTCAGGACTGGCAGGGAGGGAGGGAGGCCACACGCGCCACTGTTTACAGGGTGCTCCTCCACGCCACTGCTCACCCAGTGTCTCAGTTCAGTCGCCAAGTGTTAAGTACCATTGGCCCTGTTAGTATCACCCCCATTTTACAGGTGGGCAAACACACTGCAGCATATAGCACACAGCAAACCTGTAGGTGCTCAGAGCAGTGAAGAACTGCCCTGGGTCCCCAGCCCTGGTGCGTCCAGCCTGCCCGCTCCCGAGCCACGGGCCACAGCTGGATGTTGGGAGGCTCCAGAAAGAGGCAGGTGTGCTTCTCCAGGGCATCCAGCAGTGGCAGGGCAAACACGCTGCGGAAGCAGGTGGACAGGAGCTGAGACTTCCTTTCCAAGTCTATGGGAGGCCTCAGCTTGCTGTTGGGAAGACAGAGGGCCATTAGCATGGGGCTGGGGCCTGGGGAGGTCCCTGAGTGGCGTCTGCCTTCATCCCTGCAGACTTCAGGCCTTCTGCTGTTCACAGAGACTCTTGTGCACACATCTGCCTCCCTGGCCCACCTGCCTCTGCAGGGCCTTGAGCTGGGGCATCCTGGCCAGGTGATGTCCTGGTCCATCTCTCCTCTCAGTCCCTGGCTTTAAATGCCACCCTGATGCTGTCTAAGGAGCATCTCCATCTTGATGCATTCCCCCAGGGTAGCTGCACCTGCAGCCCGCCCCATCACAGTGGACTGCAGTGCCGTCCTCCTTGTTGCTTGGGCGAAGCCTCAGCACCTTCTCCATTCTTTTCCCTCCCTCGAAAGCTGCGTCCAGCCCTCCAGCAGCTCCTGACAGCTCTACCATCACAATTTATTCGACATTTAAGGACTTCTTACTCTTAATCAGAACACTTGTTACTTTTCTCCTGGATTGTTCTAGGGAGTCCTGACTGGTCCCCCATTTTTTCTTGGAAGCTCCATCTACTCCCCACACTGGATCCAGACATTCCTTCTCAAGTGTGACTCCCCCAAGGCCCCACCTCGCTCAGGCAAGAGCCAGTGCCCTGCAGTAGCCTGGACGACCTTCCCCGTGGCTCCCGGGGCCCTCAGGCATTCCAGTCCTGCCACCCTGGCCCTCTGCGGGTCCTCCAGCAACCCTGCTGCACGCCAGCCTCGGGGCCTTTGCACCCGCTGTCCCTTCAGCTGGAAACTGCAGGGCTACTCTCTCACCCTTTCAGGTCTTTGCCCAAAAGTCCCCTTTTAGGGCCGACTAACCCAGCCTCAGGCTGTATCCTGGAGCCTAGAAGAGCTTGGGGCCAGTGGTGGGTGCCCAGTCCACCAATATTCAGTTAATCAATTCTCCTTGCAGGGTCTCCTGTAGCCCTCAACCCATGAAGATCTTACCTCCCCTCCACCTCGCTCCCCCAGCTCCATCTGCCTTCAGGCAGCAGTGTCAGCTGTCACTGAGATGTGTGGTTTGTTCATGGTCTGTCCCCATCCCCCAAGGGTCAGCTCTTGGAGAACAGGAATGTTCCCTGCTGTCCCACAGCTGGGTCCTCAGACCCCAGAATGGTGCCTGGCACACAGAATGGTGCTCCATTTCTGACCTCTCCACCTTGCTGCCTGCCAGCTCCAAACCCAAGTGGAGAGGCTGCTGCGTGGCACTGAGGAAGCCCTGTGTGAGGCGGGGGGCCTACCAGAGGCTGGACGCGATGTGCATGGCCTGCTGGCGACTCCGCGTGCACAGAGTGTCCTGGGGCTCCTTCTCCATCAAAACCTGCAAGTCCCAGGTGGCACCAAGCCGCTCAGGCCTGGCCTGTCCCCCTTCCGACGCCAGGTCTCCCCACCCTGGGAAGACCTCAGTGCCCAGCATCCCCGAGAACCGCAGGATTACGCTCTGGCCCTTCACCCGCCCAGAGAGGCCTCTGTGAGCTGCCCCACCAGGAGGGCAGAGCACCAGAGCAAAGCCACTGGAGTCAGGTTAGGACATGCCCTAGAAACCCACCCCACTCCTTCCGCAGGGAGTAAACTGAGGGAGGCTGCCCGCCTCACCCAGGGCCTGGAACACACCATCAGACACTGGAGGAGCTCAGAGGTCTGGAAGAACTCGTAGCTGTGGGCGCCCTCACTCCGGCTCACCGCACCCATCAGCATCAGGGTGGCTGTGAGGAAGCTCTGCTTCAGGGTCTCGTCCTGCAACGGGGGACAGGGTCAGGGCCCAGGGCGCGGGAGTGTGCAGTGGGAGCAAGAGCGTGAGGCTGTGATCCAAGGGGCAGCAGGGTCATGGCTGAAAGGGGACAGCAGAGACCACCCACCGAGGCCGCACCTGGGGGGCTTCTTAAGGGGTGGGGCTGCATGGTTTTAAAACTGTAATTTACAACGTTTAAACACTGGGACAGTGCCTGTAAGTCTCTTGAGATGTGGCAACCCCATGCCCCAGGGCCACAGCAGCAGCGACCCGGGGCAGCGATGTGGCTACTTTGGGGTGGGGGCAGCCCTGCGGGGCCCCTCACAGTGACCTGGGCTGGAGGCCACTGGTGTGAGGTGTGGAGTCAGGGGCTTGTCATCATAACACGATGGACGTCAGCCTGGCCTCTCCGTACCCATGTCCCCCACCCGCAAAGTGAAACCCAGGGTTTGCTTTAAGAGGAGAAGTGAGGGTAGAGGCATCATGAAGCCCAGCGAACTTTCGGTGGGATGGACGGACGAAATCTTGGGCCACCAGAAAGCTGGGCCTGGTTCCTCATGATTCCAGGGTGGGGTGGGGCATGGGGGTGGGCTCCAAGGCCCTGGGAGGTCCTGGAATTCTCTGCTCTGAGAGGCCGGTGGGGCGGCTCTGGGCTGGGGTCCGGGACTCGGTCTTGGTGGGGAGGGGCAGGTGTTGGGATGTTGCAGGGGCAGCCAGAGGCCTACCCAAGAGCTGTAGTGGAAGTAGAAGACCATCCTGGACACGATGTTGTCCACCCACGGGAGGATGTGGGCCCGGGCTTTGGCTGCCACCTGGCCGTATGCCAGGAGGATGGTGCTGCTGGCCCATTTCCAGCGCAGGTCCTCCGAGTTCTGGCCCAGGGGTGGCAGGCAGGTGAGGAGTGTCAGCACCCCGCCCTACCCTCCTCTGGGGAGCTGTGGAGGTGGTTGCCTGGCTCTAGCAGGGCCCTGGGGGCAGGTGTCTGTCCTGAGGGGCAGTGAGCCTCCATCTCCTCAGTCGGAAAACAAGGGGACTAGGACTGGCTCTTTGGGGGATGGCTGGGGCCTTGTTAGGGCCATGGTTTGGGTGGGGTGTTAGGGTGGGGTGTGTGTGGGGCGCTCGTCTCTGCTGGAGCTGGCTGGGGTCCAGGCCCCTTGCCTTCCCCTCCTTGTGGGGGCCCCTCCCACACCCACCTGAATGGGGTGGGTGAACGGGGTAGTGTCCTAGGAGTCCCCAGAGGCTGACCTTCACAGATGGTGGGGGTCTTGCTGTCCTAGACCCCTGCTGGTCTCTGAGGACCCCTGAGCCAGTACCTTTGGGGAGGAGCTGGGGAGACTCCATCTGATGGGCCTGCTCCTGCCAAACTGGTCCAGGACGGCCCAGACGTCATCCAGGTGGCGTGTGGCCGCCAGCCCCAAGGTCAGAGCCATGCCCTGTGGGTCGGGTATCAGGGTCACTCATCAGGGGACCCCAAAGTCCAGGACCGGACCCGGCTCCTCCCCTGGCAGGAGGGAAAACTGAGGAGGAACAGGACCCCCAGAGGGGGTTGGGGCTCATCCAGGGCCCCAGGGCAGCCAGCAACCACCCCACTCTGTCAGGACCTGTGACCGAGCCCATGCCAGGGGACACCCGGCTTATGGGGTCTGGTGGGGGGAGTGAGGGGCGTGGGGGGCAGAGGTGAATCCCTGGAGGCCCATTATCCCTCACTGCCGGCTATGAGCAGGCTGTGCCGGAGTGGCAACGAGGAGATGTGTTTAAGAAGGAGGAGGAGGGCTACGCTGCGGCTGAGATCACGGCTGTAACTGGGGTCAGGGGTTAGCCTGTGATCAGCGTCAAGGTTCAACTGTAGACCAAGGTCAGAACTTAGTTTGTGACCAGGGTCAGGGGTTGGGGTGAGAAGAAGGAGAAGGCTCAGGCTGTGGTCAGGATTAGGGCATGGTGTGAGACCAGCCATCAGGCTCAGCCTGTGGTCACGGTCAGGTGGTGGCGGGGACAGGGTGGGGCCTGGGTCCTCACCTCCCTCTGCTTGGGCCACTGGTGGGATGTTTCCAGGAGGGCTTGCAGGTGTCTCCTGACCGTGGCACCATTTTTTTCAGCTTGAAGGATTAGCCCATAGTAGGTAAACAGGAAGGCCTGTGGGAAGGGCAGCATCTTATCCTGTGCTTGACCCCCCCCAAGGTGGCCTGCCACCTCCTCTGAGCAGCTGCCCCTGACCACACTGGCTTGGCCTCCCTCGGCCCCTGCAGCCACCGCAACACCCGGCTGTGGTCTGTCCAAGCCTCTGCCTGCGGCTGCAGCGAGTGCAGCTCAAGTCCTGCTGTCCAGGCCCCACCCCTGCCTCAAGTCCACCAACTTCTTTCTAGGACCCTGGGTGTCCTATGGACAGAGCCCCTGGGGCTGTGTAGGGGGCAGGCAGGGGCTGCTCCTGGAGGCAGGGTGGGGCTCACCTTCTCAGGGGACTGCTCCTGTTGGGTCCAGCTGGGCGTGGTGAGTGTCCACAGCAGCTCCTTGGACCACACATCCGTGCTCAGGAACGGGACTGACTTGATGGCCATCTGTCAGCAGAGGGGCATGGGGGGCTGGAGCCGTCTGTCCCTCTACCTGAGAGCAGGGCCTGAGATTCTAGCTGCCCCAGCCCACCCTGGCCACCCTGAACCCTGATTCCATCACCCCCTTGTCCCTCCCTTCTTTTGAGTCCCCAGCGCCCAGCTCTCTTCTTTGTTCTATGGTTCTCAGGGACAGGGAACTCATTCCCGAAGATTCTTTCTGCAGAGGGGTTCAAGGTGAGGCTGGGAAACCAGGAGGCTGGAGACTGGAGTCCTGACTGTGTCCTGGGCACCACCCAGGAGTCTCCAACATAGCAGATGATTAGTGAGTGTCAGCTGAAGGTGGCTCCTCTGCGGTGGGTGCCAGGAGGGCAGGGCCTCGTCTGGTTATTCACAGCTGGATCTCCAGCACCCTGCATGGTACCCGGCACACAGCAGATAGGCCATTAATTTTATAAATCAATAAATGAGAAATCAAATGAATGAATGAACTGTCCCTTCAAAATATAAGGTCCTGAAAGTTCTGTTCCTAACATCACGTGATTTTATAACGATGACTGCAATATTTCTCAATTTCAAGTGTTCCCAGATTCTGTGATTCAATATTTCCAAAGTTTTTGATCCCAAGATTCTTTGGGGGTGGGTGATAACCTCCAAAATTATGATCCCAAACCCAAAAACCTTAAAAGCAAAGATTGCTAAATGTGAAGATAAACATTTAAAAAAGCTGGTTCAGCAAAATTACTATAAATTAAGTGGAAAGATGAAGCAAAGTTTTGTTTTATCTTTGTTGCTGCCTATTGCCAAGGGTTAACATCAGAGATCAACAACCCGCACTTTATAAATCGATAAGAAGATGACAAACAAGACACTGTAAAATGATGAAGGGATACATACATGATGAAGACACTGTAAACTCAACCTTGCTAATACTTAAGGAATGAAAACTAATGTAATGTTTTGACTAAGATTGGCAAACAGTCAAACACTGACTATCAGCAAGGAAGTGTCCTTTGGTGGGAGGGTGATTGGATCTGCATTTTTGGAAGGTTTTTTCAATCTCAATTAAAAGGCAATGTCAATATCAAAGTTGAAAATATACAGAATTTCCCTAAGCAACCCCATTTCTAGAAGTTTATCCTAAAGGAATACTAAATTTGTGATGCCATGAGCATGAGGGGACATCTTGTGGGGCAGAAGACACAGGTGGGACCATTTGCATCCTCCTTGGAATTGATCCCTTGGTCCCTGGAATGGAAATCCCCCCCCCACTTATGGTAGAATCTGGAAGAGCTTGTCTGCCCAGGATAGACCTCCTCCTGGCCATTTGTAAAACACTGGGGTACAGCGGGACCTGGGGGGCTGTCTCACCCACAAAACAGGTGATGGCAGAATGTCCATGAAACCCCAGCCCCCCAGGAAGCCCTGAGGTCCCCCAGAAGGTCCCCTCCCCCAGACCTTTACTGTCTTTGTTCACTGCTGCATATAACAATGCCACAGTTCCTTGTCTAAAATTCAAATTCCCAAGCTCAGAAAATTAAACATTTTTCCCCCATAGCTTTGTAGCAACCTCATTGGATAGCAGACTCTGAGCTGCACTGACGTGATGCGATTTGTGGGACCTGGTGTGACTATTTGCTTCTGATTGGATAGCAGACACTGAGCTGCACTGACGTGATGCGATTTGTGGGACCTGGTGTGACTATTTGCTTCTGTAGCAGGGACGCCAATCTATTTCATTCTACATCTGCCCAGACCCTCCTAAGGATGTTCTTGGAATATACAGTGTGTATATCATATTACTTTTTAAAAAATCTAAAATATTCTGAATTTTGAAGCACATCTCTTCCCCAAATTTTTAATTTTTAAAGTTTTAAGTATTTAAAAAATTGAGATATTTTAACTCACAATGAAGTGCACAGATCTTTACTGTAGAGCTCATGAATCCAGCCCATGTAATTTACATCCTCTCAGGATATAGAACATTTGCCACCACCCCAAAAAGCTCTCTCATGCCCCTTCCTGGTTAAGCTCCCTCACTACAAAACTGTTCTGATTTCCCTGCCGATGAGTTTGGCCTTTTCTAGAATTGCATGTAATTGGAAGCAGGCAGTCTGTGATCTTCTGTGTCTGGAACTTTTTCTCTCAGCATGTTTTTGAGATTCATCCATGTCGTTGCATGTGCCGCAAGTTCACTCCTCTTTTTCTATTTTAACTTTTATTATTTCATTTCCTTTGCCTGGTTCAGGTTCAACTTGATCCTTCTCTAGTTTCCTGAGACGGACACTTAGATGATTGACTTTAGATCTTTTCAGGGGGATGTGCGGCATCCTGCCCGTCTGGGTTGTTTCCAGTTTGAGGCTAGAATGAATAAGGCTGCTATGACCATTTTTGTAGAAGTAATTTTGTGTATGGATGTTTTCACATCTCTTGAGTACAATACCGAAAAGTGGGATTGCTGAGTCATATGTTAACTTCAGAAGAAAATGTCAGTTTTCCAAAGAGGTTGCGCCATTTTCCCGTCCTGCCCTCAACGTTCTGCTGGCTCCGCGTCCTTGCCAATGTCTGTTGTGGTCCTTGTTTCACCTGTGTGCCCTTGGCAGAGACACGGAGGCGGCTCCTTGTGGTTTTAACTGAGCCTTCCCTGAGGACTAACGACGCTCATCGTTTTTTCACTTGCTTATTGGTCATTGAGATGTCTTCCTTCCTGAGGTGCGTTGTGGATTTTTTGCTCATTTAAGAAATTGACCTCTTTGTCTTTTGCTTACTGAGTTATACAAGTTCTTTATTTATTCTGGATATAGGCTCTTTTCCAGTTTGTGAGTATTTTCTCCATGTCTGTGGCTTGCCTTTTCATTTTCTTAGCATTATCAGTTGATGAAACGTTTTAATTTTGATGAAATCTAACATCATTTTTTAAATCTTTATGATGATTACTTTCTGAGCCCTAAGAAATATCTAGCTACCCTAAGGCTGGCAAGATTTTCTCCCATGTTTTCTTCTAGACACTTTTGAGTTTTACCTTTTACATTTTAGCCTTTGGCTCCATCTCTAATTAATATTTGCGAATGGTTTGAACTAGGCACTAAAGTTCACTTTTTTTCTTACATATATGAAATAGTTTATAAGACTTTCCCCATTGAACTGCTTTGATATATTTTTCTTTAAAAAAATCAATCGACTGTTTACGTATGGTTTGATATTGGATTTTCTATTCTGTTCAATTGATTTATCTGTTTAACCTATGCCAATGCTTCATGTCTTGTTTGCTGTAGCCCTATAGTAAGTCTTGAAATCAAGTAGCCAATTTCTTGCAACTTTTTTCTTTTTCATAATTGTTTTGGCTATTCTAGGTTCTTTAAAATTTCTTTATAAAAATTTATTCTATAGCTTATATTTAATCCTACAATATAGTTTTCTGAGATTGATTGGCATTGCATTCAATCTACAAATAAATTTTGGGAGAATTGACATCTTACCATTATTAAATCATTTTGTCCACAAACATTGTATGTCTCCACTTTTTAAGGGTTGTTTTAATTTCTCTTTGCAATGCTTTGAAACAATATTGCATATATTTTGTTGCATTTATCTTTGAGTCTTTTATATCTTTAATGCTGCTGAAAATGTCATTTTTTAAGAAAAATTTTATTTTCTAATTATTTGTTACCAGTATATAGAAGTTCAATTGATTTTTATATATTGATCTTGTATCCTGAGATCTTGCTACATCCAACTATTAGTAATTATTAGTTCTAGTATTTTAAATATGATTCTGTAAGATTTTCTATGTATATAGTCACATGTCTACAAAAGAGATAGTTTTACTTTTTGAATTGCAATCTCTGTCTTTTTTCCCTTCTCCTTTTTCTTACCTTATTGCATTGGCTAGCAACTTCAGTGTAATGTTGAGTGGAAGTAGAGAGAAAGGACACCTTTGCTTTATTCCTGATCTTAGTGGGAAAGTGTTTGGTCTTGGATCATTAATTGTGTTAACTGTAGCTTTAGATGTCCATTGTCACATTGAGGCAGTTTCCTTCTACTCCTAGTTTGTTGAGAGCTTTTATCATGGACAGGTATTGAATTCTGTCAGATGCTTTTTCCACATGATTTTTTATAAATATGACCAAACTTTTTTTACTTTATTCTGTTAATGTGTTGAATTGCACTTATTGCTTTTCAAATGTTAAATTGACCTTGTGTCCCTGGGATAAGCCCTCCTTGATCATGGTGTATTATCCTTTTATTCAATTTGTTAATATATTGTTAAGATTTTTGAGTCTATTTTCAGGCAGGCGGTGGCTCATGCCTGTAATCCCAGCACTTTGGGAGGCTGAGGCAGGCAGATCATGAGGTCAAGAGATTGAGACCATCCTGGCCAACATGGTGAAACCCTGTCTCCACTTTAAAAGAAAAAAATACAAAAATTAGCTGGGGGTGGTGGCATGTGCCTGTAGTCCCAGCTACTTGGGAGGCTGAGGCAGGAGAATCACTTGAACCCGGGAGGCAGAGGTTGCAGTGAGCCGATATTGTGCCACTGCAGCCTGGCATGTGCCTCCAGCAACAGAGCGATACTCTGTCTCAAAAAAAAACAACAACAACTATTTTTGAGTCTATTTTCATAAAATATATTGGTCTTTAGTTTTCTTTCTCTTTTTGTAATGTCTTTGGGTTGTGTAGCCCTCATAAAATGATTTAGGAAGTTATTCCTTCCTCCTCTATTTTCTTGAAAACATTTGTATAGAATTAGTACTATTTCTTTTTTAACTTTTTGATAGAATTCACAGTGAAGTGTCTGGGCTTGAAGTTTTCTTAGTGAGAATGTTTTAAATTATGATTTCAATTTATTTAATAGATATAGGACTATTTATTTTTTGTTTCTTATGTCAGTTTGGTAACGTGTTTTTTAGAGAATTTGTCTATTCAATCTAAATTATCTAATTTATTGAATATTTCATTATAATTTTTAATGTCTGAGGGATGTGTAGTGTTCCTTATTCCTTTCTGAAATTGGTATTTTGTGTTTTCTCTCTTTTTGATCAGTCTAGTGAGGGGGTTTATCAATTTACTTATTTATTTATCATTTTTTAAATAGAGATTGGTCTTGCTCTATTGTCCAGGCTGTAGTGCAGTGGTTTGATCCCAGCTCACTGCAGCCTTGAACTCCTGGGCTGAAGTGATCCTTCTGCCTTTAGCCTCATGAGTAGCTGGACTACAGGTATAAGCTACTATGCCTGGCTAGGTTTTAGAAGTGTTTTTTTTTTCTTAAATCTCATATTCAACCCTAATATAAATTTTTTTAGAGACAGGTTCTTACTACGTTGCTCAGGTTGGTCTTGAACTCCTGGCCTCAAGCAGTCCATCTGCCTCAGCCTCCAGAGTAGCTGGCATTACAGGCATAAGCCATGGCATCTGGCTCAATGTATTGATCTTTTGGTTCTAGTCATTCTCTGTTTATCTCTTTTTGTTTCTTTGATTTCTGCTCTAGTTTTTGTTATTCCTTCCTTCTACTTACTCTGAGTTTATTATCTGCTCATTTTTTGGCTAGTTTCTTAAAATAGAGGCTTAGATAATTGACTTTATACCTTTCTTCTTTCCTAATGTAGGCATTAAAATATAAATTTCCTTCTAAATATTGCTTTTTATCGCATCCCACTGATTTTCATATGTTGCGTTTCATTATCATTCAGTTCAAAATATTTTCTAATTTTCCTTGTGATTTCTTCTTTGACTGATGGGTTATTTAGAAATGTGTTGTTTAATTTCCAAGGATTTGAAGTTTCTCCAGATGTATTTTATTTTGGACTCTAATTTGTATTTTGATCAGAGAATGTACTCTGTTTGATATCAGCTGTTTTAAATTTGTTGAAACTTGATATATGGCCCAGCATATGGTCTATCTTGGTGAATTAAAAAAAAAATTTAATATTTTTAATTTTTGTGGGTATATAGTACGTATATAAATTTATGGGGTATATGGGATATTTTGCTACAGGTGTACAATGTGCAATAATCACATTAGGGTAAATAAGGTATCCGTCACTTCAAGCGTTTATCCTTTGTGTTACAAACAATCCACTTATACTCTTTTACTTTATTTTATTATTATTTTTTAAGACGGCGTCTCACTCTTTTGCCCAGGCTGGAGTGCAATGGCACGATCTCGGCTCATTGCAACCTCCATCTCCAGGGTTCAAGCAGTTCTCTGCCTCAGCTTCTCGAGTAGCTGGGACTACAGGTGCATGCCACCATGCCCAGCTAATTTTTGTACTTTTTAGTAGAGACGGGGTTTCGTCATGTTGGGCAGGCTGGCCTTGAACTCCTGACCTCAGGAGATCCACCGGCCTCAGTCTCCCAAAGTGCTGGCATTACAGGCATGAGCCACTGTGCCCGGCCCTCTTTTAGTTATTTTATTTTATTTTGAGATGGAGTCTTGCTCTATTGCTCAGGCTGGAGTGCAGTGGCGTGGTCTTGGCTCACTGCAACCTCTGCTTCCTGGTTTCAAGTGATTCTCCCATATCAGCCTCCCGAGTAGCTGGGATTACAGGCATGTGCCATGATGCTGGGCTAATTTTGTATTTTTAGTAGAGATGGGATTTCGCCATATTGGCCAGGCTGGTCTCGAACTCCTGACCTCAAGTGATGGGCTCGTCTTGGCCTCCTAAAGTGCTGGGATTACAGGGGTGAGCCACCACACCCAGCCTCTTTCAGTTATTTTAAAATCTACAATTGACTAATGGACTATAGTCACCTTGATCTTATTCATCCTTCCTATTTTTTGTACCCATTAACCATCTCCATTTCCCCCCAAACCCCCTGGCGAATATTTTGTTTGCACTTTATTAGACGAATTTGGTTAATGTATTGTTCAAGTTTTCTCTATCCTCCGTAACTTTTTGTCTTCTTGTTCTATCAATTGCTTGTGTTGCTGCTGGTGCTATTTCTACTGGATACCATTCCATTCCAAGTATTCTCCTGCCGCCACCGCTGCTGCTCCTGTCACTACCACTACAGCTCTTCCCATAGGACAATAATGACATTAGCGAGGGTTTCCTGCGTCACTGGCACGGTGCCCGATGCTTTCCACGGATTACCTCGTATACTCGTCATACCCACCATTTGAGTGAAGTGCTTGGATTCCCATTTGACAGATGAGGAAACTAAGGGACCGAGAGGTGAAGTGGGTCCCCCAGGTCACAGAGTGGTGATTGGTTGAATATGGGCTTGGATCCAGGGGGCGGGGGTCTCGTGTCCCTTCCCTCAGCCATGTCAGCCCCTCACTCACTCGGGTGTGTGTTCAGGGATGGGCCTGCACGGACTCTGTTTCTTGGCTGGGGCTCCCTCTGTTCACCCCAACCTGCTTCCTGCCTTCCAGGGTGACAGCTCTGGCTGAGTGCGTTGCGTATGTGCTCTGTGCCAGGCATGTGGAGACCGAGGTTTGAATCCCACCGCCTCAGTGACAGGCCCTGTGACTGTGGTCCCCTCCCGAATCCCAGTGCTGCAGTCCCCTTCCCAATCCCAGTGCTGCAGTCCCCTTCCCAATCCCAGTGCTACAGTGACGGGCCCTGTGACTGTGGTCCCCTCCCCAATCCCAGTGCTGCAGTGACGGGCCCTGTGACTGCGGTCCCCTTCCCAATCCCAGTGCTGCAGTGACGGGCCCTGTGACTGTGGTCCCCTTCCCAATCCCAGTGCTGCAGTGACTGGCCCTGTGACTGCAGTCCCCTCCCTTTTCCAGACTTGTGTGCTCATCTGCAGAGTAGGGGCCTCCCTCCCTCCTTCCCTCCCTCCTTCCCTCCCTCCTTCCCTCCCTGCTCCCTCTTGTTCCCCCATCTTCCTCCCTCCCCCTCAATCCCCTCTTCTTGCCTCCTCCTCCTCCTTTCCCCCCTCCCTCTCATTCCTCCCTCCTTCCTCCCTGACATTCCCTCCTTCCTCTCATCCTCCCTGTCTCCCCACTACCCTCTCTTCTCCCTCCCCTCCCCTTTTCTCTCTCTCTGCCTTCCCTTCCTCCTCCCTCCTTCCCCCTACCCCTCCTCCCAGGCACCCATCCTGCTGCCTCTCCCCTGTTGCCCCCACAGAAGGTCTGGTGGCTGGGAGCTGGGCTCCTTCCCTACCTGGATCAGTTGCTCTTCCCAGCAGGCCTTGTCTTCCTGGCTGAAGAGCTCCTCTGTGGGAGGAGGGATGGGTCACAGGGCCCTGTCTAACACCCGTCTCTTCCGGCCTTTAGCGCTGGCCCGGGCTGATGCTGCTGGCCTCTGCCTGCCCTACCTCTGTGGGGCGCGGGAGCTGGAGGGATGTGAGCCGGGCTTGGCTCTGGGTTCAGAGAGCTGGGGTGGGCTTGCGGCCCAGCTGCTCTTACTGTGTGGCCTCAGGCGGGCTGGGCTCCCTCTCTGGGCCTCGGGCTCACTCATGGTGAATGGAGGGGCGCTGCCAAGCATGGCCTCTCAAGAGTGGGAAAATAAGCCTTTGGGAGGGAGGCATTGTGAGAGTGGAGAGCTTTTCCGGAACTTTGGAACCTACCCCAGAGGGAAAGGCTGATTTGGGGAGGGATCTGGCAGCCTCAGCAGTACCCCCAGGTGCAGAGGGACCTCCATGCAGCCTGCTAATCCTGGGGTGGGAGGTGCAAGGCCAAGCCGAGCAGGTCCTGCTTCCCCTCAGGTCTTAGCGTCCAAACACCCCTGCTGGGCCTGGGCCTCCCTGCAGGTCACAGGGCCTGCCACACCCCAACCCCACCCCTCACTGTGGCTGCCGACCAACTCTTCCTCAAGGCCCTTGGCAGAAGGAGTGTCCCTCCTCACCCTCCTACGCATCCCTCTAGATGTGGCCTATACTGGCTGCCTCCTCCAGGAAGCCCTCCTTGATGGCCCCAGGACAACTGGTCCCTTTCCTCTCTGGGCAACCCCAGCTGCCCTCAAGGCAGCCCTGCATCTCCCAGTGGGAAGCGCAACAGCATATGCTGTGAATGAATGAGTGAATGAATGAAGGCTGCCCCTCGCCTCTGTGTGGCTGGGGGCCTGGCATGGGTAGGTGCTCAGTAAGTGTTCGCTATTTTGTGTCAGCAACTCTCTGAATGTCCTTCTTCTGGGGTCCTCAGAGGCCCCACTGTCCAGGCCGGCACTTCCCGCAGCTTGGAGGCCGCGGCTATGTGGATGCAGGGCCCAGACACTGCCGGCTGTGACAGGCTGGGAGTGGCCCTGGTCGGCCATGCTGCCTCTCTGAGCTCCATCTCTTCACCTTCCAGGGGAGGAATGCCCACCTGCCTTGTGTGACCAAGGGAGGAGACAGATGCAGCAGCTGGCAGTGGAGTTGCCCGGCCATGTGCCAGCCTCACACCTGTCCTGGGCCACCTCCTGGGACCTCCTCTGTCATCCTGGCTCCGTCCAGGTCCAGCTGTTGCAATACTGACAGTAGGAGTGGGTGAGCCATCAGAGGGGCTGACACGGCTGGGCCTGGTGTCGCTCTTTCCAGGGAGATCCTGAGCATGGCCTGGGCCCTCTGAGGGGTGGTGGGCAATGGGGGTCCTCGGGGCAGCAGCCTGTTGCTGCCGGGCATGAAGCTACCTCATGGTGCACAAGTGACGTGCAGCCCCTGTACCCTGCCCATGTGGACTCTCAGAGCCACCTCTTGGATCACTCTCCATGACCCACCCCACCCTGTCCGCAAACTGGCGCCCGACATACCGCTGGAGGACAGGACGCCCATCACGTAGAGGAGGCTTCTGTGTGGGAAGACGCCCGTCAGGAGCTCCGTCTCCAGATGCTGCGCCACCACCCGCCACGAGTGCCTGCAGATGGCCACCAGCATGTTGCTGGCCGCGTCCTGGTATATGTCTTCCAGCTCCTGGGGTGGGGTGGGAGCAGGCAGGGCGGGAGGTAGAGTAAGAGCGGCTTGTTACGAGACCTCGCGTCTTCACATGCCAGGGCTGGTTTGAGGGCCAGGACAGCGGCCACGGCCCATGTTTCTTTTGGTAGAAAACTGAGGCTGAGGGAGCCTGAGGCCTTCCTGGTCTGCGTCCATTGCCGGAACACCTCCTCCTCTTCCTCCCTACCTCTGAGCCCTTGCTCACGCTGTGTGCCTGCCTTCACCTCCACTCCCACTTAGAGCCTGCTCCAAGGCCTGGGTTCAGGGCACTCATCCTGAAACCTCCAGCCCACATCACCTCTCCTCCTGAGCTCCTGGCGGCTCAGGACAATGTCACATCTTTCACCATGAATTCAGAAGCAGAGGCTATATTCCTGTCCAAGAGAGCCAGGGCGTCAGCTGCTCAAGGGCAGAGCCCCGCTGACTGGGTCCCTGGCCTCCCTGACCCTGGCCAAGCCCCCACTGTCCAGTGGAGGGGCATCTTCAGCAGGAAGGAACCACATGGGTCCCGGAGCCTGGCTCTGTGTGGTCACACCTGGGACCTTTCTTAACAAGCGTGTGGGTATCCCTTTAGATCTTGCTGCAATTTTGATTTCTACTCTTTTCTCAGTCTTCATGGGAGCCATAAGGCAGCTTCTGTGGCTCTGAGGCAGGTGAACAGGAGGCCTGTCTGCACTTGGGGGCGTCTGAAAGTGGGGGTGTCTGAGCCGTGCCATGCAGCTTGAATCATCGCATGAAATAGATATATCATTTATAACTTATGGAAAGTATGGTTATGGGGGCTTCTTGTGAAGATGGTGATTGAATCTGATTTTGCTCTTTCAAAAAACCTACCTCAGCTGACACTACATTTAGGAGATTTTTTAAAAAGGACAATAGCAACCGCACTGTGGAAGTGGGAAGCAGGTAGGCGAGGGGCCTGAAGACCACGTGTAGGCTAGCGGAGCAGAGGCCGAGCGGCCAGCTCACCCACACGGCACTGTCCCCCAGTATTTGAAGTTGGGGGGGTCTCTTGTCTCCCAGCCTCTAGAACTGGAGGGGCAGTGGAGGGGCTGAAACTAAAGGTGACGTGGTTTTAGAAGTAGTTGAGTCCGTAGATGTACCTCCCACACTCTGCACACGTGAAGGGAGCTGGCCCTCTCCCACCCCAGCAAGACTCTGGGGGCTCAGTCTCTGGAGGGGGCAGATGAGTGTCTCTACCCAGGGGTTGCCAGGCCCGTAAACTCCGGGAATACTCACTTCCCAGGCCAGTCCTGGCATGACTGCCATGGGATGGGACCCTGACCTTTATGCAGGGCCCCTGGGTGAGCGTCTCCCTGGGACTCCTCAGAGCGTAGAAGGGAAGATGGAGAGATGCTGACGTAGCTGGGTGAGGGTGGCAGCAGTGGGCTCACCTGGTCACTCTACGGTGGAACCAAGGGTTCAGGTAGCCAGATGGAAGGGATACGTGACCACAAAGCGCGGTGGCTAATGCTGCCCCCAGAGTGACTTCCACTCCTGCGGAATGGGCAGGACAAAGACTCCACAAGCCCGAGCTCCCCAGCAGACATCAGGTCGCGTGTGAAGGATTACGGTTCAGGATGGCTCTGGATCCTCAACAGCCACGAGGGCCAGAGGACAATGGACAGCGGTTGCCAACCCACAGTCCAGTGTGAAATCAAATCCAGAGATTTCTGGAAATGCACAGGCTCAAAACCTTACTTCCCTTAAGCCCTACCCCAAGAAGCACCTCCAGGAAGCTGAAGTCTGTCTCCAGTTTAAGAAAGTAAATCTGGAAAGGGGAGACTTAGGGTGTAGGAAACACAGTCCCCCACCGGAGCAGGGCAACAGGAGTGCAGGCCCAGGCCGGTCCTCACTGACTCCAAGCTCTATGCTGGGCTGGAAGATTGTCTGAACTCGGCTGGTCCTGACCTAGGTAACAGAGTGCCTGATGCCCGTCTGTGTCCCAGGGGGTGGGTAGGACCCACAGAAGTGTCCGTCTGTGTCCCAGGAGGCGGGTAGGACCCACAGAAGTGTCCGTCTGTGTCCCAGGGGGCGGGTAGGACCCACAGAAGTGTCCCTCTGTGTCCCAGGCAGCGGGTAGGACCCACAGAAGTGTCCGTCTGTGTCCCAGGGGGCGGGTAGGACCCACAGAAGTGTCCGTCTGTGTCCCAGGGGGCGGGTAGGACCCACAGAAGTGTCCGTCTGTGTCCCAGGGGGCGGGTAGGACCCACAGAAGTGTCCGTCTGTGTCCCAGGGGGCGGGTAGGACCCACAGAAGTGTCCCTCTGTGTCCCAGGGGGCGGGTAGGACCCACAGAAGTGTCCGTCTGTGTCCCAGGGGGCGGGTAGGACCCACAGAAGTGTCCGTCTGTGTCCCAGGGGGCGGGTAGGACCCACAGAAGTGTCCGTCTGTGTCCCAGGGGGCGGGTAGGACCCACAGAAGTGTCCGTCTGTGTCCCAGGGGGCGGGTAGGACCCACAGAAGTGTCCGTCTGTGTCCCAGGGGGCGGGTAGGACCCACAGAAGTGTCCGTCTGTGTCCCAGGGGGCGGGTAGGACCCACAGAAGTGTCCGTCTGTGTCCCAGGGGGCGGGTAGGACCCACAGAAGTGTCCGTCTGTGTCCCAGGGGGCGGGTAGGACCCACAGAAGTGTCCGTCTGTGTCCCAGGGGGCGGGTAGGACCCACAGAAGTGTCCGTCTGTGTCCCAGGGGGCGGGTAGGACCCACAGAAGTGTCCGTCTGTGTCCCAGGGGGCGGGTAGGACCCACAGAAGTGTCCCTCTGTGTCCCAGGAGGCGGGTAGGACCCACAGAAGTGTCCGTCTGTGTCCCAGGGGGCGGGTAGGACCCACAGAAGTGTCCCTCTGTGTCCCAGGAGGTGGGTAGGACCCACAGAAGTGTCTGTCTGTGTCCCAGGGGGCGGGTAGGACCCACAGAAGTGTCGACTTACTCTGGGGGCTGGAGCGGGGCTGCAGTGTGTTCAGAAGCAGAAAATGTAGACCAGTCCTGGCCTCATTCATGCCAGACTCCATGCAGGGGCCCCTCCTCATGAAGCCCCAGGAGGGTCTTGTCCACCCTCAGGGAGGCTGAAGCCAGACCACACCCCTGAGAGTGTCCCGAAGCCCTTGCCTCCCCGGGGAAACTGCTCCCCAACCCCATCTCCCTAGGATCATCAATCTGTAAACTGCAGAGACGCCTGAAAGACTTCGCAGTGGTGAGTGTGACAAACACATGCATAAGATTCCAAAAGAAAAAGAAATGAGGTGGAAAAAAGAAATAGGTAGACAGGGCCCTTGCTTCCCATTTTGCTGTCTCTCACACCCAGGGTGGCCTCATTCACTTCTCTGGGGGAGCACAGGGGCATGTCCCACCTGCCACCCACCAGCTGGGCTGTGATTGCAGGCCAGTCCCTAAGGCTCTGGGCTCCAGCCTCCGCATCCGTAAATGGGGCCACAAACCCCTGTGTGGAGGATGTGTTGACCATGCTTGTAGGCCCTGTGCTGGCTGTTTGATGTCTGTTATTCCAAATAACCTCTCCTTGAGTTTGTTGAATCATAGGGCCAGGTGAGCAGCTGGAGCTGCTTACATCTTTTGGGGAGTATGGAAGTCCCATTACAATGCCCTCAACCTGCCTGTGTCCCCGTAGCTCCTAGGAGATGTCTCTACTTCATTACTTCCCACCACCATGGCCCTGAAGGCATGTTCAGATGGTCCCTCTGTCTGCTTTCTGACCCCCGCCTGGGACAGGCCTGTGTGGCCCCGTGGGGTGTGCTGTGCCTCTTGCTTTGGGGAGAGCTTTGAGTATTAAAGACCTTTCAGTGGCCTTTGCCTCCTGCACAATCATGAATTAAGACTCGGCACCACACGGAGGGTAAATGGTGTCTACTCCTGCTTTGTGGGGCACCCTAGTGTGTGTGCGTATTGAGGTGTCCCCTGGGGCTGCCCTGGCCTAGTCAGTCTAAGCCACCTGCTCCCAAGTCTCCACTCTTGGAGTGGAGATTGTTGGCGGCTAGGGCTGGCTCTTGGACTGCAAGCTGCAGGTGGGGTGGGGTGGGGTGGGTGGGACAGTTCAGGTCCAGACCCCCAAGTCTCCATCAAGCAGGAACCCAGAAGGTGGCCAAGGGCAAGGGCAGAGTTACAGCCTGCAGACTGGGTTAGACTCACAGCAGGCCTTCCAGAGGCTGGGCTGCAGGCAGCTGCCATGCAGTGGTGAGGAAGGCGGTGCAGAGGGGAACCATAGCCTGCTTCAGGGAGAGACCTCCTTTGGGGAGAGGGCCCCCCAACTTACGAGCCCCTTGGCTTTAGACAAGCAATGCTCTCTTGAGCCTCACCTTCCTGGAATGGGAACGTGAGATGGAAAAGTATGATTGTCCCGCTGAAGGGGCTGGGGGTAAGAACGTGAGTCACTGGATGGAAATTGCTTGGTAACCCACAAGGCTGGGCATGCCCAGCATCACTTGGGTCCCTGGGGCAGCTGCTGGCATTCCCAGAACCCGTGGGGGGTTGGCCCACTTGCTGTGGGAGGGGAGGCCCACCGTGGCCTTGGTCATGTTCTCCAGAGCGAGCCGTGTGAAAGTTTTCTCCCAGGTCTCCTCCAGGACGTCACTGGCCCCGATGACCATCTCCAGGGTCTGGAACAGCCGGAACTTGTGCCTGCTGGAGATCTGTGGATGGCAGAGCAATGGTGGCTTGGGGACAGATCAGGTCAGATCGTGTGGGAGATGTGGGTGGGGGCGTGGATGGGGAGGGGTGTGAGAGGAGCCATTTCTCTCTGCCACTTCATGGTTCTATGACTCCAGGCAAATCCCTTGGCCTCCCTACGCCTTCGTTTCCCCACCTGTGAGGGTCAGGATCGCCACCTCATGAGCGCATTCTGAGGGTGGTCAATGCATGCGGGTCCACTTTTCTCCCTCCCCACTTGGCCCATTTGACATATGAGGAAATGGAGACTTGCCCCAAGCCATGTAGCTGTTCTAGGCAGGATCTAGGGTTTGAGCCCACCTTGGGGTCCCACCCTCCCCCTCTGCCCCCTGTGCCTGCCCCAGTGGCCCAAGCTGTCCCCACCTCTGGGTTGTCTATGAAGTAGTCGTGGATGGTTTCCATCACCAGCTTGGGGGAGCCATGAGCCATGTTCTTGATCTTCTTGATGATGTACTTCAAGTGGAAGGGGTCAGCACTGTTCATGTCCTGCAGCATCTTGAAGCCGGTGGCTAAGGTTGGCAAGAAGGCATGTGTAAGCAGGCTGTGGGTAGCTCACATTGTGGCAGCAAGGCTCGGCAGGCAGGAGGATGGGTCTGGGGATGGAAGGAGTGCTCTGAAAATGAGAACTGGGGAATGGATGTATGAGAAGTCCAGGACCTCCTGACTGTCCAGATGGACCTTCTGGAGTTCAACATAGGTAAGGAGCAGGAGTGCAGGTGCATGAGCACGTCCTCACTCACCATTCATATTCCCATCCGCCCATCATCCACTCATCCACCTGTCCATCCAGCCATCTGTCCATCCACCCACATGTTCCATCTGTCCATCCTTCCATCTACTAATCCACCTGCTCATCTATCTTTCCATTCATCTACCTGCCCATCTGCCCAACATCCATCTATTCATAAATTTATTCACCCACCCACTCATGAATTCATCCCTCCATCCCCCCATCCATTCTTTTATCCTTTCACCATCCATCCAGTCATCCAGCATTCAATGGTGTTTGAATAAGGGAGGGGCCAGGCCTGGACTGCGGTTCCGAGGTGTGAAAGGGAAAGGGAGGATAGCGGAGGGCGGGGTGTAGGGTGAGCTGGGGCATCATTTGGGCTTTGGATGGTGCCTCAGGAGGCATGAAGAGGCCAAGCCGGGTGTGCAGGGTTCTTTGCTGAAAGCTTCACTATGTCCACACCACTTGATACCCTCAAGGTCCTGGAGTGGAGACTCCCTCTGGCCATCACCCTCAGGACTGCTTTTGGTGGAGGGACATGGTGGGATCTGCTGGAGCCTGACCCCATCTGGGCCGACCCGCCCCTGCCTGTCTGAGCCCAGGGCTGGCAGTCACCTGCACTGTAGGCTTCCCCCATGAACATCCTGTGCTCCTGTAGCATCAGTGTGGCCTGGCTGCTCTGCGACTTGTGAAGCAGGATGGTGGTGGGGTGTGACCATCTGTCCCTGCGGGCAGAGTCCTGGTGTACCTTCATGCAAGATGAGTCCTTCATGGATGTGGAGACAGGGGGGGAGATTCTGAAATGGAGGAGGGGCCCTGGGTGTTGGCATCTGAGTGCGTGTATATTTCTGCGTTAGTACAGGGGGTGCTGAGCGCAGCATTGACTTCCATCGGGCTCAGCTGCATCCTTCCATGTGTTTGTCCTTCCATTCAATGGACTGGCTGGGCCCTGGGAGGAGGGCAGGGGTCTCGAGGCCTCAAGGACACTGTTGAGTAGGCAGCATCACCTGTAGGCCTGGTGCGGCCTGGCCTCCGTGCAAGTGTCAGGTTCTGAGGTTGGGTTTGAGACAGACATGGCTGGTGGGACATGGCAGGGCTCAGGGTATGGTATCCCTAGCTCAGGCTCTTGATTTGAGAGAGCCAATCTCATTCCGATCACATGTGAGACTGCCTTGGTCACCCAGACATCTGGTGGAGTCTCCGAGGGGAGTGGGGGAGCTGCAGGAGCAGTGAGAGCAGAGCAAGGGAGGATGCAGGGGCCTCCAAGGAAGGCCTCCTCTCCTTCCTCCAAGGTGGCCTCTGCCTCCTCCTCCTCTCCTTCCTCCAAGCTGGCCTCTGCCTTCTCCTCCTCTCCTTCCTCCAAGCTGGCCTCTGCCTTCTCCTCCTCTCCTTCCTCCAAGCTGGTCTCTGCCTTCTCCTCCTCTCCTTCCTCCAAGCTGGCCTCTGCCTTCTCCTCCTCTCCTTCCTCCAAGCTGGCCTCTGCCTTCTCCTCCTCTCCTTCCTCCAAGGTGGCCTCTGCCTTCTCCTCCTCTCCTTCCTCCAAGCTGGTCTCTGCCTTCTCCTCCTCTCCTTCCTCCAAGCTGGCCTCTGCCTTCTCCTCCTCTCCTTCCTCCAAGCTGGCCTCTGCCTTTTCCTCCTCTCCTTCCTCTTCTCTTGCAAATATGGGGAAAGCACTACCTCAGGCTGTGTTAGTGGCCACAAAGGGCCAAAAGAGACTGGGTCCTTCCTTTTGGGGATGCTGCCCAAGCCTTGTCCCCCATCACGAGTTCTGCCAGTGAGCCCCTGGGGCAGGAACAGGCTCCTGCTCCACCCACTTCCTGACCTTATTCATTTGTTCACTCTTGGTACCCACTTCCCAGGTGCCTACTATGGGTGGGACATGTTCTAGGCTCCTGGGATGCATCAATGAATGAGATAAAGTCAGCAAATCAAATCAGTGAATTCTGTGGTACATTAGAAGACAGTTCATCTCTCAATATTTTACCCATTCATTTGTCCCACCATGGGAGGGATGCATGTCAGATCATGCCACTCAAAATCTACCCATATGCCTCCCATTTCACTCAGAGTAAAACCCAAAGTCCTGAAGATGACATAAGACACAGATGCTTCCATCCACGAGGGTGTAACAAGGACCAGCTTCACCCTCCTGCCTTAAACAACTCAAAAATTGGAAAAATATACAAAACCATGATTATCAGACATCAGACAACAGCAGCACAGGACAAAGATCTCTGAAAATGGAAAACCAGCACGGTGAGCCCAGCATGGCCACAGCCAGCTGCCTGGGAAGTTTCCAGTTTGCGGCGCAGGGTGAGGAAGCCTGATAAAGCCCAGTAGTCTCTCTGAGTGGAGGAAGTGGACGTGAAAGTCTTGGGGAGCCAAAGTGGCTGGAGTTTGCTGGGAAGAGTCACAGGAGACAGCTGCAAAAGGAGGAGAGAGAGTTCTGGGGCTTTGCAGGGGATCCCCTGCATTCCCCGTCTTCATCTGAGCTCAGTACGTTTGGGAAAAGAACCACAAAGCTCCAAAAAGAGTAGAGGGAACAATCTTTGGAACTCACACAGAGCTAGGAAGAGTTCCTTTTCTCATCAGCAAGAATGGAAAACCTGGTAATTCACAGCGCATTAGGTAGAGTGCTAATGGTATGACCTCAGTAATGGGGGAAAAAAATCTGCCCTAAACAACAATGCTTTGGCTCTTCCTACTAAAGCTTTAAAATCAAAGCCTCAAAGGAACCAAACTTTTCAAGTAATTTAATTGTGTTCAAGAACAAATCTGAAGAATATTTAAAAAGTACAGGAATATCCAGTACCCAACAAGGCAAAATTCACAATGTCTAGCATCCAATCAAAATTTGCTAGGCATGGAAAGAAGCAAAAAAATATGATCTACAATTAGGAGAAAAATCAATTAATTGAAACCAACACAGAAATGATATAATTAGTAGACAAGGACATTAAAACAATTATAACTATAAGGTTGGTGCAAAAGTAATTGCGACTTTTGCCATTACTGTCAATGATATATTTCTCATGTTCAACATGGTAGAGCAAAACATAAGCATGGTAAGGAAAGACATGGGAAATATAAAATGATGAAGAATACATTTCATACTATGAATACACTAGTTTAGCAGCAGATTAAACAATGTAGAAGCGAAGATGAGTGAACCTGGAGACACAGCAACAGAAACTATCCAAAAATGAAACATACAGAGAAAAAAGACTGGAAAAAATAAAACAGAGCGTTAGTGAGCTGTGGGACAGCATCACATGGCATTTTGTATGTGGAATTTGCATCCCCACAGAAGGAAGGGGAAAGAAAACATATCTGAGGAAATACCTCAAATACATTTTACAAATTTGATGAAAATGATAAATCCACAGATCCAGGAAACAACGAATTCCAAGCAAAAGAAATACAAAGAAAACTACATGAAGACACATTGAAATAATATTGCCCAAAGCCAATGATAGGAGCAAATCTTAAAACCAGCCATAGAAAAAAGACACATGAAAGGAACGAAAAATCAGAGCACAGTTCTTGTTGAAAACGGTACAAGCTGAGAGACAGTGAGCAACAATTTAGCGCCCTGAAAGAAAAAAACAAAATGAAACAACAACCTGCCAAGCTGGAATTCCATACCTAGAGAAAATATCTTTAAAAACGGAAGGTGATATAGAAACACTTTTCATGTACACAAAAACCAGAAGAAGTTATCACCAGGAGTCCTGCACTACAAAAAACGTTTGAGATAGTCTTCCAGACAGAAGGAAAATGACAACAGATGGAAATAGGAAACTACACAAAAGAATAACAAGCACCACAAATGGGAAAAATTTAGGTAAATAGAATTTGTTTATTTTTAAAATTTAAAGTAAGAATAATAATGCATTGTGGGTTTATAACAAATATAGAAGTAAAATATATAACAATAATAGCACAAAAGCCAGGAGGGGGAAATGAAAACAAAATATTGGAAGGTGCTTATACTCTTAATTTTACTCGAAGCTATAATTTCACTTGAAGGTAGACCGAGATAAGCTAACATGTATACTAGAAACCCAAAAGCAGGCCGGGCGCGGTGGCTCACGCCTGTGATCCCAGCACTTTGGGAGGCCGAGGCGGGTGGATCACGAGGTCAGGAGATCGAGACCATCTTGGCTAACATGGTGAAACCCTGTCTCTACTAAAAATACAAAAAATTAGCCGGGCGAGGTGGCGGGTGCCTGTAGTCCCAGCTACTCGGGAGGCTGAGGCAGGAGAATGGCGTGAAACCCAGGGGGCAGAGCCTGCAGACAGCCGAGACTCTGTCTCAAAAAAAAAAAAAAAAAAAAAAAAAAAAAAAAAAAAAAAAAAAAGAAACCCAAAAGCAATGACTAAAACAACATAAGACAAAATATGTGTGGCTAACAAGTCCACAAAGGAGATAAGGTGGAGTCATAAAAAATACTCAATGCAAATAAAGGCAGAAGGAGACAAAAAAATGCATAAAAACAGATGAGACAAAGAGAAAACAAATTGCAAGATGGTAGACTAAAACCAAATCATATCAAAAGTCATATTAAATATAAATGATTAAATCACCACAATCAAATAGCAGAGATTGTCAAATTGAATAAAAAAGCAAGAGCCAAGTGTACACTGCCTATACAAAATCCACTTGAAATATAGTAGCTACCAATCAATCAAAAGTAAAAGGATGGAAAACGATATATCATGCTAACACAAATATTAAAAAAACTGTGTGGTTATGTTAATATCAGACAAAGTATATTTTAGAGTAAATAATATAACAGGGATAAAGAGAATCGGTCCATTAATCAAGGAGATATAAGAATCTTAAATATTCATGCATCTAGTCACAGAACTTCAAAACACATAAAGCAAAGAAGTTAGAGCTAGAAGGAAAAATAGACAAGTCAACAATCTTAGTTGAAAATGTCAACATCCATCTATTGATAATTGATAAAATAAGTCGACAGGTAATCAGTAAGAATATAAAAGGCTCAAACAATTATTAACCAACATAACTGAATTGACATTTATAGAACTCTAACCACAAAAGAATAAACTTTATTTTCAAATACACATGGTACATTTACCAAGGCAGACTATATTCTGTGCCATAAAAAGTCTTAGCAAATTGGAAAGGATTCAGATCCAACAAAGCATGATCTCTGACCACATGGAATTAAATTGGAAATCAATAACAGAAAGATAGATGGAAAATACCTAAGTATAAGGAAACTAAATAACATAATTTTAAATAATCCATCGGTAAAGAAGAAATAAAAGGTAATGAAAGTAAAAGGCATCTTGAACAAAAGAAAAATGAAAACACAGCATATAAAAATCCCTGGGGTGCAGCATTAAAACACCTGTATTAGAAAAGAATGAAGGTCTGAAATCAGATTATAACTGAATAAATTAGGAAAAAACCAGCAAATTAAACTCAAGAAAAAAAGAGCAAAAATCAATGAAATAGAAAATAACAAAAAATAGAAAAAATCAATGAAACCAGTAGGTTTTTTGAAAAGATGAAAACATTAATAAACCACTAGCAGGATTTATTAGGGCAAAAAAGTAAAAACACAGATTATTAACATCAGTAAGAGTGGGTACATCATTACAGGTTCTACAGACATTAAAAGAATAATGAAGGGATAGTCTGAATAACTTTATGCCAATAAATTTGGTGACATAGATGGAATAGACACATTTCTTAGAGTCATAAAATACCAAAGCTTACTCAAGAATGAAATAACAAGAATAACCCAAATTATGAAAATCGAATGTGTAGTTGAAAACTTTCCCATAAAGAAAATTTTAGGCTGAGTTGGCTTCATTCTTGAATTCTATCAAGTGTTTAAGGAAGAAATAATACCAATACTACAAACTCTTCCAGAAAATTGAAGAGGAGGGAACACTTCCCAACCCTTCCATGAGGCAAAACCTGACACCAAAACCAGATAAAGATATTGGAAATAAAGAAAACTACAGCCTAATATCTTCCATGAACAGACACAAACTTTCTTAATAAAACAATTTAAAGTATACAGAAATGCTTATCCATCATCTCCTAGCGGGGCTTATCCTGGGAATACCAGGCTAATTGAATATTTGAAAAATCAGTCAATGTAATTCACTAGATTGACTAAGGAAAGAAAATACAATGATCTCAATAGATGCAGAGAAACATTTGGTAAAACCCAACATCTATTCAAAAATAAACATAGGAATTAAGAAAAATTCCTCAACCTGATAAAGAGTATCTATAAAAATCCTACAGCTAACATCACACTTTATGGTGGAAGGCTGAATATTTTTCCACATGACTGGGAATGAGGCAAGAAGTCTGCTCTTACCTCTCTCATTCAACATTAGACTATGGACTTAATCAATGTAAGAAGTCAACAAAAAGGAATAAAAGTCATACAGCCTGGGAAAGAAGAAACAAACTATTTTTATTTGTAGAAGGCATTATTATACAAGTGGGAAATTCCAAATCTACAGAAAAGCCTACTAGAACTAAAAAATAAGTTCAGCAAATTTGCAAATTGTAAGGTCAATAAACAAAAATTATTCATATTTATACATACTGGCAATGAACAATTGGGAATTGAAATAAAAAAGGTACCATGTACACTAGCACCAAAAATCATGAGTTATTTAGGCATAAACCTAACCAATAATTGCAAGGTCTGTATACTGTAAACTACAAAATATTGATGAAATAAATCAAGAAAATAGATAGATACACCATGTTCATGGATTGGAAGACTCAATATTGTTCAGATATTAATTTTCTCTAACTTTTTCTAAATATTCAATGCAATTTCAATAAAAACCCCAGCAAGAATTTTTTTTGGTAGTAACCAACAAGCTGTTTCTAAAATTTATATGGAAAGGTAAAGAAACTAGGATAGTCAAAAAGATTTTGTAGAAGAACAAAATTGGAGGACCATTACCAATGTCAAGACTTATTGTCAAGCTATAGTAATCAAGGCAATGTAATATTGATAAAAGCACATAAATATAAATATGTGTAACAGAACATGGATTCCGGAAAAAGGCCCACACATATAAGGTCAATTGATTATTTTTGTTTTGTTTTGTTTAGAGATAGGGTCTCACTCTGTTGCTCAGGCTGGAGTACAGTGGTGTGGTCATAGCTCACTGCAGTCTCAAACTTCTGGGCTAAAGCAATTCTCCTGCCTCAGCCTCTTGAGTAGTTGGGACTATAGATGCATGCCACTGTGCCTGGCTTCAACTGATTTTTGATAAGTGTGCAAGAGCAACTCTATTAAAAAAGCATTAACAGATGTTGCTGCAATAATTGAACAGACACATGCAAAAAATAACCCCTAATCCATACCTCACACCATATGAAAAATTTACTCAAAAAGATCATAGACCCAAAAGTAAGACCTAAACTTCTAAAACTTTCAGAAGAAAATATAGGAGGAAATCTTTATGATCTTGGGTTAGACAAAGATTTCTTAGATGTGACACCAAAAGCACTATATAAAAGAAGAAATGATAAATTTGATTTCATAAAAATTAAAAACTTCTGCTTTTTGAAAGATACGTGAAACATGTTGGAATCAAAATGGAGTCACTGTGTTAAAACTCTGATAAATGGGGCTGGAGGAAGCCTTAAAGGAATGGTTCTCATGCACAAATGCCTGACTGCAAGAACGATCACAAAAGACTCTGCAAAACCCACAACCTTGCACAAAGGCCAATTGCAACCTTACACACACACACACAAATACTTCTGTGAGGTCATCTACCCAGAAAACTGTCTTTCCAACCTAGGACTCACCCCAGCCTTGTTATTGACCCTTGTAGCCAAGAATTATTATTTCAGAACAACTTATATAATCAATCATTTTAATTTTGCCTTTAAAAACTTACCCTTGCCCCAGCCTTGAATAGGCATGTGGTTTACTATGGCACACGTATTACTATTGCAATGCCCATTCCTGAATAAATATCATTTTCTTTTAGAGATCCCCTCTGTCTTTATTTTATTTTTGTTTTCTAGAGAGAGACTTGATCTGTTGCCTAGGCTGGAGTGCAGTGGCACAATCATAGCTCACTCACTGTAGCCTCAAACTCCTGGGCTCAAGAGATCATCCTGCCTCAGCCTCCCAAGTAGCTAGGACTACAGATGCATGCCACCATGTCTGCCTATTTTTTTTTTTTTTATTATAGAGGCAGGTTGTCTCTATATTGCTCAGGCTGGTCTTGAACTCCTGGGCTCAAATGATCCTCCTGCTTCCACCTGCCAAAGTGCTGGGATTACAGGCATGAGCCACTGCACCTGGTCCCCCTCTCTTTTATTTAGATTAAGGGATATGCATTAAAAAATGATAAGCTGCAGACTTGGAGGCAGTATTTGCAAATCACATATCTGATAAAGGACTATCTCCAGAATATAGAAAGAACTCTCAAAACAAAACAAAGCAAAGCGCAAGCGGCCTAAGGAAACACAGGCAGGAGACTGGGACAAGGCATCAGAGGAGGCAGACAGATGGCAAAGAAGCACCTGAAAAGCACTCAACATTTCTCACGAGGGAAACCAACTAACACCACAGTGGGCTATCACTACACATCTACTGAAATAGCTAAAATCAGAGACACTGGAAATACCAAGTGCTGGTGAGGTTGCAGAATAGCTCTGAGCTTCCATACATTGCTGGTGGGAATGCACAGTGGCACAGCCCTCTTGGAAGATAGCCTGGTATTTGCTAATAAAGTCTAATGTACACTTACCAAATGGCTCAGCTACCCGCTCCTAGGCATTCACTCAAGTGAAATGACTACTGACTAAAATATATACACAAACATTTATACTGACTTTATTTATGCTATCTCCACATGGAAATAATCCAAATGTCCCTCACCCTGGGAATGTATAAACAAACCATGTCACACTCACAGTAATGCTACTCAGCAACAAAAGAGGTGAATCACTGATAAACACAAAAACATGGATGCTCCAGGAGGGAAACCAGATTCCAAAAGCTACATTTGGTGTCATTTCATTTTTATGACATTCTGAAAAAGGTGAAACTACAGACAGAGAGCAGGTCAGTGGTTCCCTGGGACTGGGAGTTGGAGAGAGTTCACTACAAAGGGATGGGAGGGAGTGTCTGGGAGATGGAGTTGTCTGGGCATCCTGTACCCACCGCCATATTTTGTTTGTGATGGTGAGTCCATGACTATATACATTTGTCAAAATTTGAAAGCTATACACTAAAAATAGTGAATTTTGTCATCTGTAAATCATACTGTAATCGAAAAGAAAAAAGACACATAAGAACAAAAATGGTCTCTCTGCCCTTATTTCCTTCTGCTCTCCCTTGCTTATTCCACTCCAGTGGTGGGGTGCTCCCACCACCGGGTGCACATCTACTTCTGGACCTTTGTGTGGCCACTCCTTCCGTCTGGGGAATGCCGTTCCTTCAGATGGCTGCCTGGCTCAGTCCCTCACCTGATTTTAGTCTTTGCTCAGTTGTCACCTTCTTGAAGAACTGATTTAAATCCTCACCCCACACTTCCCCCTCCCCACCCTCTCTTTTTTCCGTGTCACTTTTTGCCCTGTAACATCATATCCTTTACTTTCCTGCTTCTGGTCTCACTGGCAGGTCTCCCTACCTGGAATGTAAGGCATGAGGGCAGGGTCTTTATCTCTTTTGTTCCCAGCAGTATCCCCGACACCTAGAACACCTGGTCCACGTAGCAGGTGCTCAGCAAATACTGGCAGAATGAATGGAGAGCTTCATAGCAGGTGATGTATCCAGAGCCACCACCGGCCCTGTCCTGACCTTGGACATGGCATTGTGACAGCCCTCCCACCTCTCCAGGATCCAGTCTGTCCCCTGTAATCATCACACCAGATCCAGCTTCCCAAATGCCTTCTGGTGGACCCTGTGAGGCTCTGCTTCCCTGGCCCCTCTGCCCAGAGCATGTCTCCTTCTCCTCCTTTCTTTCTGTCCCTTTGCCAGGGCTGTAGGAGGATACCCACCAGGCTTCTCCATCCCATAACTGCAGCAGAGGGTTGGAGTTGCCTGAGAAGCTGCATTTCTGCACATCTGAGCTTTGCTGTCTGAAGAGCTCTAGAGCCTCCGTCCTAGATATCACGTGTTCTGACATCTCCTGGCATCTCAGGGCCAGGGCAGCTCTGGGGAGGCCCTCAGACCCTGCTCTCTTGACCTTGAGAGGTCAAGACACAGTTTACCCCTTCTGGAAGCCGCCTCCTTCCTGTGGCCTCTCAGAAAACTAGCCAGTTCCCTGATCCTGGAAAGGGTGACCTTCCAGACAAACCTGGCTGGGGCCCACTCTGGGAGTGGGAGTGAGGATCCCGTTGGAGCTAGAGCCCGGCTTCCCCCAGGCACAGCAGTGGTAACAGCATGGGCCGCAGGCACCAGCGAGGCCTGTACCTTGCCCCTCCAAACCCACATCACAGCCCCTGTGGCTTCCAGAGTTAAATGCATTTTTAAAAATAGAAAAACGATGTGAACACACTATTAGCAAACATCTGCAGAGGAGTACTCTTGGCTTAGCAGCAACAGAAGCTATGGCAGAGAAGGGAGGCCTGACAACATTCAAACGTGGACTGCGAGAGCCGGAAATACCTGAGTTCACAGGCAGGTACCAAGACATTCCTGGAACAGCCACCGTAGGCAGCGTGGATTGCAACAGGGAATCCTGCTCTGAACCCATGGCTTGGCTGTGGGCCCCAGCCCGGGTGGACGAGTGTCTGGACAGCAGAACCTGCTCTGAGTCCCCATAGAGGGGGCGGGCAGGGCTCTGGGCTGGGGGCCAGACAGCTCTGACCTGCGTATCAGACACAGGAAGGTAGAGATGCCCTTTGTGTCTTTCCAGGTTCCTGGGACACTGGGGTTCCCTGGGGACCCTGGAAGGCTGTGGAGGAACCTTCCTTTATTCATGTCCCTTAAATCTCTGCAGAAACTCTGGCTGTGGTATCATCTCAATTCTGCTGAATAGAAGCCGAGGCCCAGAGAAGCAGGTGAACGGTCTGTCCATCCATTCACTGACCCGTTCACACAGCCTGCAGGCACTGTTGGCAACACAGGCCATGGTCCCTCTGGCCCTCACACAGGTGCAGGCTATGTGGGCAAGGCCCTCACTCCAGTTTAAGCTTCCGCCCTCCTGACCTCCTCTCCTCCAACCTGATCCCCACTCCAACCCCTGCAGGCTGCTCCTGGGGGCAGGACCCTCCTTCCTCAGCACAGGGGCCCCTGGATGGCCTGCAGGGAGGCTCCCCTGACAGATGAGGAGGCTGAGTACCGGTGGGGGGGGGTCAGGGGGTCCCTGCTGGGGTTGAGCTGACCTGGAGTTTTGGGACACGGCTGACGACACTCTACCCGTCGGGGTGCAGCTGTATGGCCTTTCAGAACACTGCCTGTCCATGGTTGGGGTGCAGTGCAGACCCACAGGAGCTCACCACTAACTCTGGCCTCACGCCTGTGGGCCGGCCCTGTCTACGGCACTGGCCCTCCCCCGCCCTGGCAGGCCTGACCTCACCCCTGAGGTCACAATGGTTCCAGTGTCCACAGCATCCTTTCTAGGGTCTGTCTGTGTTGTGGGGACAGCAGGTGTGCGTGTGTGCCTGTGTTTGTGGGTGCGTGCTCAGACGTGGGTCCTCAAGGGGTCCCGGGCCTGCCCCTTCCTTCTCTGGGCCTCAGTTGTCTCCTGGGAGACCCGTGGATGATCCGGCTTGGGCCATTTGTTTGCTAAGTCCAGGTCCCTGTGTGGGTGGCAGGTCCCGGGGCTGGAGCTGTGACTTCCCCTCTGGGTCTGAGTGTGAGCACGTGCGATGCGCTGGGCTCCCCTCTGGGCGTGAGAGTGAGCACCTGCGATGTGCTGGGCTCCCCTCTGGGCGTGAGAGTGAGCACCTGCGAGGTGCTGGGCTCCCCTCTGGGCGTGAGAGTGAGCACCTGCCATGTGGTGGGCTCCCCTCTGGGTGCGGGTGCTTGCCGCTTCTGGGATCCTCTCCAGCCGAAGGAACCAGGAGCGGGGAGAGCCTGGGAGCTCAGCCTGTGGGGCTGGGCAGGCTGCCCCGAATCAAATCCAGCCCCCTCTCTGCTGACCGCGTGCCCGGGAACCTCGCCGTGCCTCGCTGTGCACTCCTCCCCGTCTGTAAGACTGGAGCAGGACCGAGGGTCAGAGCGGCCGCTGTGGGCCTGGCCCTGCTCACCGCCCTGGGATTGGGGTGGAGCTCAGAGAGGGCCAGGAGCCAGCGGCTGGTCGCACAGCAATCAGTGGTGGAGATGAGCCTCAAACTCAGGTCCCCAGACCCGAGTCTAGGGTGAGGACGAGGCCCCTGGAGCAGTGGCACCCCCTCCCTCCCCGCCGCCTGCTCCGCGACCCGGCCCCCGCGCGGCCGGCAGATGGCGCTGCGGGCCCAGGCAGGACTCGCGCGGCAGGAGGGCCGCGGCCTGGACGGGGGGCCTGTGAGAGGCGCACGTGCCACCCAGCCCACGCGCCCTCCCCGCCGCACCCTCCCTCCAGCCAGGGACCCGCAGAAAGGGCGTCATGGGTAGGGGTGCCTGGCATCCCACCGCCTTAGGCCTGGGGCTGCGGGCACTACCCACTGGGGGCAGTGAAGCCGGAGGGCGCCACGTGGGTCCCACCACCTAGACTTTGCCTAGGCCGTTCCCCCTCCTGCTGTTCGCCTGCAATGAGGAAGGGGCCAGACTCAAGGGCCGGGCAGCCCCCTGGCCTCCCAGGCTCCTTCTCTGTGTCCCTGCCCAACTCCCCGGGGTTCCTAGGCTGCAGCCAGGTTTGAGGCTTTGTGCAGTGCCTTCCTCCTGGAATGCGCCCTGCCCCCCACTTTCCTAGAGAAACTCATTTTTGCCCTTTCCTATTTGTCCTTGGAGACCCCCGCCCAGGCCACCTCCTCGGGGAAGCCACCCTGATTTCTTTGGGCTCCCATAGCATTTATTCTCGAGGCGGTTTGTTCAACCTTGCTGGGCTTGACTGGGCGGCGGGATGGTGGGGGCTGTGGTTTGACTGGAGGTGACAGGAGGGGCCAGGTGGACACCCATGCCCCTTGTCCAGCTGGGTCCCACCTCCAGCTCCCCTGGCTGCTGCCCCAAGGCCTGACTCTGTGAATTTCCCTTCCCAGGAGACAGTGGCCCTGTTTGACCAGTGGACACCCCCACAGAAGACGTAAACATAAGACCTGAAGCTGTAAAACTCCTAGAGGGAAACAGGGGAAATGCTGTTTGACATGGGTCTTGGCAATGATTTTTTGGATATGAAGCCAAAAGCACAGGCGAAAAAGCAAAAATAGACAAGTGGGACTACACCAAACTCAAAAGCTTCTGCACAGCAAAGGAAACAACAAAATGAAAAGGCAGCCTACGGAATGGGAGGGAATATTTGCAAACCCTCTCTCTGATAAGGGGTTAACATCCAAGATATATAAGGAACTGCTGTCACTCAATAGCAGAAAACCAAATCAGCCAATTAAAAAGTGGGCAATGGATTTGAATCGACATTTATCCAAAGAAGACAAATAATCAGCCGGTATATAAAAAGGCACCCGACATCACTTATCACCAGGACATGCAAATCAAAGCCACAGTGAGACCGACTTGCACCTGTTAGGATGGCTGGCATCAAAAAGACAAGATGGCAAGTGTTGGCCGGGGTGTGGAGAAAGGGAGCCCTTGTACCCTGTTGGTGGGAATGTAAAATGGTGCAACCAGTATAGGAAACAGCATGGAGGTTCCTCGGAAAACTAAAGATAGATCTGCCATCTGATCCAGCAATCCCTCTACTGGGTTACAGCCAAAGGAAATGGCACCAGGATCTTGAAGATAGAGCTGTACTCCCATGATCGCTGTGGCTTTGTTGAGGATAGCCAAGATACGGAAACGCCCGAAGTGTCTGTGGTCAGATGAATGAAGAAAGAAAATGTGGTATAGACACATGATGGAATATTAACCTTTAAAAAGAAGGAAACCTGCCATATATGACAACGTGAATAAACCTGGAGGATTTTATGCCAAGTGCAATAAAGCCAGACCCAGAAAGGCCAATGCTGCTTGATTCTGCTTCTACATGGAATCTAAAATAGTCAAAGTCAGAAGCAGAGAGTAAAATAGTGGTTCCCAGGGCGGGTCGGGGGAAAGGGGAAAGGAGGCATTGCTGCTGAATGGGGATGAAGTTTCAGTGAGGATGAGTTGCAGGAGTCCGCCGTGCCACATTGCGCCCATAGTTAACGGAACTGCACTGCACACTTAAATGTTTGTTAAGTGCGTAGATCTCACGTTAAGTGTTCTTATCACAGAAAAACAAAAACACCCACCACAAACAACCACCACTGAGCACACCCGACCCAGCCTCTAGTGGCAGCACTGGGATCCCCAAGGGGGGCTGCAGGGCCTCCAGGTTGGCCCTCCCCTAGCAGCTGCGGCCTGGCGGGGCTCTGGGCTCTTGCTGGGGCTCTGTGCTCCCGGCTGAGGGAGTCCCTGTCCTCTCTGAGCCTCGCTGCCCTCAGATGCACAGCAGGGATGGACTGAGGCCCCTCCAGGGGGGCAGAGAGAGTGCCCACCTCCTGGCCCTGGGTGGTCCCCATCCTGCAGATGGTTGATTTCCTATGCCAAGATTGCCTAGGGAGGGTCCCACTGGCGGCTCTGGGGTCCACAGGGTGGGGCAGCCCCGGTCAGCCCCAGGCCCGGGTCCCCAAGCTGGGACACTGCCCAGGGGTTCTTCCTCTCCTTCCAGGGCTCCCCTCCTCCTCCACACCCCCTCCTACGCTTTCACAGAAAAAAGAGTGGAGAAAAGGCAAAAGAAAGAGGTTTTCTCCTCCGCTTTCTGAAAATGAGATTTTAAAAATAACTCCTGGCGGGGGGAGCGCTGGGAGGGGCCTTTCTGGGGAGGCCAGCCAAGCCTGCTCTCCCTCCTCCATCAGCAGCCACCCCCCAGGGCCTTTCTGGGGAGGCCAGCCGAGCCTGCTCTCCCTCCTCTGTGCCTGCTCTCCCTCCTCCGTCGGCAGCCACCCCCCGGGGCCTGGGTCTGCATGCCTCCACCTAGAGGCTTCTTCTGCCGGGCCCCCTTCTCTGTCCCTCAGGAAGGTGGGGCCTTCCTGACCTGCTGGAGGAGGCAGCAAAGGCCAGTGTGTAGCAGGGGGGCTGCTGGGGGGAGGGGGTGATGCTGATGGTGGAGGAATGTATGTCAGGCTGTGGCCCCAGGCAGGAGAAGGGGGCTGGCTCCTACAAGTCCCCTGCGTCTCCTCTGTCTTGCCGGTGCCCTCGGCCTCCTCTCGGCTCACTGCTCACCAGCCACAGGCCTCCTGGGCTGATGTTTCATGGTCCTCAGGGGCTGGGGCTTTTCCTGCCACAGGGCCTTTGCACACGCTGCTCCTAAGGCCCGCCTACCCCCTGCTTCAGCATCATTCCCTGAAAGGCCATCTCAGATCACAGAATGGACACAGAGTGTCCCCCCGACCTCGACATTGTCAGAGCTCCCTGCAAATTTCCCTTTCACAGTGGCATTTCCTTCTGGGTTTCTCTCTATTGCCCTCCCGCTTACAGTAGAGAGGCACCGGAGGGTGGGCTGGGCACAGATGCTCTTGCTCCCTCACCCCGCACTTAGGCTCTCGTCATTCCCATTCTTCACCTGCCATCACCTGTGTTTCTCTCTGGGGGGATCTCTGGCCACTGCTGAAGCTACCAGGGAATCCAGCTTTCCTGGGAGCAGCCCTTGACCCGTGATTTGGGGGCGGGGACAGACGGCTCAGCCCTACCCCTCCGATGGGGTGACCCAGTGGGATCAAGCCCCGGTGGCTTCCAGGATGCTGAGTGCTTGACAACGCCAATCCGGCTTCCCACCTTCTGAGTCTCTCTTCCTCCCCCACCCCACAGTGTTTCCTGGGATCACATCCTAAGAACATGCCTGCCCTGAGTTGCTGCCTTGGGGTCTGCGTGGTAGGCAGAAGAAATGCCCCAAAAATGTCAATGCTCTCATGCCTGGCACCTGGACTTATTAGTTTTTATGGCAAAAAAGGGCTTTGTAGCTGGATGAAATTAAGAATCTTTAGGGACATTATTATCCAGGTGGCCCCCAGTGCAATCATGTCTGGCCTTACAAGAGGGAGGCAGAGGCAGGTTTGACTACAGAAAGAAAGGAGGCCGTGTGGCCCCGGAGGCAGAGGTTGGAGGGAGGCGGCCACCAGCTTTGGCAGAGGTGAGGAAGGCTCCTGCCAGAACCTCTGGGGCGAGTGTAGCCCTGTTGGCTTGATTTTGGCCCAGGGATGCAACTTTAACCCAGGATGGTGTTAATTAGTTACAGCAGCTCCAGGAAGCGCACTCTCAGCTGCAGGGGAGCCCACACTGAGACGCACTGGGTGGGCTTCATTCTTGCTGCCAAATGAAGTTGTCCCTCCAGATGCTGGGCACATGGCCACCCAGGAGTGGATGGCATGTCCCAGCCTCTCTTGCAGCCAAGGGGGACCACAAGACCAAATCCTCAGCCCTGGAATTTGAGAAGTGGAGTGGGCAGTGCCCTGGAATTTGAGAAGTGGAGTGGGCAGTGCCCTGGAATTTGAGAAGTGGAGTGGGCAGTGCCCTGGAATTTGAGAAGTAGAGTGGGCAGTGCCCTGGAATTTGAGAAGTGGAGTGGGCAGTGTCTCCTTGTGTTCTCCATAGGAAGCTGCCAGCCCACGACTGCCTTTGCCCCTCCCGGGCTGGGATGTGGTACGTGCCGCTGCACCTCGGCCTCGCAGATGAGGACACCCACCCCTGGGTGAGGGCAGAGCCACAGGCCAAAGAGCCTGGGCTCCTGAGTATCCCCATGGAGCAGAGCTGCCCTCGAAGCCTGCAGTGGCTGGACTGTTGCAGGAGGGAGACAAATGTTCTGTCTTGTTTTAGCCACTGTATTTGGGGGTGCTTTGTTGCAACAGCTTAGATGTCTCCCTGACTGATACAGCTTGGTTTAGAGGCCACTAGCCAGCTGAGGCTTGGTCCCCAGGAGGTGCTCAGTGGCGGTCTGCAGAATGAGCATGTCAGGATGAACTGTTTCTTCCTCTTGTAGTCACACAATGATATTGATAGCTGAGCTGCCATTCAGGACCATCATTCGGCCGGAGCCCACCAGGCTGAGCTGAAGTTGACCTGCGCCTGCCTTGAGAATTGGTGTCGGGGGGCCACCTGGCCGGAGCACAGGAAGGTGGAAAACACATGCTGGCCATGTGAATACAGGACCACACTCACCACGGCTGATTCTGAGGTCCGAGAGCTGGGTGTGCTCCTGCCTACAGGTGCCTGGAGGGCTGGGCTTCAGCCTCTGCTGGGTCTCCTGGGCTGCACCCCAGCCTTGCTGGAGGTGGGGGAGGGCATGGAGTGTGGCTTGTCTGGGGAGAAGGGTTCCAGCTCACCTGCTGGGGCTGAGCAGGCCTTTCTTTAAGTCTGGCCCAGAGGATATGGCCCAGGCCTGTCCTGAGGGGTTCTCAGGGGGGTGGGAAGACAGAATGGGTACAGGGTTTTGCCATGACAACCCTGGCCTTCCCTGCCTCCCGCATGCCCACCTTCCTAAGTCTGAGGCTGGCACTGACCTAGGAATCTCAGCGGAGGGAGCTGGAGCCTGGGCTGCTCAGAGGGTGTGGCCCCGAGGGGCAGGGCCCTGGACATGGGACCATGTGCAGCCTGAGGTCATCACCAGGACACATGGGAGCCCATGGAAGGCAATGGAGGGACCATATCCAAACAGATGACTTCTGATGGGGTGCCAGCCAGGCCTGGGAGGCTCTCAGGTACAGAGCAGGCCAGGTGGGCTTCCTGAAGGAGGTGATATGAGCCAGAACCTGAAGGGGGAGCATGAGTTTGCATTGCAGAGGAGAGTGGGAAGGGCACCCTCTCAAGGCAACTGCACAGAGATGTGGAGGTGCAAAAATACAGAGACCAGGAGAGGGGAGGGGCCCCTGCTCCCCAGTCAAGCCCCGTCCTGTCCTGCGTCACAGCCCTGCTGTATTAGAGGCTGTGGTAACAGAGAGCCTGGCATGAGTGACACTCAAACACCAGGGGCATTGACTGCTCAATCACATCCCAGTCTGTGGCTGGGGTTCTCCTTGTGAAGAGCCAGGCCCCAGCTCAGGCCCCTGGGAGCACTTACCTTTCTTTCCCTGAGGCCATCTCTGGCTGCCAGGCTCCTTACAAGCCACACCTGCTGGGGATACAGCAGCCCACGGCTGTTTGGGCAGGCGGGGTAGCTCTGAGGCCATCTCCGGTAAAACTGTGCTGGGATGCGTCTTCCCAGGCTTTGTTCCCTTCTCTGTCTCATGTCCCCACCCCTACCAGCACTTGATCCCACTTTGGGGGAACTGATATCCCCATGAGCTCTTTGTGGCTGAGGCAAGGTCTGACCTGCTTCATAGGGACTACTGGAGTTGCTGAAGATGGGGACTGCTGACCTGGGCTCTGAAGACTTCGGGAATGCCTGTGGGAGCCCCGTGGTCTGGAGGGACAGGCCAGCTGAGGCTGGATCAAGGCCTCGGCTGCCCTGAGAGCACTCACAGGCTGCGGCTGTGGACACCAGGCTGACCCGAGGTGAGTCAGGAGGAAGAGTGCTGGTGGGGACAGGCTGGCGGTCTCTGGGTGCCAGGTTCTCATGGTCTCTGAGCAGGGCAGGTGAGCAGATGTGACTGGGGATTGATCTCGGAGGGTTGCTGGGTGCAATGGGAAGGGTTAAGGATGGGAGGCTGGCCCAGAGGGTGGCCCTGCAGGGTCCAGGCGAGGGGCAGGGTGCTGGGTGAGGGGCTGCAGTGATGCCCACAGAGAGTTTAGTGCGCAAGAGGCCACTGAGCCCACAGGTCCCCACTCAGCCTCCCCCACAGCCCCAGCCCACTCCTGAGTGGAGGCCCTTTAAACGCAAGGTTCTGTCCTCCCCTGGGAGGCCCCTCCCCGTCTCCTGGGCAGCCTAGTAAACAGAAGCCTGTCTCCCGGGCTGCTGGCATGGCCTCCTCTTGTCCTGGGACCCCCAGCCCAGCAGGTCTGCCCCCTCCTTCTGTAGCCACTCCAGGCGAGACACTTGGTGAGGGAGGGGAATGGACGGGAAGGGGGACGGGGCACCTGGGGCTCTGAGAATGTGGGAGCAGGAAGCGGCCCTCTGACCCATCTTCCAGAAGAAGATGCTCTGCCAAGGTCATGAAGGAGAGTGGCAGTGGGGCTGGGCCAGGATGGGGGCATGCGGGCATCAAAGCCTCCCTGTAAAGGTCCTTCTCCTCCCTACGCTCCCCAATGCTCTGATGCTCTGAAGTCCCCAGGGAAGGGGTTGGCTCTCTTCCTGAAGCCTTTGGATCTATGGACCTGGAGGTGTGCAGGGTCCTTCTCACTCTTTAGGGCCCCTTCCGGATCATTCTCCTGCCCTTGCCTCTTCTAAAACTCAGCTCTGGATCTCAGAGGCAGTGGGAGGGGCAGCCAGCCATCCATTCACTCACCCATCTATCCACCCATCCACCCACCCATTCACCCACCCACCCATCCATCCATCCACCCAACCATCCATGCATCCATCCATCCATCCATCCATCCATCCATCCATCCATCCATCCATCCATCCATCCATCCATCCATCCATCCATCCATCCATCCATCCACCCATCCACCCACTCCTCCACCCACTCATCTGCCCACCCATCCGTGCACCCTGCTCATGGTCAATGCCTTCACTCCTAAAGACCCTGGCCCCTGCCCTGCCCTCTCCCTAGCTCTCCTGTCATCCTATTGGTGATTTCTCTCAGCCCCTCGGACTCCTGTAAGGATTTTGTCCTCTCACCCAGCCACCCACCCGACAAACTGTACCCAAACTGCAGTCCCCTTGTCCCCACCGCACTCTGGGGATTCTTGCCCCAGCTCCTGCCCTCGAGGGCCAGCCCCAGCACTCCTTTAGTGAGGTGGAAGCCCACAGTGTCTTCCACCTGTCTGGCCTCCTCCACCCCTCCTCACATCTTTGCCATGGCCTCTGCCCCCTCGCTGGCCCCTCTCCTGTTTTCTTGTACTAGTCTGGCAGCTCCAACTCCCTGCTACCCTTGCCTGTGCCCTTGCAGTGGGCTGCAGCTGAGTGAACTCCACCTTGCTAATGCCTGCACTTGGCTTCAGCAGCAAGGAGGCCGGCTCCGCTGCCCTCCCTGGTCTGCCCAGCCTCTCCTCACCTAGCAACCACCTCGCACCTTCTCTCCCTCTAAGCCCCCATCGTCTCTCTCCTCACACTGTGCTGCTGGCCTTGCACCCTCCTTCCCTGAGAAGCTGAAGGCATTGGAAGAGGACTTTGCTGGTGCCCACCCACTGTACTTGTGGCATTGGGCGCTGTCCACCCCGGCCTGCTCCTGTGAATGCCCCATCCCTCCTCCCAGCCAAAGGCAGCATTCAGCTTCTCCCATTCCATCCCCCAACTCACGCTGTCACTCCAGCAACTCTTCACCCTCTTTCTCCTGCATCATGATACCGCTCTTTCCCAGGTCGTTCCCACTGGCATGAAAGCATGCTGCGATTTATCCTGTCTCTTGACCCCACTTCCCTTCCGTCTCCTGCCCTACTTCTCTGCTCCACATTCAGAGCCGAACCTCAGGAAGGTCATTTGTCTTTGCTGCCTCCACGTTCTCCCCTCTCCTTTGCTCTTGAACCCACTCTCACCGGGTTTTAATTTCCAGTGCTTCACTAAAGCAGCTCTAGCAAAAGTCATCAATGACCTCTGCGCTGGTAAGTCCGAGGTCACTTGGACTCATTTGATGTGATGCGCCGGCAGCACACGGCTCAGGTCCCTGCTGCCACACTTCCCACGCTCCCATCACTGCCCGCTCCCTCTTGGTGCCCTCACTGGCTCCTCATCTCCTTGACCTGGTCAGGAGGGAGGACCCGAAGCTCTCTGCTTGCGCTTCTGCCCTTTCTAACCCAACTCCCTCAGTGATTCATCTAGTTTTGTGGCTTAAACATCATCTCCCCAGTGTCTATCTCCAGCCTCGACCCCTCTACAAGCAGAGCAGTCCAGGCTCTTGTGTGAGCGGATCTTCTCCAGCCTCTGGGCTCCACTCTTATCCCCAGCATGGCGCTGTCCACGGTGCTGATTTAGGAAAGTACTTCCCATTGATCAAACAGGCTGGTCAATGTCATCTCATCTGCAACTGCAGCAGAACAGGGTTGGTTGGCTCCATTTTCAGAGGCTCATGGAAGGTGAAAGACTAGCCCAGGCCCTGACAGGTGGAAGGACCCCCACGTCTGTGCTCCTCATGGCTGTAGTCAATGGCTCAAACAGAGCCTGCCTGCCACACAGTAGGTGCTCAGTGAATATTTGTGCAGAGGGAAGAGACTGTTAATCAAAAGGCCCTTGAGCCGGGGGCGTGGCATAGTGGAAAGTGATTGCCCAGCCCAGGGCTTCAGCTTGGCATCTGTGTATGACTTCTCTGGGTCTGTATCCTCACCAGTAAAACAGACTGAATATTGTTACCCCTCCCAAGGGTGTTGGGAGAAGGATCTGACAATTCATGGTCATATTCATCCATTCCCACTTCCTAGCCTCCCAGTGTGGCCATCCCCAGACAGCTGCCTGGTCTGGCTCCTGTGTCCACCTGACTACATTCTTTCCTGGACTGTGTGCCCAAGTGAGGTCCCATGGCTGCTTTGCTCACTTCAGTATCCCTACAGCTAAGCACATTTGCTGAATGAAAGAAAGAAAGAAGGAATGTAGGGGTCTCTCCTGAATGGAGGACCTAGATTTGGGCAGGGTGTGGACCATGGGCCAGCAACGTGGGTGCCTTCTGGGGACCACGGATAGGCTGAAGGGTGGCATGACTGAACCAAAACCAAACTCCTCTTCCACCTCCGCTCCCTCCTGGGGCCGCACCTCCCTCTGGATTCCAGGGTCAGCTGTGTCCAGGCTGCGAGCCAGGCTGTTCCCACAGGCTCCTCCCTGTCTCTGTCTACAAGGCCTGGCGATCTGGCCCTGCAGCCTCTCCCCAGGTGGCGTTTTCCCATCCTCATGTTCATCTTGTCCTCCCCTGGATCTGACCTTGAAGCTGGGCCCCCAAAGTCCATTCTCTGCACAGCGGCCGGATCAACTTTCAACTGAGAGTGACTGCTTCACCTCCTGCCCCAAGCTGGCCACTGTCTTCAGGGAGAACCTCAACATCCTAAGCTCGCTCAGTCCCCACGTGGTCACGCTGGCCAAAGTCTGCAGCCTCCTCGCCATCGGGAAGGCTCTGCCCAAAGAGTACTTAGTGAGCATCCCCTTCCGTACACCCAGGACCTCCCTCTCTTCCTGGTTTGCTGTTGCTGTTCCCTCAGAAATGCAGGGCCCGGCCTCGCCTCATCACCAGGTGGCCCTGGCCATCCCCAGCTCTGCCTTTCGAGCTCATTCGGCGGCTCCTTCCAGACTGGCCACCTCTCTTCGCGCCCGGCCTCCTGGTCTCCCGCCTGCGCGGGCCGCTCCCGGCCCTCCCCGCCCTGCCGGGCGTTCACTGTCCCCTCCGCCCGCAGGTCCCGCGGCGCCCCCGGAGCCCGCCTTCCCGGACATCTACGGCGGGGACGCGCAGCTCTGGGAGGCGCATTTCCGCGGCATCGGGCGCGCCTACCGCGCGCTGGGCAAGCAGGACGACTTCGCCATCCGCGTGCTCACCGAGAACTTCACGCTGCCCTTCCCGTTCGCCTGGCCGCCGGGGTCCGACCCCGCCTGCGGGCCGCTCTTCTACGACCCCCGCGACCGCGCAGACTTCGACTTCCTGCTGCGCGGCCCCGGAGCTTCGCCCCCAGCGCTGCTGCGGCCCCTGCACGCCACGGCCCAGGCAGCGATGCGCAAGCGGCGCCTGGAGCGGCTGGCCCTGAGCTGCGCCCGCGCGCGGGGCCCGGGCCCGGCCTCGTCCTGCTGCTGCCCGGCCCCGCCGCCGCCTTCCCGGAGCCCGAGGCCAGCGCTTCCAGCGACGGCACCCCCAGGCTGGCCCAGGCCCCGCCGCTGCCCCGAGAGCGAACAGAATAAATAAAGAGTTTCCCCAGCTCTCCCGCGCCCGGCGCTTTTCTGCACACACTCCGACAGGCCTGGGCGGCTGGGCCCGGCGGGGAAGGGGGGCGGTGGGACGGTGGGACGGTGGACCAGGAACCCAACTGGGACACCGGGCCAGGCCGGGCAGCGGTGGGCCTGGGAAGCCGCATGGGTCCGAAGGTGCAGTGAACATATTCGCAGTAGAAACGGTGACGGAGGCAGGCCCTCTTCAGAGGGAGGAGGACCCGGGTACGGTGGGTGGGGGGGCCGGGCCTCCACCCTCAGTGCCCACGCCCTGGGACCCTCCCCACAGCTCTGCGGTGGGGACTAGCGTCCCCATCCCACAGACCAGCATACCAAGGCCCCATGCCTCCAGGGAACAGCTGGGATTTAGTTTGCCACATGCAGACACCAAGTCTGGCAGCTTTCCCGTTTCCCATGATAGAGGGGGCAGCAGGATGGGGAGGGGGCCGGGAGAAGGGGCGACGCAGCAGAACAGAGGAAGAGAAAGGAAAGGAGTGGAGAGCATGCGTGGGGCAGAGAGACGCGAAGGAGGGGGCACCACAAGGCACCTGCCCCTCACTTGCTGCCTCCCCCTTCCTGGTCCTTGGGGAGGGGCTGCCTCCTGCTTCCCCCGTGTGGGGCTGAGAGAGTCTGTTGAGCCCAGCATGGCCAGCAATGACCTGGCCTCTGCCCTGGACCACCTCCCTCTGCAGGTGACAAACCCCTGCCAGAGGCCTGGCTCTGCTGTGGGCCCGCTGGTGGCAGGGCGGGACGACGGCATGACCCCGATATCTCCTCCTCCTCCTCCCCACAGAACACCAAGCAGGGAGGCCAAGTGGCCTTCAGGAGAGGTGCCATGGTCTCACGCTGGGAGCTTGCAACCCAGGCGTGCAGGGGAGACCACATCAAGTGCAGGTGGAATCCGGGTGTTTTTTTTTTTTTCTTTTCTTTTTTTCCCGAATCCAGGAGTTATTTATCACATGCCAGTCATGGGGAGAAAAGGTTTTTCCAAGCCCTGGTTTTGCTGAAGAAGCAGTTGTGGATGGGAACAGTCATCTCTGGAGAAGGAGGAAACCCTGGGCTGGGAAGAGGCATCTCCAGCCTCCCCCTCCTCTGCTGCCACCGGCCCCAGCTGAGACGCCAGCCCCTGCTCCAGGCTTCTCCCACCTGGGGCCTTGTTTCTTCAGTTCTACAGATGCACAGTTACATTGCAATAATAACCATGCGTTTGAATCCTGACGGGGCAGCAGCAGTAATGACATTAGGTACTATATATCCTATATTGCGTATGAATTGGGGTCCCCAGAAGCAGTCCCTGAACATGGATTTTGGTGCGAGTGGTTTGTTTGAGACGTGGTCCTTGGAAACACAGGCAGGGAGTGAGGACGCAGGACAGGCAGGGAAAGAAGCCAGGAAGGGTGCAATGGGAGCAAGTTACCCCTGTGGGCACTGGAGGTCAGTCCTATGGGGGACCCCTGGGAGACAGTGTGGTGCGTGCCCCGGAGCTGTCCCACCCAGGGAGAGTGGCACCAAGCACTACTACCTCCTTGTCATCACTGGCAGTTTGGCTTACCTGTGGGGTATGCATCCAGCTCCCCTGAAAACAGCAACTAACAGTGACCACTGAGAAATGTTTATAACAATTCGATGAGTAATTTTATGACTGGAGAGTGTAACAAGATAAATGTGGGGTTTATACTTTGTGCTTTTTAAAACTACATTTTTCTAGAAATTTATTTTTAAAGTAGTTTACAGCAGTGTGGGGCTGTGTCAGATTGGAAACAAAAACCTTGGTCCTTCACCACTGCTAGCATGGGAAGCTTGGTCTAGGGAACCCAGACCCAAGGCAAGTAATCAAATAGGAAACAAACACGGTGAAGAAATGCAGTGAGTACTGTGAAGGACATGAAGAGACTGACTGTACTTCAAATAGGGTGGTCAGAGAGGCGAGTCACCCTGGAGAAGGCGGCGTTGAAGCTGAGGATGGAAGGATGAGGAGCAGCCAGTTATATGGACATTGGGGAGGACACTTCAGGCCAAGGGGGCCGTGTGGGCAAAGGCTGGGGAATGAAACAGAGCTTCAAGGGTCAAAGAATGGGAACCAGGGCTCTTTCAAGCTGGAGCAAATGGAGCAGTATGTTATTTGAAGCTCTGACTGGCTTAAACCACAAAAGGGACTAAATGGTTCATGTAATTGGAACATTCAGAAATAAGATGAGCTTCAGGGAAGGTTTGATCCAGGGGCTCAGTGTTGTTATGGAGGCCCAATCTTCTGTGATGCCAGTTCTACCCTCAGACTAGTTTCCTCAGTAGTGGTAACATGGTAGATGCAGCTCCTGACTACACAGTCTGCCTGGCCACTGAGAAGGCCAGAGGCCACTGGCTTCCATGAGCTGTCTCAGATGAGCAGCTGTATGTCCTGCAAAGCCCTGGGAGTCTCCTCACATGACCCATGGGTCTGGTTGGGTCATGTGCCCAATCCTGAACTATCCCTGCGGCCGAGGGAGTAGCATGCATTGATTGGCTTAGGCCTGTATTGCCTGAATCTGTGGCAAGGGGGTAGGGTGACATTGGCTGGATTGTGACAATAAGGTCCAGAACACTGTGTGGCCCACAGTGGGGGAGCTGACCTCCATGTCCAGCACCGCCAAGTGGTATGAACCCTGGGATTTGCTCCAGGGCTGACTTCTGCTAAATCTCATGACTTCCTTCCAGTTAGACCGGCTGCTCCCACAGAAAAGCATGGTCAGAAACGACCCCAGGCTGGAGTCTCTGTCTTTTGTGTAAAGCAGAGTCGATAATCTGTTTTCTCAGCATCTGTTCTGTGCTGTGCCTGATGCTGAGGCTGGGCATTCACGGAGGGAAGATGCTTCCTGCCTCCAGGAGCTGGCAGATGGAGGGCTGGGAGGGTGTCAAGACAACAGACTGCCCGCATTGCCCCTTGAACAACAGCCTGGGCAATTCCTCCTAGGACTCAGTTTCCCTGCTTCCCTCCATCACACAGAGAGAGCCAGGTAGCCCTCATATTGCCCTTTTTGCTATGGCTGCTGGGATGCTCAAAGCACATTTGTGCCCCATTGTTCTGACCTTCCCAGGCTTGCCATTTTGGGGCAGCTTGCCCGTCTGCTCTGGATTTGTGGTCCCCTCCAGCTGCCTGGCTTTTTTTTTTTTTTTTTTTTTTTTTTTTTTTTTTACAATGCCTGGATTATAATTGTAAGAATGATGCTTCAATTATTTTTGGAAAGTGGGGGGAAATACCTTTTTTGTAAAGTCACGGATTCCAGCTCTGGTTGGCAGCAATTCACCCCCGAGCTTCTTCCCACTGACCTGCCAGGAGACTCTGCCATCTTTTCTGAACAAAACCCGGTGGCCTATGTGGAAATACCGTGGCTATTTCCTTGGGAGCCAGCCACTGTGTCGTTGGGCCCTGGTGCCACTGGGGTGGGCAGGGGCTACAGCACGGGCTCTGGGAGGTGACAGAACTTGGCTTGCGTGCTGGGTCCTCCACCCACTGACCGGGCAGCCCTCAGCCGCCACTGCTGATTTTCGTGCCTTAGTCCTCAGCTGTGAGGGGGAACACAGCAACAGGACCTCTGGGGAGCTGCTGAGGGGATCATGAGAGAGACTGTTGGTCATGCCCCCGATCCCAGCCTGGCACGGTGAGAGCCCAACAGAGAGAGGGCAGCTGTTTCTCCATGATGGGCCGCACTCCCTGCCCTATATGCAGGCTGGCACAGACACCTTCCCCAGGGCTAAGGGGGGCCATCAGCTTTTCCCCAGCACCAGCTGGCCCTTGTGCTCAGAGGGTTCTGGAATCAGAAGCAGACATGTTCCCCCTCTTTGCAGCTGTGTGGCCTTGGACAAGCCTCTTGACCTCTCTAGGGTACCATGTCCTCACCTGTAAAACGGGAGTCAGAAGCATGTCTGGTGTACAGCCTCGATGAGCTGGTGCAACCAGCCGGGGACCTGCCCATGCAGTGTTCTGTAAATGTGGCTATTACTTGTTCCCTTGTCTGGCCACCCCTCCTCTGTCCAGAGAACACAGTTGCCTTGCAGGGTGCCTCTTATCCTCCCTGGAGCCATCTCTTCGGCTCAGCCCAGAACACACCAGCCTCGATAGGGAGCTGGAGTTGCCAAGGGCACAGCAAGGGCATGCTGTTTGACCTGTTCCATTCCCCGTAAGGCGCTGCTCCGAGAACCAGGATAGGCACGCAGGAGGTGCTCAGTATTTTCTGAATAGGCCAATGTGATCTGGGAGATAAGCTTGCTGAGCAGAGGGGCTGGGGCCTCCTGGGGCCCTGCTCATTCTGGGTGCAGGCGGAGCCCCAGAGGGAGGGCAGGAATCCGGGGTGTTGGCTGGAATCGGGAGGCCAGGTTCTTTCCACCTCCCCAGCTGTCCCCGGAGACTTCATACCCTTCGATATTCAAAGGAGACGGGTTCCTCCTTTGATTCTGGGGCCGCTGGGGATGGGGTCAGGTACGCCCCTCTCCTTGCCCCTGCTCCAGTTTCCTGGGAACGGACTCTGAGGAGCAGCGAGGATGTTTAATTAATTGCAATTACTATCTTCAAAGGAAGCCCAGAGTTGAAAGTTGTTCCTAATTACTGTGTTATGATGTCGACCAGCTACTTAAATTGATTGTGTGAGAATTTCCGATGGAGAATTGATTGAGTTGCTGTGAGGACCTACTCTATGTCCCTCCCCTTTAGATGTTTGGCCTAGGCAAAGGCGTGTGGGGCTGGAATGACAACGAGGGCTGGGACCCGGGCGGCAGCTGCCTAGATGAAGACCTCGTCGCCAAGGTCGGGGCCGCGGGCTCGGTGTGATGGCCCGTGGAGTCCATCATGCGCTTTCTCTGCTGGCCTCTGGCACTTCGCAGGGGGCGCTGCTCCTCCTGGCTCCTGCAGTGGGTGAGGTCAGCAGGTGACCAGTGCTGGCCGACGAGTTGTGGGCACAATGACGTCTGTCACTTCTGGGTCAAAGCATTTATGGCCAGTGTGAGAGCCTCTGAGCTCTCTTTCTGTCTGCCACCACAGGGTGTGCTCAAGACAGTGGCTCCTTCACCACCCGAGTCCTGGGCTGGCCCAAGGCGGGGGACCTGCGGTGTGAGTGAGAGGCGAGCCGTCGTGATGCCAGCCCCTGAGAGTTTGGGAAGGCTTTCTTACAGTGTCATCTAGCCTCTCCTGACCAGCACAGGATCCAGCAGGCAGGCCCGGCTGTGTAATGTGCAGGCCCAGTGTGAAGTGAAATGCAAGCCCACCGTGGGAAAATTAGTAAGATTTGGCACAGCAGGGGCAGCACGCTAGAGCCAGCTGGGGCCTTCTGAGCACGGGCCGTCTGTGACCACTCAGGTTGCCTCCTGTGCCGTCATCAGCTCTGTTGCAGGCCCAGGTGTCCTTTGGGGTCTGCAGGTGTGGATGTGTGGCTTCGGCTGAGTGGCTTTCTTCCTCTGTGCCTCAGTTTCCTCATCTGTGAAATGGGAGGCTGTGGGGCCCGAATGGGATGGGGCAGGGGTGTGACCGTGCTTCAGGGGGCGCAGGGAGGATGAGTCAAGGTGACTCACTTTCCTCCTGTCCTTCTGCCTGCAGGAGGAAGCTTCCTCCCTCAGCAGGTGGTCACCTATTGCATTTCAGACACGGGTCTCTGGCCTGGGACCCAGTGGGAGCCCCTGCCTTCCCGAACGAAGATGGAGCACAGGGTATGGGGGAGTGTGTGCCATCTCAGTGAGAAAAGTGCCTTCGAGGGCATCAAGCAAGCCTGAGGGCGGAGGAGAGGGGCATCCTTTCCCGCTGGATGGCAGGGAGGCCTCCCTGAGAAGGCACACTGAGCAGAGGCCCCAGGGAAAGGAGGGCTCTGTGGAGGTAGACAGTTGCGGGTGGGGAGCCCGGGCAGAGGGAACACCAGCGCAGGAATCTGGAGGCCAGAGGGAGGCCCGAGCCTCCAGCCCACGAGGGCAGAATAGGAGGATGCGGCGGCTCCCGGGACCCAGGCCTGACGGAAGGAACTCGGACTTGTCCTCTGGGTGGGTCTGGAGCCAAGAAATGCCATGATCTCATTCATGCATTAGAACAAGCATTCCCAAGGGGGTGGTCTCAGCCCCAAGGGAAGTGTTTGGTTCTTGGGGCATGAAGAAATCTCACTGTTTATGTAGAAAGCCCAGATACTTACACGGCACATAAACAGACGCATATTTGTCTGTGGTTCTAAAATTCCATGGTGGGCGGGCAAATTAAAAAAAAAAACAGCCTATAAACGTTCCTTAGGTTAGGGGGCAGTGATAAAGAAAGCAAGTTTGAGATGCTGATCTGGAAGGATCGTTTCACCGCCATGGGCTGGAAATAGGTTTGGGGGCAGAGGCAGGAGGCGTTCAGGGCTGTCGTGAGGAGCCCTGCCAGCTCACTTGCTGGGTGGGTCTGGCGGTGTCAGCGGCGGTAGAGAAGTGGGTGGATTCGGGGGTCCTCTGGAAGGGGGAGCCAGTAGGGATTCCTGAAGGGTAGACACAAACTCGGAGAGAGAGAGGGTCAGGACGGCAAGGCTGGGGCCGGGGCGGCGGGAAGGGTGAGGTTTCTGTGCACTGAGATGGGGCTGCTGGGGCTGTCTGGGGAGTCCGAGGTGCCCAGGGGCAGGCGGTGGGCTCAGTACACGAACGCTGCGGGCAAACAGGCCGGGGGAGGAGCGAGGACCTGCCTGCTGATGGCACTTGAAGCGCCCCTGGAGAGGTGCGCTTGGAGCCCCTGATCATGGCAGGCCCTCAGGCTTCTCATTTGCAAAATGGGGCAGCTGACTCTTGGTCCTGGGTGGGTTCCCATCCCTGGGGTGGGGCTGGAGTTGCTGAGGCCCATTTCAGGCCCGAAGGCTGGGCTGTTCCTGGGAAGTGATGAGTGCCCTCTAGCCCTTTCATTACTGGACGCTACCTAGCCCTGAAATGCAATCCAGAAGCGGGGGTACCCTGTCTTCTCTCTGAGCCCAGGAGGGATGTCAGGGACAGATGGAGGCCCGGGCGGGGAGGCTTCCAGCAGGCCCTGCCCTGTGCCACCGAGAATGTGGCATATGGAGGCTTACAGGCTATTCTGACATTCAGGCACCCTCTGGGCCTCATGTGGGCCCCATGAGAGGTGGGTGGATCAGCTGGCTCCAGAGTGATGGCAGGTCAGGGGCAGGCATGAGAACACCCCAGCCCCAGACCTGGTGGATCCCGTCATCCCCCCATTTCGCAGTTGGGGAAACTGAGGCACACAGCAATGGCAGGCGGAGAGTGACACTGCAGGTTTCTAGTCCCAATGTCCATGCTGCTAATGACTGCCCTGTGGCCTGGCTGGATCCCCCAACTTCTCTGAGCTCTGGTCTCATCTGTGGAGTGGGGTGATGGGCACCACTGTCAGAAGATCACTGGGGATTACGGAAGAAGACGCGTACTGTGTGTGTGCCCAGCCCAGCTTAGACCACAGGGCTGACCGGGTCTCCCCCCGTCATCAGGGCTTGGGTCTGATGCCCAAGGTGCCTGTGTCCATGACTGTGGGGCCACCCTGGGGTGGGCCTCAGCACTCTGAACCCAGCCCTGCCCTTGATCATTGGCTACCTCATGCCCTGTGCCCAGTCCCAGGCCAAGGGCTTTGGAAAACATCCCAGGGAGCTCCCCACTCCCTCATTCAACATGTTGGTTCCAAATCCATGAATATGCAATTGTTGCCCACCCCCCTCCACAGAACTTCCTCCACTTCTGCAGCCAGCTTCAACATTAATCACAGATAATTGCTAGCGGGAGTCGTTTATGTCAAGAGCCATTATTCCTGGGAATAAAGAGACATAAAAGACAGATCCTTTTTGGAAGCCCGGCGTCGCCTGGGGAGGAACAATGCCAGACCCGGAAGAGGTCCCTGGCCGGCCCCGGCCCACTTCCAGCAGCTCCAAAATGCATGTGACAAACTTGAGGCCCCGGCCTTTGCTGCGTATTCTGTGAGATGAGTCCATCCGTCATGTTCACGCGCTTCTCTGAAGTTGTTGTGAGTTTCCTTGAAACCATGAGGGTTTTTTTCTTTTTTCCTTTTTTTGGCAACAACAGCTGGGAATAAGTTGACACTTTCTAAAAACTGCCACTTACCGCCCGGAAGGGGCTGAGGGAAAGACACCCCATGTGTGCCAAGTCCCCAGGCCCAGAGCTGAGCTCACATGCCAGATCCTGTCCGTCCTCAGCATCTCCAGGGTGGGCGGCCTCCAGGGTTTTCAGGAGGTCAGTGGGGAGAGCAGTCTGGGTAGGAGGAGGTACGGGGTTGAGTTTTATCCACAGGCTTTATCTGTGGGCATTATCCACGGACATTATCCCTTGGGCTCTGGGCCGGGCTCCCCTCACAGGACCCAAGGACAGATTGAGGGGAAGGTAGAGAGGAGTTTCTGCATGTTGTTCATGTTTAACACTGCTTCTATATTTTCATTTTTATTGCAATAGGTCATAAATCAGTTTATTACCTGGAATATCTGGTTGTTATTTTCTTATAATCAAACACCACGTCTGTCTGTGTCTGTTGATACTGACTGCGGCCACACACGAGGCATGGGAACAATGGCTGTGCGGAGCTCTGGGCCCTCTGTGCTTGTGCACATGTTTGCTGGTATCCGGTGCACGTGCATGCATGCTTCGCACATGTGTAGATGTGTGCACCTGTGCATGCATGCAGGTGTGCACATCGTTTGCTAGTGTGTGTAGATGTGTCGATGGCAGTACACATGCACACCTGTGTGTGAGTGCCTCGTGTGTGTGTGTCTCTGGGTGCCTGCGCTCGCTGTGGTTTCTGTACATGGGTAATAGAAAGCTCTTGTAATTCTGGAAGCCCCATGCCTGCCTTGCCCCCTCTCTGTGTCAGGAACTCTTTGAGCTCTGTCATTTTATGCATATTCTACTGAGGGGGAAACTGAGGCTGAGAGGGTTCAGAGGACCTGCCGGCTCGGACATGGCTTGGGTTTCTGACTGTAAGTCTCATCTATGTCCATAAGGACCCCCTGGGAAGGACAGCGGTGGCTGCGTGGTGGATTGGAGCAGCAGGCAGGACACCGTGTTCTGAGGCCCCTCCTGTCTTTGTTGCCTTGCTTCCTGGTTGGTCTCACTGCGATTCTCACCAGCCCTGCTTCCAGTGCCCACTCCTACCACACCCTTCACGACCAATGCTGTGGTCCTTCTCCCCTTCAAGAGCCTCTGGCTCCTACTTCAGTGGTTTCCTGGCCATGCACCTCTGAGCTCCACAAATGGCCCAAAGGCAAAATGAGACTTGCAATCCTCCCTGAACTGGCTTCCCCCGCTGGGCCTCTCCCAAGATGGCCCTGCCATCTGTGCAGCCAGACAGTGGGGAGTCTTCCGGTTCTCCCACCCCTACCCACCCCCGCCAGGAGCCTGCTTACCTCCCCACTCTTCCTTCTCTCTCCCTCTCTGTGGCTCAGATGGTCCCTGACCACACATCCTCACGCTGGCACACCTCCTCCTGGAAGCCTCCCCAGATCCTCCCCACACTCCAGGCTGGGGATCCCCCGGGCTCGTCTCAGCACCTGCCATCACTCTGTGTGACTGCCACTCTGTTCATCTATTCCCAGCAGGGTTGAGTCTCATGGGCCTGGATGCACAGGGCCAGACGCAGAATGCTCTGTGGTCACCAAGGTGACATGAGATGTCAACTAGAACTCAGGATGAACTGGATCCTGACCTCTCCAGCCCCATGTCACTGGGGGATGACAGGCAGGTTTCATGCTGTGTGCTGCTGCTGGTTCTTGGGTGTGGGCCTCCTCCGGTGATGTGTTGAGAAAGACCCTGAAGTGAGTTCTTGGCTCAGTCAGGCATGCACTCTGATGGATTGGTGATGTCTGCCATGGTGTGGAGTGGGCAGAGGAGGGAGGAGGGAGCAGGGGAGAGCAGGGAGAAACACAGAGGAAGAGGCATGGAAGGTGAGGAGACTGAGGGAAGCTTCCAACCCGGGCCTGTGTGGGGCTGACTCTGCCTCTCCTCTGGCTCAGAGCTGCATGGGCGTGGGAACTCCCTCAGCTCAGCTGGCAGCAGGGCCCTGCCCTGGCAGGCCTGGAGCCCAAGAACCAGCAGGTTTGGCAAAAAGCCCCCGAACCCCAGCAGGCCACCCGCCCAGCCCGGGGGGACTCAGGACCCCTCCCCAGCCTCAGCTGGAGCGCCCCAGGTGAACTGTTGAAGTGTTCCTGGAACAGTTTGAAAACATTTTCCCTGTCTCTCTTGTAAGCCTCCTGAAGGGTGGGCTCTTGCCCCACCCCACCTAGCCCTGGGGATGGTGTCTCTTGGTGAACACCCTGCAGCAAGACAATGACCGCCTTCCTGACCCTGGCTCCCGTCCACCAAATGCTGAGGCTGCCCTGCTGCGTCCTCCTCCCTGCCTCTAGGCACTCCCTGGAGACAGCCTGGGCCCAGAGTCAGAAAAACTCAGGTTCACACCCAGGCTTCTTCTCTTATTAGCCGTGTGATTCCAGGCAGGTGGCTCCTTCCCTCCAAGCCTCCATACCCTCATCTGCAAAATGGAGGTGCCATGAACTGAGGTGAGGCGAGCTGAGTTGAGGTGTACCTGGGACCCCAGGGTGCTTGGGGAGCTGGTGGGAAAGTCAGTCTTGCCGTCCTGCTGGGAATCTCCAGGTCTCCAGGCGTGTTAGGCCACCTTCGCGATGCTTCGGAGGCTCAGCTAAGGACCAGATGGTGTTTTGAGCATTTCAATAAGAGCTATTTGCAGTGTTGCTGCCATAAAAAAAAATTCCTGCTTAATGAGCAAATGCACGTTGGTATTGAGTTAAAGGCGCTTGGATGTTTTAAATATTATGTACGTCGTGTTCGTGTTAACAAACCTGATTTTTAATTACACCTTCCCCTGCTGCCTGGCTGGGCTGAGGGTAGGGGAGGGGAAAAAAATCAGGCAAAACAAGTGTGTCTTGCTGTCAGAAACGACAGGCAGTTTCTCCGGATCTGTCCTCTGCAGACATTGCTCTGATGGCACACGCAGTACTGGAGCTTGGCGGGGGTACAGGATGGCTCCTACCTTGCTAACCCTTATTTTGCACTCCCAGCCTGAGCCCTGACCCTGGTTGAACATTGAGCCTAATCCTGGTCATGTACTGAGCTCCTATCCCCGGTCATACTTGGAGCTTTGAGCCCTGACCCTGGCCACACACCGAGCCCTGATCTCATTCACATACTAAACACTGACCCTGGTCGTAGACTGAGTCATGACTTCAGGCATAGGCTGAACCCTGATTCTGGGCACTAACTGAGTCTTGACACTGGTTGCAAACCCAGCCCATTTCCTGGTCATAATCTGAGCCCTGATCCCAGCCATGAACTGAGTCTTGATCATGTTCAGAGACTAAGCCCTTAGACATGTACGGAAGACCTCAGCTCCCTTCACCGGTGGCCCCAAGGGGAGGCAGATGTGGTGGGTCTGAGCATGCAGGAAAGGCCTTGTGTGCCCGGACTAATGGTGTGGACCTCAGGGACAGAGGCGCGGCGCTAGGCTCCTTTGCTGATGGCGGAGACATGATCCTTGGCTTCCCAGTCACCAGGTGTGACATGGAGATGCCCCTTTCCACATTCTGTCCACAGCTTCCCTGCCTCTTTCCCAGTGAGGACCTTGTGGTCTCATTGCAGAAATGAGAGAGAGGGCTTGTGCTATGGTCCTGTGTCTGCTGGGAGCTCCTCCTACCAGATCCCTCCACCCGTCTCTTCCTTTCACAGTGATAAAGTGGGGGCTGTGGGAGGTGAAGTGACTTGCCCAGGGTCCCACGGCTGGTGCCCTGCAGAGTCATTGGCTTCGAAAGCCTGCAACAGACAAACAGAAGGGGCCCCAGGTCCTTAGGGCCAGTGGATGTGGGAGTGCTGGGGAAGCCCCACGGAGAGTGACCCCACCCCCCTTGAGGACAGGTGGCTGCATTCACAGAGACGGTGATGGTGGGGATGCGTCCTGCCTTCGCTCTAGCCCAGCCCAGGCTCCAGCCCCATCACCCTCATTCCAGGGAGAGGGTGAAAGCTGCGCCCAGGGACAGAGCCAAGACGCAGGCCCAGACAGCTCACTCTTCCCCTCAGCCCCTCTGCCCACTTGTGCACACTGTCTTCATTCTATTTCCTTTAGCTGGGCCCCTCCACTGGGAAAAGATGAAACGTCTTCTCAGATCCAGTTCAAAAGACTCCCAGGGAAGGTCCCTGCTTGGTCCACACTGGGTCATGCGCTCACACCCTGGACCAATCAGCTGCTGTTGGGCCAAAAGGCTGCTGTGATTGGCAGCTCCACGGAGCCTCGTGGTTGGGGGCTGCCCCGCCCCAGCAGGCCAACTGCCTGGGAGGGGCACAGGGAGCCTGGGGGAGGGGCATGCGACTGCCACGCGCTCCCTTCACAGGGAGCACCGCTGGCCAGGGACAGCGCAGTGCTGGGGGCACTCAGGGTGGCCTTTTTTTTTTTTTTTTTTTTTTTTGAGACAGAATCTCGCTCTGTCGCCCACGCTGGAGTGCTGTGGCGCGATCTCGGCTCACTGCAACCTCCGACTCCCTGGTTCAAACGATTCTCCTGCCTCAGCCTCCAGAGGAGCTGGGACTACAGGTACCGCCACCACGCCCGGCTAATTTTTGCATTTTTAGTAGAGACGGGGTTTCATCATGTTGGCCAGGATGGTCTCGGTCTCCTAACCTCGGGATCGGCCCGCCACGGCCTCCCAGAGTGCTGGGATTACAGGCGTCAGCCACTGCGCCCGGCCGGCTTGGCCGTCTTTATGGTTGTACAGTGCCACTTTGATTTTGTGGCAATCATGAAAATATTAAATTAATAAAACCATCATGCTGCTTATAGATTTTAATGTCATATTTGTGAGTTTTTGCCCGGAGATAAGCTGCAGCAATAAATGCGATTAACTCCTTATGAAGTCTTCTACTTACATTTTTCAAAAAGTGATGCTGATTTTCGACTGGGGACTGCAGAGAGCCTGGAGCCCTGTCACGTCCCTGCGCTTCCCCCCTTACTGCGTCAGAGTGCGTCAGAGCTGCGAGGGAACCTCACGATCCGCATGTGAAACCTGCTGCTTCCCAGAAAGGAGGTGGGGGCCAGAGGAGGCCGGGGACCTGCTGAGGCAGCACAGCCCCTCAGAGCAGGGGCAGGAAGGCAGGTCCCCTGAGTCCCAGGCTGCCTGTCCCGTGCCTGTCCACCCTCACAAGCACTGGCCTGTCACATCCCAGAGATGCCAGCCTGCACGTGATGGTTAATGCTGAGTATCAACTTGATTGGATCGAAGGATGCAAAGTATTGTTCCTGGGTGTGTCTGTGAGGGTGTCGCCAAAGGAGGTTAACATTTGAGCCAGTGGACTGGGAGAGGCAGACCCACCCTCAGCGTGGGCACCATCTAATCAGCTGCCAGCATGGCTAGAATAAGGCAGGCAGAAGAACATGGAAGGACCTGACTTGCTGTCTCCCGGCCTTCATCTTTCTCCCGTGCTGGATGCTTCCTGCCCTCGAGCATCGCACTCCAGGCTCTTCAGCCTTGGGACTCTTGGACCTTCAGCCACAGACTGAAGGCTGGACTGTTCGCTTCCCTACTTCTGAGACTTTGAAACTTGGACTGGCTTCCTTGCTCCTCAGCTTGCAGACGGCCTCTTGTGGGACCTCACCTTATGATTGTGTGAGTTGACTCTCCTTATTAAACCCCCCTTTATATATACATCTATCCTATTGGTTCTGTCCCTCTAGAGAACCCTGACTGAGGAACAGAGGACGCGCCGGACCCTTCTTTGCCCAAGAACCTTCAGTAGCTCCCAAAGCTCAGAGGAAGAAGCTAGTGTTGCTAAACTCGGCCCCTGGAACTAGGTCCTTCCTTCGCCCCCAGAATGTTCATGGGTCTCTTCTTCCTCCAGGGAATCTTTTCTTCCAACTGGAGTGGTTGACATCTGTTGATGAATGCATGTTTGTGAAATGAGAGTGTGAGTGAATGAGTGTCCTGCATAGCTATTTGCCTAGCACGTTGGCTGTTAGATTCCCTGATGTGCTGGCTGCAGTGGCTCATGCCTGTAATCCCAGAGCTTTGGGAGGCCAAGGCAGGAGGATGGCTTGAGGCCAGGAGTTCAAGACCAGCCTGGGGAACATACCTAGACTTTGTCTCACAAAGAATTAAAACATTATCTTGGTGTGGTGGCGTGCACCTGTGGTCTCAGCTACTTGGGAGGCTGAGGTGGGAGCATGGCTTGAGCCCAGGAGTTCAAGGCTGCAGTGAGCTGTGATTGTGCCACTGCACTCTAGCATGGGTAACAGAGCAAGGCTCCATCTGTAAAACTAAGAGCACAAAACAAAAACAAACCCAACCAAATAGATTCTGAAATCTGAAGATCCTAAGATGCGTGGGGGTCACATTGATGGAGACGCCCCGCACCACCATCTATGACCCTTACTTGCCGCTCCCACTGTCCCCTGGAATGGGTTTGGGTTGTTGGAATGCACCCTGCTGTACCCTGCCCCCTCCTTCCTCCAGGCATTCACCCTTGCTGTTTTCTCCACCAGGAACAGCCTTCTTTCTCTTCTTTGAGAATTCCTACTGATTCTCAAGTCCCAGCTTGGATACCATTGGGGGCCATGGTGTCTCTGGCCAGTGGCTGGGTAGGCTCTGTGTCCCGCGGGACCCTGAGGGGACTCCCTGACGTAGCACTTGCGTGCTTCTCTCTGACTGCTGGTGTCTGTCTCCTGCCAGGCGGTGTGTGCCCTGGGACAGCTGCCTCTCCTTCTGCTCAGTATCCACAGGAATAGTAGCACCGACACCACCATTGTCAGCTCCCCAAGGCAGCTAGCCACATGCCTGGCGCTCTGTATGGGTTTTGGAGCTCCTCCTTTCTACTGAGGGCCACCATTTGGTGACCTCAGACTGCATAATTTTCAGTGAAGGAATGGACAAAGGCACGAGAAACTTGCAAAAGTTGCCAGGTAGTGGGAGCGACTGCTCTAGATGGCCCCTCTACCCCAGCCTCAATCTCAGCACGGCTGCTATCAGCATCCCAGGGCTGGAGCTTTGGGCAGGGGTCTTTTCAAGAGGGGGACCCCAAGAGGAGTGGCTCCGCAGGAGACTGGGCAAGTCAGCCTTGGGATGGAGCTGTGCAGGGAGCCAGGAGCCAGCCAATGGAGGTGGTCCCTGGGCAGGACATGGAAAGACCCCACCACCATGCCAGGGTTGAAATGTTTTTGACGTGCCTGACATGGCCAAGAAATTAGGACGTGCTGTCAGCTGGATGGACTGGATTGGGGTGGGCTGGATGGGGTGGGCTGGATTGGGATGGGCTGGATTGGGGTGGGCTGGGCCCAGCAAAGCACCTGAGCTTGGGCTCCCAAGATACTTTCAGGGCATCTGCAAGTTCAAAATTGTTTCAGCAAGAATACTCAGATGTTGGTGTCTCTTGCTGTTTTCCCCGATGGTGCAAAAGCAATGACCAGTATTGCTGCGGATCTGCAAGCACCGATCTCCGCAGTGGTCCCAATGCTGCTTGAAGGCGGGCGTGGGTTCTGCCGTGCCACACGCTTGCAAAACTCCCAAGCCCCAAAACAGTCAGTTTCACCTAGGACTGTCTTTGATGAAGCACAGAAAATACTTTTTATTAAATCATGACCTTGAGGCTGGGCGTGGTGGCTCACGCCTGTAATCCCAGCACTTTGGGAGGCCAAGGCGGGAGGATCACTTGAGGCCAGGAGTTTGAGACCAGCTTGGCCAACGTGGTGAAACCCCATCTGTGCTAAAAATCCATCCAAAAATTAGCCGGGTATGGTTGGGCGCCTGTAGTCCCAGCTACTCAGGAGACTGAGGCATGAGAATCACTTCAACCCAGGAGGCAGAGGTTGTGGTGAGTTGAGATCACGCTACTGCACTCCAGCATGGGCAACAGAGTGAAATGCATTCTTCTCCCTGGGACGCTGTCTTCTCCTCTGGAACATGGGATGGTTGTAACTTCTTCACAGGTGTCCTCTGAAGACCGAAGAGTGTTTGTAAAGTGCCTGGCATTTGTAGAGGTTCTAAACCTGGCACCAGTTATTGCTGGGAATGATCATTTTCCTGCAAACCTAATGAAATATGTCCCAATGTGTCTGTTTTTGAGAGGGGGAAACTGAGGTTTGGGGGAACTGATCTGTCCAGGGTTACCTAGCAAGGAAGGATTCCAGCTGGGCTGTTTTACCCTCTAGGGCTGCCTGGCACCCCTCCTCCCACTGGTCCTCCTCAGACCCCACCACAGGGTCCTCCCACCCAGGTGGCTATACCCCCACCCTGGCCTGCAGCTCAGGCCTTGGCAGAGCCAGTTTCTCAGGGCAACCCCCTATCTGGAGCTGGCTTCCTGGCCGTTGTCATGGGAACTGCTTCCTTGTTGCCAAATGCTGCTGACCGGGGAAACTGAGTTGGACGGATGGGATGGATGGGACGGATGGAGGGAGGACCGGAGCTGGGTGGGCAGGAAGGAAGAGCCAGGAGGGGAGACAGCTTCTGGGTGGGCCTGGATAGGCAGCACGAGGGGGAGGGGGAAGGTCATCTCTGTCCCATCAATGGGCATGCAGTGGGCACTCGGAGTGAGTCTCTTCAGGGTGCCAGGCAGGAGTGGGTGACCAGAGGGACTGGGGAGGAGGGGGCAGTCAGGGCTTGAGGCAGGCCGCATGGCGGCCTGTAGGTGGGAAACGCTCCCTCTTTTCCTGAGTGAGGGGCTTGACAGTGACTGCCCCCAAGCCTGTGCCTGGAGAACTCCATGGACCCCGGACTCCCTGCAACTTTGGCCAAACTGGGGAGTCTGGGGCTGCTCTCCATAGCCCCGTGGCTGGCCTGACCCCACACTCCTGGGGGATGGGGCTCCTCCTCCTCCCGCTCCCCGACTCAGGCCTGGACACTTGGGGGGGTCTGTGAGGCTGTGGAGTGGAGGCCAGCCAGCCCAGGACACGGGCCCAAGGCAGCCTGTGTGGGTCCAGGGTTCCCGGCCCAGCCCGTCCCTTGACTCGGAGAGTGACCTTGGAGCTTCGCTGCTGTCTCAGCATGGCCTCCATCTCCTGGGCTTTCGGGCTGTGTTTGGGCCTGAAATCTAGCTTCGGGGCCAGTGCCTCTCTTCCCCTGCTGGGATGGGACAGGGCTGGCTGGTCCCTGGATACTGGAGCTGCAGAAACATTTGCTCTCAGAAGCAGAACATGCTGCACAAAAATAGCAGCCTGGTGACGGATCCGCCTGCCGGGAACATATGCTGCCTCGGGTGGGGGCGGCGGGCGGTGGGGAGGGGCGGGGAGGGGCGGGGGCCTCTCTGCTGGAGGCATGGGTGCGCTGGGGTCCCTGTCGTTGGCTCTGGGTGGAGAGGGCCAGGCCAAGCTGCTGCCCGAGGCTCTCCTGGGTGCCAGGTGCTGCCTGTCTGTCCTCAGGGTCGCTCTGAAAGGACCTGCCAGGCAGGTGCTCTTGTCCCTCCCCAGATAAGGACGCCCAGGGAGAGAGGCCTCAGGACTGCCCGGTCACACAGAGGAGGGGTAGAGCCAGGGCTGGCCTGCCTGGCACCAAGGGAGGGGCCCTGCCTTTGGCACAGGTGGGACAGATTCACCCCCTCATGCATTCGCTCATTCATCAGTTACTGTGCTGGGTGTGAATTCTCATCTCACTTCCCTCACTGCGGACCCCTGGTGTCTTACCTGGGCCCTGTGGAGCTCTGCATCCTCAAGCGGAGAGTGGACGCCTCGCCACGAGCCCTGCTGGCCGCACAGGAATGGCACCCTTAGCCTAGTCCCCCATTCCTGCAGGCTGCCTGGAGAGGGGCCGGCGAGGCCTCTCCCCCTCCACCCCCCGTTCTGCCTCACTGGCATGGTGGCATGGACTCGGAGCCGGGCTGCTGGGTCTGCTTCTGGCCCCTGTAATGGATCTCTCTGTGTGCCGTCCATGTCCTCAGCTGTGAGATGGAGGAGTAGTCACCCCACCTTAGTGAGTAGTTGGGATAATCCAACTGGGCCATGGATCTGGAGCCTGAGAACAGGTGGGCTGTTATGACTGTCAGGATCCATCAGCTCCGGGGCACCCACTCAGGGCTGGGCCCAGTTCTGGGGTCCAGAGACTCAGAGTTGAGTTACCTTTGTCAGGCTTTGTCCCCAGGATCTCAGGTCCAGCTGGGGGCCCGACAAGTGAAGGGACATTGGCCGTGCAGTGTGACCAGCCACAGGGCAGGTGAGGTGGACAGCTCCATGGGGGTGTCCTGCGCAGCCACCTGCCTCCCGCCTGGGCGGGATCCTGGCCCTGGGCTGCTCTCCTCTGGCCGTCCCTGTCCCTGGGCAGCTTGGAGGGGAGGCCACGCAGCCCGCACGCCCTTCCCAGCTACCCGGGGCGGGGGCCTGTGAGCACCATGGGCCGGGATCCAGCCTCCACCTGGGCTGGCCTGGGCGGTGCAGGGCTGGGGTGTGCAGGGCTGGGGTGTTCAGTGGTGAGAATCTGTGATGGTCTGAGCAGGGCTGGAGACCTTCCTGGGTTGGTGGGGGTGCTGTAGTGGGTCCCACACCCTCCCCTGCTTCCTGGGTCTCCCTGGGAGTCTGGGAAGTCCTTCTTCCAGTCTATCCCGGCTTCCACCCACCGCAGCTCCAATCAGCCTCCCCTCTGGAGCCTGATTAGGACAGTCAGTTGGAGGGAAGCTGTAGGAGAGGCATCGCCCGGCTGGGAGGGAGGGTGACATGTGGGCTCCCGTCAAACGCGTCCTCCTCGTGCCCGCGCCTGGGCTGTTGAAGAGCAGTTGGGAGCTGGCGTACAGGGTGGAGAGCAGAGCAGCTTCCGTGGGAGAAGGGGCTCTTCTCTGGGCAATAGAGAGACACGGCTCTGCCGCCTCCTCATCCAGAGTGGGGCTGAGGGGAGAATGAGAGGGTCACTTTTTCCCTGCAGAGGAGGCTGTCGGGCAGACAGGGAACTGGCCTCCACCGTCTTTGTCATCATGACGAAGGCCACCCAACCTCCTGCGTCCTCTCCCCATCAGCCCTGCCCTCCCCCTGGGCTGGGTCATGGTCCTGACCTGTGGGCTCAGGTGGCTTCAGATTGTCTCCCTTCCTGGGCATCTCCCAGCCTGGCTTTTGGTGCCCCCAGAAGCCATTTGGAAACAGGATTTCCACATAGGAGGTCAAGTCTTGGAAGCCTGTCAGGCAGAGGGGGTACAGGAGTCACTGAGTTTAGGCTCAGAGTGTCCTCGGATGGATGGGGTGGGAGACACTGTGATCAGCAGGCTGCCCAATTGTAGGGTTGTGGATGGGCCCAGCACGGCCCTCACCATGGCAGATCCAAGAAGGCCCAGCAGGTCAGAGCCTGGCGGGGGCATCTCACAGATGGGGAAACTGAGGCCAGGCGGGGAGAGGTGTCATGTCCAAAGTTGCTGCTTAGGTACAGGTGGCTCTGTGTGGGAGTGGCAGGGAGGAGCTGGGTGGATCTCAGCCCCAGTCCAGGGAGCAGGGCACTTCCCAGAGCTCCTTGACTGCTTCTGTCTCCTCCATCGCACCCCACGGGGGCGTTTCCCTTAGTCTCTGCCTCCTCCATCGCACCCCATGGGGGCGTTTCCCTCACTCTCTGCCTCCCCCATCGCACCCCACAGGAGGGTTTCCCTCACTCTCTGCCTCCCCCATCGCAACCCACAGGAGGGTTTCCCTCACTCTGCCTCCTCCATCGCACCCCCATGGGAGTGTTTCCCTCACTGGTTCTGTTGGTGGCAGTGGCAGCAATCCGAGTCACATGGCACCAGAGTATGTCACGGGTGGCGGATCTGAATGGGGCTGCAGAGCCTCACACTTCCAGTGTCTTGCAGCCCTTCTGCCCTGATGCTTCCCTTGGGATGTGCTGTCCGCACGCGCATGCTTGAACCCAGTCGCCCAGCTCCTGAGTTTTTTTTTTTTTTTTATACTTTAAGTTTTACACTGTTGGTGGGACCGTAAACTAGTTCAAACATTGTGGAAGTCAGTGTGGCGATTCCTCAGGGATCTAGAACTAGAAATACCATTTGACCCAGCTCCTGAGATCTTATCCGGAAGCAGCGGATCACGTTTCAGGTGTTTCCTATCTGTTGGGAGATGGCCTTTCCCTGGCGCCGGCTGTGGCCAATTATTACTTTAGAGAGACAATTAACGACCGCCTGACCATCAGCCGAGGGTTGGCTGACACTTCTGTGTGTGGGGTCCCTCTCCTGCCCTGCCCTACCCGATTAGCTACCCACTGGGACAGTTCCTGGGCTGTCTCCCCGCTGACTCGGTTTCCCAGGAAAGGGTTCTGTGTGATGTTTTCAAACCATGCCCCCGTCCAAGGCCCCTGGCGCAGAGCAGGTGATAGTCAAACAGTGACTGAATGGCCGCTGGTGCGGCTATGTCATGAAGGGCGCAGGGCCAGCTGAGGACTTGGGAGCTGCAGGTTGGTGTGTACACCGTGCCCTACCCCAAGGCCCCTGCAAGCATTGCTCATCAACCACAGCACCGCTTCTCCGGCCCAGGTGCAGGGAGCTTCTCAGTCACCCTCCACGTGGTGCTCCAGGGGGCCTCTCCCCCAGAAGCTTCCTCACACAGTCCTTGGCTGGGGCAGCGGGAGCTGAAGGTGGCGGGACAGGGAGAGACATGGTTGTGTGGGAGCTGTAGGAATGACTGATCTTGGCTGGATTGAGGGCTTCCTGTGCAAGGGCCTCGGCGGTGGGGAGGTGTGGGTCAGCAGGGAGAGCTGGCATGGTTGGGGGTTGGGACAGCTTCCCTGAGGAGGCTGGGCTCGGGCTGTGCCCAGCAGAAGAGGTCAGGACCCTCCTGTGTCTGAGAAAACTGTGTGTGAGAGCCCTGAGCGGGGAAGCTGGGGAGCCTCACATGCGCTGGCCTCCTCCCATGATCCAGGCACAGAAAAGGGGTCCCCACTCATCATCTTGGTCACTGATAGCCTTTCTAGGCAGGCAGCCTCCACCCCCTGCTTTGGATGAGGAGAGAGAGGGTCAGGGCTGTGATGACTGCCTGAGGTCACCCAGCTTGCGGTGAAGTGCAGAGAGGGCTGTGAACCCTGGTTCCCCCTCACCCACATGCACACTATGCACACCAGCACACACGGACTCTTGCACATGCAAATGCGAAGACACACACACACTCTCAGACACATGTGCACACACAGTGCAATACATGCACACACACACACAGGCACGTGTCCGCACATAGCCACACCCACTCAGACACATGCACACACAGGCAGCACACACAAATGTGTCCATGTGCACACTTCCACACACACACACGAGATCCATGGTGCCCCCAGGACCCGTCCCCGGCATGCTCTCTCGCTCACTGGTCTCACTGAGGGTGACATCTGGGTCAGGAGCTCCCTGGGGGACCTTCTCACTGTCTCCGTGGCCCTGGCTCACAGGGTAGCTGGGTCTTTGTTGGTGTCCACAGGGAGCATGGACAGGCCCCTCCAGGTCAGGATGGAGCAGGAAGCACCCTGGTTTGTCCCTGTGTCTCCGTGTCCAGTCCTGCCCGGGGACTGGCCCTGCTTCCTGCCAGTCTCAGCCCTCATCTGGGCCAGCAGGCCCTGCCTCATTACCCACTAACACCCTGTGGCCTGGAGCAGAGACGCCCAGGTCCTTGTCGGCTGAGAACGAGGCTGGGGCCTCCACTCCCAGCCCCTGAGTCTCCTCCGGGTCTCCTTTTTCTTTGCAAGCTGGGGAGAGCACCTGAGTTAGTTCCCGGGGCTGTGGTACAAAGCACCACAGGCTGGGTGGCCGAGACAACACAGATGGGTCCCCACAGTCCTGGAGGTGGGACCCCAGATCAAGGTGTCCCTCCTGGGGGGACCTGCAGATGCCACCTTCTCCCTGCTTCCTCATGTGGTCGTCCTTCTGAGTGTGCCTGTGTCCCCATCGCCTCTTCTTATAAGGACACCAGACATCCTGGATCAGGGTCCACCCCAGTGACTTCAGCTTACCTTCACTGCCTATTTAAAGACCCTATCTCCCAATATGGTCCCATTCTGAGGTCCTGGGGGGCAGGACTTGCACAGAGAAATTTCTGGGGCACTTGATTGAGTTCATAAACCCCTCCTCCTCCAGGTTTGCGGAACTGCCTGCTCCACTTCCCAGCAGCCGGGCAGAGACTCTTGTGGTTTAGTGTCATTTCCTTTAGTTCTCTCCATTGCCGCAGGATCCAATCTACACAACCCTGTCCACACGCACATGCTTCACACACACACCACACCACACAGACACACACACCACACACACACCACACACACACCACACACACACCACAGACACACACACCACATAGACACACACACCACACATCACACAGACACACACACCACACACCACACAGACACACACCACACACACCACACAGACACACACACACACACCACACACCACACAGACACACCACACACCACACAGACACACACACACCACACACCACACAGACACACACTACACACACACCACACATGCACACACACCACACACACACCACACAGACACACACACACCACACAGACACACACACACCACACAGACACACACACCACACAGACACAAACCACGTGGACATAAATCAGACATAACCTACACACATCACACACACCCCACACTCACACCACACACACACCACACTCACACCACACACACACCACACTCACACCACACACACACCACATGCACACACACACACCACATGCACACACAGCACACACACACACTTGCAAACTCCATGTCCGTTGTGTGTTCCTGTCATAGCCAGTGCTCCACATGCACAGCCCAGGAAGCACGCAGACCTTTCACATGCTGGGCACACGTGTTACACAGACACATACATTGTACAGAAGCCGTGGCTCTCCTTCACATGTGCACAGCACACATGTGTGCAGGCGGAGCAAGGCCAGGTCCTGCATTCTCTACACCAGGGCTCTCAGGCTCCAGAGGTCACTGGGATTGCCTGGGGTCTGATTCACTATGCCTGGGTGGGGCCAGCCAGGTGCGTCCGTGAGCAGGCACCCGTGGCTGCCACACAAAGTCCCTGAGGACACGCCAGGCCTGGCCTCTCAGCTGCATGCCTTCTTCCTGCATGGAGCTCATGAAAGACAAAGGCCTTCCTGGCGATGGGGCAGTATCAGGGACCCCACTCCTGCAGCCTCTTCCTCCCGGGCTTCCCCTCTGCCCTCCTGTCCCACCAGGACAGCCTGGACCCAGGAGGACTCCCACCTGCTGGAGGCTGGAGGTGGGCAGGCAGCCCCAGGAGGAACCAGCCCCACACAGGACCAGCCGACTGCATGAAGGACGCTTCTCATCCCACCACTTCATTTTTAATCAACCAGCCCCATGCTGGCTGGGATGCCCCTCTGGGGGCAGAAGTCTGCGGTGCCCTTTCAGAAGCCAGCACATTTGGGAGGAACTGGAATCTGTCACTGGGCACTGACATTGTTCACTGCTGGAGGCCAAGCTGCCGAAAATGTAAATTTCTAATTAAAATAGAAATTAATCCTCTCTCCCAACTACCTGCTATCTCCAGCTGGATGAGCAAAAGTTTTATGCTGCTAATTAATGTTATCACCCGGAAGCTTTATTTACATAAGCAGATAGAATTCACACAGCTTTGCAGGAGCTGATGGAGAAAGTAAAAAAAAAAAAAATTCAGTTAAAAAAATTAATTACCTTGATCCTTCGTCTTGTATTCTAATCACACACTGGCAGGAGTCCCTCTTTGGCTTTCCCTAAAATCCACCATTGGTGCTTTCTTTGATGAACTGGGCACTTGTTCCAAACGCAGAGAGAAAAAGTTGAAAATTGCCACAAGCGGCTCAGAGAAAGGAAGAGCAGTCGCTGGCACATGGAAGGCCCAATGGGTGGGGAAATTATTTACCGTTCCTGGCATCGGATGTTTTTGTTACCCAGCTAAGCAGATTTTAAATTTCAAATTAAGATCTTGAAAAGTTCCTGGCAGATTAATAAATCACACTAACTGCTCTGTGTTCTGCAGGTCTTTCAGGGAGGTTTGAGAATGGGGACGCTTCTGCCACTTCCCTGGAGGGTCCACACCTTCCCGTCCTCCAAGGGGAGGAGCCCCCGAGACAAGTGGAGGCTGGAGGCCCTGGCCCCTTGCTGGAGGTCTCTTTCCTTCAGGCTGTGGGTGGGGACCCAGTCAGCCTGACTCTCTGTCTGCTCCCATGAAATGAAAACTCAGACGTTCAAGTTGGCTGCTGGGTGCCTGGGTGACGCTGGCCCAAGGTGCTGAGAGCTATGCTCCTGAGGAGGGAGTGGTGGAGTGGGGCCATTATTCAATCAGCAGACGTACTGTGGGGGTCCCCCCATGTGGCTGTCTTGTGCTTGCCCCCGAGCGATGTAGACAAGCTCTCTATTTCGGGTTGAATTGTGGCCTCCCCAAAATACGTGTTGAAGTCCTAACCCCAGTACCTGTGAATGTGAACTTATCTGGAAAGACGGTCTTTGCAGATGTCATCAAGTTCAGATGAGGCCATACTGGAGTAGGGTGGGTCCGAATCCAACGTGACTGGTGTCCTTATGAGAAGAGGGGAATTTAGACACAGAGAGAGGGGAGGATGCCGCCTGAAGACAGTGACACGGAGGCACCAGGAGAAGGCGGCATGATGACGGGGGCAGAGGTCAGAGCGATGCGTCCCCCAGCCAAGGAACACCAGGCACTGGCCATCCCAAAAGCTGGGGGGGAGGCCTGGAACTGACCACCCCCAAAGCTGAGAGGGAGGCCTGGCGCAGCTCCCCCTTCACAGCCTCCAGAAGGTGCCAGCCCTGCCAACACTTTGATCTTGGACTTCAGGCCTCCACAACAGGGAGCGAAACAACCTCTGATTGTTTCAAGCTGCGCAGTGCATGGGAATTTGCTACGACAGCCTGGGAGGCCAATTCACTGCCCCCTGGGGCCTCTGTCCAGCGGGGAAGACAGAACCTCAATCCCTGCAGACACAAAGCTCAGGATGCCCTGGGTGGGTGGGCGCAGGGCACCAGGCTCAGCCCCAAACTCACGGAGGGCTTCCTGGAAGAGGGGAGAGATGGGGCTGAGCCCCGGCGCAGGCTGCCACTGATCCTGGTTCCACCTTGTGTGTCCGCTTCCATCAGCCTCTTCCCCCATCCCATTCTGAACCTTCCCCTGCCATGCCTGGGCCTTTGCCATTCCTTCCGCTGCAGGGTCCTTCCACTCTGTCCCCACTTTGAGACCCTAGCCCACCTCCTGGCACCACCCCCAGGAAGCTTCCCGAGGCTGGGACCTGAGAGAGGCCTCTCCCTCTGTCTCCCGCACGCTGCTCTCTTATGCCCAGCTGTGTGGCTGTGATTTCTGCTTTCCTCCCTCTGGGGCTGGAAGCTCCTTGGGCATTTCATTCCACCCATGGTCCCCAGTCCGTCCCTGTGCACGGCACACTTAAGCTTCTGGGAACTGTTGGACAGACTCCAAGGAGTGGGACCCCTTTCTGTGATTGCAGGATCAGAGGGCACCCTAGAGCCCCAGTGTGGCACTGCCAGCCCCGAGCACAACTCTCCGCCTCCGTCTCCACACCTGTGAGATGCAGGCTGTGCCCTCTGACCTGGGGCCTCAGGGTGGGACAAGGTGGTCAGGTGGGAGGGGCTCAGTGTGGCCCATCTCTGCCCTCATCTCTTCATCTCCTACAGGGGGAGAAGCTGGCTGTCGGCTCCCCAATCTGCCAGTCTGGGGGTCTTAGATCAAATGCCACTTGGAGATCAGAGAGGCCTGCGGTTTTGAAGACTCCCAGGAATGTAAAGATCACCAACCTCCACACTCCCTCAAGAAAGGATGGGGCTTCTTTCAGGGGACAAAAGACAGTGACACTTTGAAGAAGTCTTCTTCCCCGCCCTGCAGAGAGCAGCTGTGTAGGGTCTGAAAGAATTTCCTCCCCTCTAAAGAGATGCTGGTGTGTTTCTTCCTCTCCTTGAATGGAGGAAAGAAATGACGCTGAGTAGAGAGTAATTACTCCCAATTGAGGCGGAAATCAGTCATGAAAGGGAGAGAAATGAAGAGGATCAGCCAGGAAATGCCCCCTCCCTGACTCGGCCCTTCTTCCACCTGCTCGTCCGCCTGCCTCCCTACCCAGGCCCTGAGGGATGCGGTCCTTCCCAGGAGCAGGCCTTGCTCCGGGGGGCTAGACCCCCACTCCCGACCCAGCAGGCTCCCCCAACCCCAAGAGCTCTCGGCATTCCCAGCCCCACTCACTGGTGGCTCCCGCTGCTTCCAGGGCCAAGTGGAAACAGCGGTGCCCTGGCTTCACAAAGCTGTGGAAAAGAAACCTGAACGTGTTGGAGCCAGCTCATTCTTTTTCTTTCCCCTTTTTGAAATCATGCTCATTTTACCTGTCCAGTGGGGAAAGATGAGCTGATACTCGCCAGCAAAGGAAATGCAGGTGGAAATTCCCCACGTGGCACCGCGCAGAGCAGAGACGGCTATCACCCGTGGTGTGGCCTCTTCCCTCTGGTCCTTTGCCTTCCACATAAGGGCTGCCAGCATCAGTGCTGTGCTTCCTGTTTATACAGTGACAAGCGCCCGCTGTGTCCCCTGCCTCCCACAGCCAGGCTGCTGCTCTCTTTCCATTTGTGGAGACACAACGGCTCCAAGCCAGGGGTTGTCGGTGTTGAAGCTCAGTCACCTGTCCTGCTCCAAGCCAGGCCAGTTTGAGAGCTTCCGGAAGCAGTTTTGTAGAAAACCGCTTGAGAAAATTGTCAAGGTGAAATCATGAGCGGGGCCCAGGGACATCTGCAGACCCCAGAGTCCACCCAGGAAAGGCTCCCAGAAAGCCTACCAAGAGGAAAACCGGGGCACTTTGAAGAAAAAGGCTTTAACATTTCTAACAACCAGTTTTATTGAGATACAGTTCACATACCACACAATTCACAGCTTTAAAGTGTACAACCGATGGGTTGGCAGCATATTCGCAGGGCCGTGCCACCAGCACCACAGTCCATTTTGGCACATTCTCGTACTTTCAAAGAGAAACGCTGTGTTCTTAGCCCCTGCCCCTTCCATACCCCCTGGCAGCCCCTGGCGACCCCTGTTTTACTTTCTGTCCTTGGATTTGCCTGTTCTGGGCATTTTCATATGAGTGGAATCAGGCCATGTGTGGCTTTCTTGTCTGGTTCCTTTCCGTTTCCTAGGGCTCTGAAGGCTCGCCCACACTGTGGTCTGTGACCGTGCAGCGCTCCGCCTCACCACGGCACATTGTTCTGTTGTGTGGATGGACTGCATTTTGTCTTTTCATCAGTTGATGAGCATGTGGGCTGTTTGAACTTTTTGGCTGTTAGGAATACAGCTGCTGTGAACATCTGTGTACAAGGTTTTGTGTGACATAGGCTTTGCTTTCTCTTGGGGATAGGCCTGGGAGTGGAATTGCTGGGTCACATGGCAGTGCCATCCTTAACTGTTTGAGGATGTACCCAGCAGCCTTCCAAAGTGACGGCACCATGTCACATTTCGGCTGGCAGTGTCGGAGGGGTTCGATTTCTCCAGCTCCTCATCAACACTTAGTCATTGTCTATCTTTTTGGTTCCAGCCATGTTAGTGGGTGTGAAATGGTATCTCACTGTGGAAAATGTGTTCAACATTTTCTATACCAAACTTTTACAAACGTTTTGGACCCCACATCCCTCTCTCCCTAAACACCTGTGCAGTCTCCACGAAACCAGGATGCAGGGCACCCCTCAGGACACGCTGGCCTTGCACAGGGTTGCTGAGGGTGAATGGTGGCATCATGACTGCCCAGGGTCTCCATGGGGTGGTGCTTAGTGTGTGTCTAATAAATGCACAGATGCATGAACGGCTGAGGGGCTCAATGGATGGCTTGGAAAGAGAGGACGTGGGGCCTCATGAGGTTGGAAAGAGGATGGGTAAGCATACTGACCATTGGCTGGGCCTTGCGCCTTGTGGAGGTGCAGAGCCTGAAGCCAGGGTCAAACGGTGGTGGCTCGGACCTGGCATCCCCATCCCCTGGCTGTGGGGCCCTAGTCACTCTGCACTCCATGACTTGTTTCCCCCTTCTGTAAAATGGAGGCTTCAGAGGGTTGTTCTGTTTGGTTGGATTCCCTTAGAAGCAGATTCTGAAGCCAGGAATCTAGTGTGCGTGGCTTATTTTGGGGTGTGTGAGATGTCTCAGGAAGCAGCTGTTCGGGAGGAGGGGTCTGTTATCAAGGCAGTTACCATGGTGGCACCTGAAGCTCAGCTGGGCTGGGATCTGGGATGTGGGTCCCACAGCTCAGATATGCGCTACCCCAAGGGTGGGGACGTGGATGTTTCAGTCACCACTTCCTGACCGTCCCTGGCTGAGGGCCACTGCCTAGGCCACACTCGTGGCCTGTTCCTAAGGCTGAGGGTCTTGGGTCCTTGCAGAAGGTCACTGCCAGCATTGTCACCAGAATTGAATGGGTCAAAATGCAACAAATCCCTGCCACACTGCCTGGACGTACAAGCTATGCCAATGCGACTTTGTCATCTGCCGTTCGTATCATGGTTGAGCATCTCTGATCTGAAATTCTTGGGACCAGAAGTGTCTTGTATTTCTTTGGATTTTGAAATATTTGTATTATACTTACTGGCTGAACATCCCAAATCTGGAAATCTGAAGTACAAAATGCTCCACTGAGCATTCCTTTGAATGTCACGTTGGTGTTCAAAAAGTTTTGGACTTAGGAACATTTTGAATTTGGGATTTTTGGATTTGGGATGCTCCACCTATATTAGGATTACTTGTCCACATGCCAAGAGCTGGGCTCCAGGTTATCTGCGTTTTCAGAGGATTGGCCCTCTGCCCTGGGGAGCGCTTGGTGGATGATCGGTACTAAGGCAGGAGCAGCGCTGCATGTGGCCACATGCATTCAGTTTCTCCAACACCTCCCAACTTTGGCAATGTGGCAGTGGAAGTGGCTGTTTCTTGCTCATGCAGACTTCTGTAGGGTGGCAGGGGTGACCGAGTGAGGCTGGGGGGTCTGCTCCACAGAGTCACTCAGGGCTCCAGGGTGATGAAAGACCCACCTTTGGTATATTGCTGGGCAATGCAGGAAGGGGAGGGGAAACTGCAGCCAGCCACTGGCTCTTCTGGACTTTGGCCTAGAAGGGACATGGTATCTGTTCTCATAGCCCATTGGGAGAGTGGAGGAGCAGACAGAATGTGTGGGAGTACAACTCTCCTGGTCACAGTGTCTGTGGCAAATGACTCTGCTTCTTGAAGCCTGTTTCCTTAGCTGTACAATCGGGAAAATCGTCTTCTGTTGAGGTCGTGTGAGAATCGAATGTGATTGCCAGTGAAGGAGCCTGGTGGAGGCACTGCATCTGTTGGTGCTTGATAAACGCGTAGTGCCCACCACTGTGGTTTTCTTTAGGTGCAGGGAGGATCCCCATGCCCTGGAGCCCTGCTTTGCCTCTGCATGGTGGGTGGGGTTTGGGTCTGGGAAGGGCAGTCAGGAGGTCTGACTGCCTGTGTCCTGGGAGGGGCCCGAGGCTCATTGCATCTTTCCAGAAAGTGACATTTGGAAGGAGGCGGGCCTGGGGCTTACTTAACATTTGAGTGCAATTGGTGAGTGCTCCCTGGGGCCAGCCAGATGCCTTTGCAGTGACATTAGCCGGCGGTGGAAGCTGGCAGAGAACACGCAGGCAGGATTTAGGGGCTCCAGGGGCATGCTTAATGGTGGAAGCTTCAGCCTCCGTGCCCCAGAGAGGGAGGGAGGAAGGACGAGGAAAATAGCCTCAGAATTATCCTCGCCCCTGTCTGCGGTCCTGAACTGGTTCTCCGCGGGCCGTGTTCTGGGTCAGAATTGAACGCCCACTCTCCCTCTGCCAGCTGTCACCCCATCCACCCTAGGTCCGGCCAGCAGCACGCTCCTCCCCCTCCTCCCCACCCAGGTCTGCCCTTCGTGGGGTGGCAGGGGCGGTCTGAGCTGAGTCCCCACAGGGCTTCAGGGAGGGCCGGGGTGGGGATGCAGACCCAGGAGCTGGTTCAGGCTCAGTTTACCTGCCTGTGCTTCTGCTTCCTGAGCAGCACGTCACCCGCCCCCAGACTCCCAGGGCCCCAGGCTGGCAAGGTGGCCTTCCAGAGTGCCTGGGGCTCCTGTGGTTCTGTGCCCGCCAGCACTGTCCTCACAGGCACAAGCACCTCATGGATGCTGGTGGGTCAGGTGGGCTGGCGTCTCACAGGACCTCTTCCGCCACTGCCCTCGAGGGTCCTCAGAGGTGGCCCCTCAGGGATGCTCTCAGCAGCCCTTACCCTCCAGCATGAGGCTTCCTCAGAGCTGCAGGGCAGAGATCTAGAAACGGGACTATGGGCCCAGGTCTGTGGCTGGTAGCCAGACTCTGAGTGGAGTAGGTTTGGATCCTGGGCTCCAGCAGGAAGAGTCCTGCGGGGCCACCCAGCCCTGCTCAGGGAAGGGGTGCCAAGGTGATGGGGCCCAGGCCCACTGCCTTCACTTCCTTCCCGGCTGGCTGCACCTGCGGTTGGGGGCATGAGGTGGGCAGGAGCCCTGCCACTTCTGCTGCGCTTCCTTCTTATGGCATGTGGCCCCCGAGGGAGCAGGACCGACTGTACCTCCGTTTCCTCCCTGGACTGGGCCCCTGGGGACTTGGGGATGAGTCCTGCCTTCCTGGCTTGTCCCCTGGCCTACTGCTTGGCTGGGTGTGCCTCAACCTGGAAAGCCCCCACCTCTATGTCCTAGGCTGTTCGCCACTGGCCACGTTGGCCTTGGCTGCGGTGTGTGGCTCAGAACCACTGGCCACGGTGGCCTTGGCTGTGGTGTGTGGCTCAGAACCACTGGCCACGGTGGCCTTGGCTGCGGTGTGTGGCTCCGAACCACTTGCCACAGTGGCCTTGGCTGTGGTGTGTGGCTGAGAACCACTGGCCACGGTGGACTTGGCTGTGGTGTGTGGCTCCGAACCACTTGCCACAGTGGCCTTGGCTGTGGTGTGTGGCTCAGAACCACTGGCCAGGGCCTTGGCTGCGGTGTGTGGCTCAGAACCAGGGTCTCCAGGACAGAAGGTAGAGCCTGGGGTCGCTGGGCGGCGGGCCTCTTGTCTCCGCAGGCAGCTCAGCCCAGCCCAGCAGTCAGGGTCCCAGCACCCGTGTACCCCGCAGCTGCCACTGAGGAGCAATGGGTGTCTTCCTGAGCCAGCCCACCCGCTTGAGGCTCCACCCCTCTGCTCGGCCCAGGAGGCCTCATAGTGGAGGGCACTGTTCCTCCTGTCACTCAGTGGACTGGCCCAGCCCAGCTGTCCCCAAGGAGTCCTCAGGCCTCACGGGCAGCCCAGGCCTGTCCTCTGCAGCCCCATGACATGGGTCATCCTGCCCCAGGCACCCAGCCTTCTTCTGATGCTTTCCCTTACCACCTGCTGACACAGGCGTACCCTGTGAGTCCCCGGCAGGCGTCACTGCCCCCAGGGCTCCACGTCGTCTCTCCTGCATGTGCTCAGTGCTGGGTGGGCCACTCCCAGCTGGAACCCATGTCCTGAGCCACCCTTCACAGTCAGGCCCGTCAGCTCCCCACGGGCCCAGAGCTGGGCCTGTATCTGCCAAGCACGGTGATCCAGTGGGTCGGGGTGGACATCAGAAGACAAACCAGGTGAGCAGGGAGGAGGATGGCCACCGTCAGGCAGATTCCAGGCTAAGGACTCCTCAGCAAGGCTAGTGCCGCAAAAGCACATGCAGCAGAGGGAGCAGGGGCCAGGGGTGCTTCCGCCTGGTGGGCAGGGGTCTGTCTGGGAGCCGGGGCGCTTCTGCCTGGTGGGCAGGGGTCTGTCTGGGAGCCGGGGCGCTTCTGCCTGGTGGGCAGGGGTCTGTCTGGGAGCCGGGGCGCTTCTGCCTGGTGGGCAGGGGTCTGTCTGGGAGCCGGGGCGCTTCTGCCTGGTGGGCTGGGGTCTGTCTGGGAGCCGGGGCGCTTCCGCCTGGTGGGCTGGGGTCTGTCTGGGAGCCGGGGCTCTTCCGCCTGGTGGGCTGGGGTCTGTCTGGGGGCCGGGGCGCTTCCGCCTGGTGGGCTGGGGTCTCTCTGGGGGCCGGGGCGCTTCTGCCTGGTGGGCTGGGGTCTGTCTGGGAGCCGGGGCGCTTCTGCCTGGTGGGCTGGGGTCTCTCTGGGGGCCGGGGCGCTTCCGCCTGGTGGGCTGGGGTCTCTCTGGGGGCCGGGGCGCTTCCGCCTGGTGGGCTGGGGTCTCTCTGGGGGCCGGGGCGCTTCTGCCTGGTGGGCTGGGGTCTCTCTGGGGGCTGGGGCGCTTCTGCCTGGTGGGCTGGGGTCTCTCTGGGGGCCGGGGCGCTTCCGCCTGGTGGGCTGGGGTCTGTCTGGGGGCCGGGGCGCTTCCGCCTGGTGGGCTGGGGTCTCTCTGGGGGCCGGGGCGCTTCCGCCTGGTGGGCTGGGGTCTGTCTGGGAGCCGGGGCGCTTCTGCCTGGTGGGCTGGGGTCTCTCTGGGGGCCGGGGCGCTTCTGCCTGGTGGGCTGGGGTCTCTCTGGGAGCCGGGGCGCTTCTGCCTGGTGGGCAGGGGTCTCTCTGGGGGCCGGGGTGCTTCCGCCTGGTGGGCTGGGGTCTGTCTGGGAGCCGGGGCGCTTCCGCCTGGTGGGCTGGGGTCTCTCTGGGGGCCGGGGCGCTTCTGCCTGGTGGGCAGGGGTCTCTCTGGGGGCCGGGGTGCTTCCGCCTGGTGGGCTGGGGTCTGTCTGGGAGCCGGGGCGCTTCCGCCTGGTGGGCTGGGGTCTGTCTGGGGGCCGGGGCGCTTCTGCCTGGTGGGCTGGGGTCTGTCTGGGAGCCGGGGCGCTTCTGCCTGGTGGGCTGGGGTCTCTCTGGGGGCCGGGGCGCTTCCGCCTGGTGGGCTGGGGTCTGTCTGGGGGCCGGGGCGCTTCCGCCTGGTGGGCTGGGGTCTGTCTGGGGGCTGGGCTGGCGCCCCTCTAGAGGACCTTAGTTCCCTGGCCATCCTGAGCAGGGGCTGCCTGCAGAGTTGCTCCTTTATGTGCTGGGCACACCCAGGCCTAGCACGGAGGCACAGTCGGTCCCGCTCCCTCAGTGGCTACATGCCACATGAAGGGAGTGCAGCAGAGGTGGCAGAGCCCCCGACCCCCTCATGCCCCCAACTGCAGGTGGAGCCATGCCTGCCCCCCACCCCCCGACCTCCATGCTCGGCCCCATCCCCTTCCGCCCTACCCTGGCCCATGTCCCTCCTGCAGGCACCAGTTTCCCTGCAGTCTGGCCCTGCCATGCCCACCTCAGCTGTCCTGAGCTGGGATGCCAGGAGACGCAGCGCCAGCCCCATCCCTTCCAGACCCGGCCAGCTCCACCTCCTGCTCATGAGGCCCCAAGTCTGGCTCCTTCCCCCTCCCTCTCTGAGCAGTTTCTCTGCCTCTCTTTGCCTCATTCTGGTCCCTGGGCCTCCCTCCAGTGTCCTTGAGAGTCTCAGCCCAGCTCTTGGCTGTGCGAGATGCCTGCTACTCTCCTGTGGGAACAGCAACTGAGACGCCCTTCCCGATTTCCGAAAAAGCACCAAACCTAAGTGGTTGCCAGGTTGGATCTTCCACTACTCATTCACTTAACCTCTTCCCATTTTGACAGGAGACACAGAATTGCTTCTTGCATTTTCCTTGCTCGAGGGCGACCCTGCACACAATTACTCAGAACAGGTGGAGGGCCAGTAGCAGAAAGCACCTTTCACAGTCCCCAGGAGCCCCCTCCCCTCCTGCTGTGCCTTGCTTCTCCAGGCACCCCTCAATTCCCCTACTGTACCCCCGAACCTGCCAGTTCCTTAGGGGCAGAAGGGACACTGGTGCCTTGACCCGTGTGGCATGGTGGCTCTACTGTCCATAGGGAGGGCGTGTGGCCCTGGCTGGGCTATCTGAAGCTCACCGGGACTCAAGGAGACTCAGTCATTCAGTCACTCAACAAACACTGCCTGAGCACTTACCAAGGGTCCCTCAGCCCTCCCATCTCTTGCTCTGGGCAGCTTGGAAGGGCAGCTGGCCTCAGCTTCCTGTCCCAAATGCTTGCTCATAACTCTGGCCTGATGCTAGCGGTGCTAAGTGTGAACAGTGGAACTTCCTGCTGCCCAGTGCCGTCTTGATCTGTGTAGGCTGATTTTAGTCTAATAGTGAATGGTGTGTGTGCATGAGTTTGTGTGAGTGTGCACCCACCTGTGAGCAATTGTGAATGCTCAGTGAATGCTGACATACACACAGTGCACATATCTTTCCATATGCTCCAGATATTCACTCTAGGGCTAAGCTGCCCACACAGGCGCTGCAAAGCAGGGTAGATGCCGACTCAGCAACAGCCGCCCAGCTGGGAGCATCCCCCAGGCATCAAGGGGACTCGGCTTAACCTTCCAGAGCTCTCTTCATCATACTCTTCCTCACTGTCTTCACCATCACTGTACAAAAAGCTTTCGTATCTCTCATCTCATTTTATAGAGTCCTCATAGCAGCCAGGGGTCCAGCAGCGGAGGGTAGCACATGCATTTTGCAGATGTGGACAGTGGCACTGGACAGCGGAGACGGCCCTGCCCACAGGCCGAGGGTGGACCTGGGTAGGTTAGGCTGTCAGGCCGAACACGCAGGGGACAGGCACTGGTTGGCCCTTCAGGTACCGTTACCTCTTCACAGATGGGCACTGAGAACTGACAGATAGATCAGGAAGGGCTTCCTGGAGGAGGTGTCCTGAGGAAGTGGCTTAGAGCTAGCCAGCTTAGAGCCAAGGCTTCTCTGTGCATTGAGCAAACCCCTGAGTTCTCAGCCTGGGCTTGTCCTGTGTAGCATGGGGCAGGCTGCCTCGGGCTTTGCCAAGGTCCTTTTTGCTCTGAGGCTTTGGGACTTTGGCTCCAGGTCCAGGCTCTTCCCCGATCTATCAGCACTGAGGTCTTTGGCATGTGAGATGGAGCGGGCCAGTGAGGGACTGGATTCTAGCAGTGGCAGCGGGGCCGTCGCACCATATGAGGCACACACACGGCCAAGCCATCCCCACTGCTCCTGTCAGATGTGCAGGTGAGGCCAGCAAACTGCAAAGGCTCGTGTGAGCCCAGACAGCATCCTGTGGAGCAGAGGACCCATCCCAGCTGAGCCCTGTTCAAACGACCAACTCAGGATTGTGAACACAGAATGTCACTGCTTGAAGCTGCTTAGTTTTTGGCGTGATGGTTATACCACGACAGGAACTGACACACTCGATTCATCACCACCACTGCTTGGCTCATCCTTATGAGAGGGACATCAGACTCCCTATGGTGAGGTGGTTAAGAGAACAAACTTTGGAGACAGAGAAACCTGGATGCAAAACCCTGCATCTCGTAATGTCCCTGAGGCTGATTCCTCATCTGAAAAATAAGGATTAAAAATATTAGACTCCAAACTCATTGGTTGTTGTAATGGTTAAACACACATAAGTAATTTAGACACTCCTGACCTGGCTGTGGTGAGGCTGGGGGAAGAGTGAGAGAGGGGAGGCTCCTGGAATAGAAGCAGGGAGAGGTGAGGGAGCTCAGGCACAGGGACAGGGGGCCTGAGGGCTGCTGGCCAGGAAGGGATTACATCACACAGCTCCTCAGGCCCTGAGCACCAAGTATTATGCAGGGTCGGGCAGGTCTGCAGAGAGAACCAGGCCACCAACATCTCTACAGAGAAGGCCCAAATCTTAGTCCTGCTGGCTAAGATTACTTTTATTTTGCCTTTAAACTTGAGAGAGAGAGAGAGAGAGAGAGAGAGAGAGAGAGAGAGAGAGAAAGAGAGAGACAGACAGCGCCTGCACGCAAGAAGAGAAGCAGGCAGAGGACGTAATGGAGGCTGAACACTGCACTTGGAGGAGGGGTGGTGGCTTTCACTGCCTGGTCTCCAGTGTGGTCAGGTCTCACTGGACTTGGAACTGTGCACCTGCCTGCTCAGAAGGCACGAGGCAGAGGAGTGGCCACCTTCAGACCTCCAGGTTCCAGGGAAGGGAGGCAGAGAGGGAAGGTAGAGCTTTGTTGAGAGAAATGGAGGAGGAAAATGGAACCACAGAGGGGCCAGGAGGGGAGAGAAACTCCTGTCTGGGCAGAAGCTGAGGTGTGTCCATGGTGTTGGACGTGTGTCGTGGTGTTGGAGGTGTGTCCATGGTGTTGGAGGCATGTCCGTGGTGTTGGAGGTGTGTCCATGGTGCTGGAGGCAAGTCCATGGCACTGCAGGCATGCCCATGGCATTGAAGGCATGTTCATGGTGTTGAAGGTGTGTCATAGTGTTGGAGGCATGTCCATGGTGTTGAAGTTGTGTCATGGTGTTAAAGATGTGTTGTGGTGTTGGAGGTGTGTCCATGTTGTTGAAGGCATGTCCATGGTGTTGGAGGCGTGTCCATGGTGTTGGAGGCATTCTCATGGCATTGAAGGCATGTTCACGGTGTTAAAAGTGTGTCATGATGTTGAAGGTGTGTCATGGTGTTGGAGGTGTGTCATGGTGTTAAAGGTGGTTCATGGTGTTGAAGGTGTGTCCATGGTGTTGAAGGTGTGTCGTGGTGTTGGAGGTGTGTCCATGGTGTTGGAGGTGTGTCATGGTGTTGGAGGTGTGTCCATGGTGTTGGAGGTATGTCATGGTGTTGGAGGTGTGTCCATGGTGTTGGAGGTGTGTCATGGTGTTGAAGGTGTGTCCATGGTGTTGGAGGTATGTTCATGGCATTGGAGGTGTATCCATGGTGTTGGAGGTGTATCCACACCGTTGGAGGCATGTCCATCACGTTGGAGGTGTATTCATCCCGTTGAAGGCATGTCCATTGCATTGGAGGTGTGTCCATGCCATTGAAAGTGTGTCCATCTGTTGGAGGCCTATGCACAATACTGAAAGAGTGTGCATGGCATTGGAGGCATGTCCATGTGTTAAAGGCTTGTTAAAGGAAAGACTAGAAAGGAGGGTTGGACTCTTGCTGAAGGTCTTTGATGTGGGGACTTGGGCACTGGAGCAGTGGAGCCCTGGGGGGCCCTGGGAAGGCATGTGGCTTGATTTGACAGGCATTTAGAGAAAAATCACTGGTATGGTTTTGCTGTGTCCCCACCCAGTCTCATCTTGAATTGTAGCTCCATAATCCCCACATGTCATGGGAGGTAATTGAATCATGGGGTCAGGTTTTTCCTGGGCTGTTCTCCCGATAGTGAATAAGTCTCATGAGATTTGATGGTGGTATAAAGGGAAGTTCCCTGCAGATTCTCTCTTGCCTGCCACCATGTAAGATATGCCTTTTCTCCTCCTTCGCCTTCTGTCACAATTGTGAGGCCTCCCCAGCTATGTGGAACTGTGAGTCCATTAAACCTCTTTTTCTTTATAAATTACCCAATCTTGAGTATTTCTTCAGAGCAGTATGAAAATGGACTAATACAATCACCCTCCCAGTGTAGGGTGAGAGTTGGGCTGAGGCCAGGAGGGACAGAGAAGCTTGGGAGGGGACAGAGAATGGAGGCTGATGGAGACCATATAGGAGGTAGAATGACAGAAGCCTGGGGGGACAGGGAACTGCCAGTTGCTGCTTTTCCTGGGTCATTCCATGGGATTGCCTCGAGTTTCCTTCCAGGTGGGCCTCCTACCCACAGCAGGCTGGCCCAGGACCCCAGGCTCCATGAGCTTGGCACTGGCCAGTGTCCTGCAGTTAGTGTTGGTGGGGCTGAGGCTTAAATCTCGCCAGTTTCCCTCCAAAGCTTGCGAGGGGGCCCGGCCCAGGCCACTGAGTCTCCCAGGGTTGTCTTGACCGTGGTGCAGGAGGGATGCTGTTGAAGTTTTGTCTTAATTTGAGGCCCCACTGAAGATTTTGAGACAGGGAGAAGGGTGCAGGTCCTCTGGGAGCTGGCCAGGGATGCAGGGCATATAGTCTTCAGGTGGCCGTAACAAAATTCCACAAAGTTGGCACCTTAAACTGCAAACGTGGACTGTCTCACCGCTCTGGAGGCTGAAGCCTGAGATCCAGGTGCTGGCAGGGCCCCCTCTCTCCGAGGCTCCCAGGGAGGCTCCTTCCTGCCTCTTCCAGCTGCCAGTGGCGCCAGGCATTCCTTGGCTTGTGGCCGCATCCCCCAGTCTGCTTTCATCGTCTCACAGCTGTCGTCCCTCTGTGCCTGCATCCATGTTTTTTGTTCTTTTTTTTTGAAACAGAGTCTGGCTCTGTCACCCAGGCTGGAGTGCAGTGGTGTGATCTTGGCTCACTGAACCTCTCTGCCTTTGAGGTTCAGGTGATTCTCCTGCCTCAGCCTCCTGAGTAGCTGGGACTACAGGTGCATGCTACCAAACCTGGCTAATTTTTTTGTATTTTATTTTATTTTTTTAGTAGAGTTTGGGTTTTACCATGTTGGCCAGGCTGGTCTTGAACTCCTGACCTCAGGTATCTGCCTGCTTCAGCCTCACAAAATGTTGGGATTACAGGCGTGAGCCACTGCACCTGGCCCCAAGTTTCTTTTCCATATGAAGACCCATCCTATTGGATTAGGGCTCACATGAATCCAGCGCTACCTCATCTTAGTGACGCCTGCATAGACCCTATTTCCAAATAAATTCACATTCACAGGTTCTGGTGATGTGAACTGCCTGGGGGCACGATTCAACCCAGAACAGGGGTGACACCAGGAAGGGAGGGCAGCCCATTGGGGGCGTGTGGCCCAGTTGGCCACTGCTCTGGGAAACTGACACTTAAACCTGTTGGAGACCCTGGAGGGCAGCCAGGGAGGCCGGATGCTGAGCTGCGGTGTGAGAGAGCTGCGGTTCATCCAGCACCTCCTGCCTCCGCTGGTGGCTTCCTGGGTCCCTCCCTCCTTGCCATCACCCCGTTGCCTCCTGTCTCATCTTTGAGATCCCTGTGGTCTGGACATAAAAGGGGCATGTCTGTCCACTGGGGCGCTTGGGCTGAGAACTCCCACTGGCCCAATCCCCGAGACCCCATCCCCACATTCATGTGTCTGTCTGGGGAGAGCTGCTCTCCCGTTATTTCTGGGAATATTTTTATTCATTGTTCATCTTGGCATTTATTGTTGACATTCCAAGAACAGTCAAACAAGATAAATGTCCCATCTCCAGGACCCACAAACCGCTGCCTCTCCCCGCTGTAAATTCATTTCTAGCTATTGAGCAGTCAGGGGTGCCTGTGCCGGGTTAAGTGGAGGGAGGCGGGTGCCAGGCCTGCCGGGGAGGGGCTGCAAGGTGCTGGAGGGAGATAAAGCCCTGAGACCAGATGCGATTACACCCGGCCAACGTGCGAGGGCCCTGGGGATCCTGGGCTCTGGCACAGCCTGCCCATGGGGGTGCCCAGCTCTGCCCCACGTGGGCGTGCCAGCCTGTGGGGGCTCTGTGAGACTCAGGTTCCTGTGTGGGCCTGCACGGCTGGCTCACGGCTCAATGTCCTGTTGATGTCGCTGACCTGGGCTTCTCTGCCTTCAGGTGGATGTTAGTCAGGGCTCTCCAGACAAACAGAACCAGTAGGCGTTATGTAGATAGACTGCTGGATCCATCAAGAGAGCTTTATTGTGGGGGTTTGGCTCACACCATCATGGAGCCTGAGAAATCTCACGGTCCACCATCTGTAAGCCCAGGACCCAGGGGAGCTGAGAGTGTAAGGCCCAGCCCAGGTCTGAAGGCCTGAGAGCCCTGAGTGCTAACTTCCAAACATATACCCAGAAATCATGTTTTCTTCATGGTGTTGAAGGTGTGTCCACGAGGAGCACAAATGCCCTAGGCACTGGGCACTCATTGCCCATCCCAGGTGCCACGCAAGTCTGTGGCCTGCGCTTCCCCCTTTCAGTTTCACACTGACACTGTGGGGTGGGTACTGTTCCCAACACGTTTTATACAAGGGGAGACCAGAGCTCAGAGAGGTCAAGCCACCTGCCTGAGGTCGCACAGCTGGCCTGTGGAGAAGCCGGGGCTCTGCTACCCAGGTCCGCCTGATCTTGCCATCATCCGATGCTCTTGCCGACGGCACCACATGGCTGCGGAAAGGGTAAGTGATGTGATGAGCACAAATGCCCTTCAAAGACCAACTTCTGGGCGACTATCTGCTGTCATGCCTCTCTCTGGACCCCAAGCCAGGCCACCCCTTAGCCCGGTCGGGTTGACACATAAATAAACCATCACAGGGCGTCCCATTTCTCCCGCACAGGATTTCTGGGGTCATTAGAGATAAATTAGGTCAGCCGTCGGGACGTATTTACACTTAGCAGGTGCTCCCTAAATGGGCTCTACCCCTCCCATGTGCCCCTCTCACCTTCTCGCGGTGCTGGTGATGCTGCTGAATAAGGCCTCTCGCTTCCTGGGCCCTGTGCTGGGAGCAGGGCTGGGGCTGGGATCAGAGACCTCGTCCTGCGCCTCAGATGGCTCGTCTGGCTTGGGGGCCAGAGAGAGGCATTGCAGCTGACAGTCGCCCGGAGGTTGGTCTTCAAAGGGCATTTGAGCTCACCACCTCACTTACCCTTTCCACAGCCATGTGGTGCCCTCAGCAAGAGCATCGGATGGAGGCTGTGGGGCAAGGTCAGGCAGACCTGGGTAGCAGAGCCCTGGCTTCTCCACGGACCAGCTGTGTGACCTCAGGCAGGTGTCTTGACCTCTCTGAGCTCTGGTCTCCCCATGCATAAAGCATGTTGGTAACAGTACCCACCCCACAGTGCTGGTGTGAGGCTGAAAGGGGGAAGTGCAGGCCACAGGCTTTCATGGTGCCTGGGATGGGCAATGAGAGCCCAGCAAGTGCAAGCTCTTGATATGACCGTCCCCATTTTCTAGATGAGGAGACTGAGGCTCAGGAAATTAGAGGCCTTACTCAGGACCTTTACCACATGATCAAGGCTGGAATGAAAATCCCAACTCCGTCCCAGGCCCTGGCCTCTGTGTGCCGAGAACATTAGGCAGAGAGAAGTTGTGCCTGGCAGAGGGAAAGATGGCCACAGCAGGACCAGTCAGGGAGGGCTTCCTGGGAGTGGGGACACCTAGGCAGTGGCCCGCAGGGTGGTTAGGACTTGGCTGGGCTGAGAGGCAGTGAGAGGTCACTCCTGTTCAGGGCAGGGAACGGGCCACACCCTTCATAGCTGAGCCAGGGAACAGGCATACTGTTCACGAGCAGCCAGTGGAGACCGAGGCTCAGAGAGGACAGGCAGCCCAGCAGAGCTGCTCAGCGTGAGGCGCAGGGGCTGGGACTCATCCCCACACCCTCACTCCCTCACCTCTGCCCCCGCATCCTCTCCTTCTGCCCTGGCAAGTGTGAGCATGGCTCCCAGGCAGGCTCACTTTCCTGTCATGACTTGGCAGCAAGAGCTAAGGGGCTTGCTCTTAGCTGGCCTGGAGTTGGACACACTCAAGTGCTGGCCAGTGAGGTGGGTATTTGGAGGCACGTGGATCCCAGGAGCAGGTGCTGGCAGGACACGAGTCCCAGGCTTGGGAGGTCAGGGGCGACATCCTCAGACTTGATCTCCATGCCCCAGGCCTGGAATGTCTGCTGGAGCTGGGGATGACCCGAGTGAGCTCAGGTCCCACCATGCAGCCCAGCGGGCCTTCCTGTGACAGTGTTGGTGGCTGGCATGGGGGCTGGACAGTGGAAGGCCACCCCTGGTGAATGGCCGACTGGCCACCTCATCCTTGTGGGGCCGCCACAAGTGCCTCTACCCAGCTCTGCTGTGCACTGAAAATGCAGGAGAGGGGGTGGGGTGGGCGGGGTGCAGGGGTGTGTGGTTCCGGGCTAGGAGGCAGGAAGGGGGGCATCTTTGAGTGGAGACAGAGTCCAAAAATGTAACAGCTGCCTTTCAGGGGACACAGGGAGGCAGGCACTGGATGTGGCCACGTGCCAGGCTCTGTGCTGAGGGCAGGGTGCTCTCTGGGGTCTGAACCGTCAGCGTCCTCCAGCCCCAGGTGGAATCTGAGGCCTCTGTCCTCCTCCCAGGAGGGAGCCAGATGGAGGGCAGGGGAGGAGGGAGGGAGCCAGGGGAAGAGGGACTCGAGTGCACGAGCCGTAACACTAGGGGCTGCGAGGGTCGGCCGGGCAGTACCCAGAAGTCCATGCCCATATCGGGCATGGCTGATGGTGGGCGGCGACTGGCTTTCCAGGGAGGAGGGACTGATGCCAAGGCTGCAGCTATGATTGCGTTTTCCAAGACTGGAAACTGAGGGTGTGTGACCAGCCTACTGTCGGCCAATTCGCAGCAGTGAGGCCAGAATTGGCATCAACCTGAAAGGTTCTTGCTCCATGTCTGTCAGCGGGAGTAAATTCCCTGTCCCTGCAGAAGCCCAGATTGTGTCTGAGAATGTACCAGTGTCGATGTCGGAACGTCATGAAGTCACTGGGGGCTGTCTCTAGGGCCTGGAGGTGAACAGACACGTGCATGCGAGCCTGTGTGTGTGTGCATGCGTGTGTGATTCGGGGCCCTGCCTCTCTTTGCTCTTCTCCCTCAGCTTCTTTCATTGTTCTGGCCCATCCCCCTCAAGGGAGGAGCCTCTCAGTGTCCTAAATGACAGGCTTGTTTGGAAAGGGAGGTAACCTGCTTGCACACCTCCAGGGCCAGGAGGCTCACCACCTTGCGGACAACCCATTGCCTTGTGCACACTGTGAGCCTGTGAGAAAGTCCCTCCTTGGGCTGAGCCAAGCTACGCTCGTGTCCCTGCTCCTGGCTGTGCCCATGGAGGCCCTGGATGGCCATGCTGCTGCCCCAGGCCCTCCCGCAGTAAAATTCCCAGCCTCCTTCTAGTCTGACCCTGGCCACTGTCCTCCAGATGAAGGCCAGGTGCCCCGAGGAGGCTCCTGACCTCACCAGCACCTCCCTTTGCCCATTCATGCTGGTCTGGACTGGGGTGTGGAGAGTGCACTTGTGCCTTCATATGCATCCACAGCACACACACAGGGATCCAGATACATGCATGGATGTAGGCACACCACATACACACACACAGCACACACACAGGCACCCAGATACATGCACAGATGCAGATACACCACATATGTACACACAGCACACACACACACACACACGGACACCTAGGCACACTCATGGATGTAGGTACACCACATTTGCACACACACAGCACACACACACAGGGACCCAGATACATGCACAGATGCAGGTCCACAGATGCATATGCCACACACAGGCGTGGCTATATGCACACGCATCCCATGAACCCGACAGGCACACGGACGCAGATACACGAACATTAGAACGTGGACCTCCACAGCCACATGCAGTGCATGTCCAGACACAAGCATGAGCACACAGACACATACACCTCGTGTGGGACACAGCCGGTGGCTCTGGAGAGCTGGCAGGAAGCCTGGAGTGGCCCTGAGTTTGCCTGTTATGTGTGCACAGCTTGGTGCACCCAGCCTCAGCAGCCCTTTCAGTGAGGTTTTTATGGTTTTGTTTTGTTTTTTAGAGATAGGGTCTCACTGTGTCACCCAGGCTGGAGAGCATTGGCACAATCATAGCTCACTGCAGCCTCAAATTCCTGGACTCCAGTGATCCTCCTGCCTTAGCCTCCCAAGGTGTTGGGATTACAGGCGTGAGCCACTGTGCCTGGCCTCAATGAAGCTTTTTGGGCAGGCCTTCGGTCTTTTCCCGTATCCCTGCTTAAACATTAAACATTTCCCTGGGCAATGATGCCACCTCCTGTACCAACTGACTGTCCCATCGGCTGCCCAGGTTTGTGGGGACAGGGTGTTCCTCCTGCACCCTCCAATGTGACATTTCCAGCCCCTCCCACCATGCCCACTGGCTGCTGGGCCCTCTCCAAGCCCAGGCTGGAGCAGGCTGGCAGCTGATGTGTTTATTTGCCTGGCAGCGGGGGCGGGAGGGAAGGCGTGGAGGTAATTGGTACATTTTGTAAGCAATCATCCCCTGGCACCCTCTGCCGCAGCGTGTGGGCCGCCAGATCCCGTTAATCATGACCTGGAGGCCTGGGTCCCCCCGCCACCTGACAGCCTCATTTCTCTCCTCGGAAGGATGGAGCCGCTCTGCCTCCCTAATGGCGTTATCTGTTATTCCCGGACACACTGCTCTCTCCTGGCACACTGATGGAGCCAGGGACTGTGCACGGGGCCCAGCGGGTGGGTGAAGAGGGTGGCAAGCAGGGGAAGACACTGATTCTGCAGCCTGTGACTGGCCAGAACTTGGTCGAGTGTTAGGGGCTTCTTCTGCACAGCACTGCACCCATTTCAGCAGCAGAGACAGCGGGAGAGGCTGGTGCCCCACAGGAGGCCACGCTACTTGAGGTAGGTGGCATTTGATACCAGGTGCCCCTGACTGTAGCCTCCCGTGGAATTTTGGGGCTCACTCCAAAATGAAAACTCAGAGCCCATTGTTAAAAAGTTATTAATCATTCCACGACGGCAACAGCAGAGCATTAAACCAAGCAGCAGGCCTGGAGAGCTCGGGCCCCATGTGAATGCACAGGCCACATGGCATGCAGCTGCCCTGTCCACGTGTTCTGACACAAGCTTATGAGCGCACACACATCCACCTCACATGTGTGCACACATGCACAGGCATGCCCGGCTGCAGGCAGGCATGGGGGTCACAGTGGGGTGACCCAGACCCAGGCCTTGCTCATCAGGGGTCACCAGCCAAACCCCTCCCTACCTCAGTTTCCTCACTGCTTACAGGGGCCCAGGACACAGCCCAATGCGGTGGCCAAGATGGTGCCCAGTTGAGGGAACTGGCTGGTGCCCCCTGGCTGGCCTCCCACAGGGAAACGTGCCTGGCATCATGATTGATGTTGCTCTTAATGACGGAAATGACGGCCGTGTATGAGAGACGCAGGAGCAAATCATCCCTGCATGATTAATAAAGGGCCCAGGGGATGCCGGTGTGATTAATTCCTGCACTTACTCTACCTCACCTGCTCATACATGCTCACACACATGCACACAGCACCCACTGGGTGCCAGGGCTTTGCAGGGGCTGGCCCTACCCATGTAGCACTCCAGCTGGACCCAATCCAATCCTTCATTCTAAGCATCCATCCATCCACCCATCCATCCATCCATCCATCCATCCATCCATCCATCCATCCATCCATCCAATCTATCCATCCACCAATTCATCTGTTCATCCATCCACCCATTCACCAGTTTATTCATCCAGATAAATCAATTTATCCATCCATCTGTCTGTCCATCCATTCATCCACCCCTCCAACCTCATTCATCCATCCATCCACCAGTTTATCCATCTGGCAAGCTCTCATCCCTTCTGTAAGTATCCACCAAGTTTCTATTTGTGTCAGCCCCTGGGGATCCAAGGATGAATCATCCACATGGGCCCTGAACTGGAGGCCCTCCCAGGCAGGTGAGGGGTCAGTGGCAGGAAACACCACCCCCCTATCCCCAAGCTCTGTGCTGTAGCCAGCTGAGGTGTGGGGTGGGCTGTGGAACTGGGGGCCAAGTTGGTGAGGTAACTACTCCTTGGGGAGTAGGGAAGGACTCACTTCCCCATTTTGGGCAAGGCACTTCATCTCTCTGTGCCTCAGATTCCTCATCTCTAAGATGGAGATCGTTATGATACCTCCCCTGTCAGGATTGTTGTGGGGGATTAAAAGAGTTAATTCAAGTCAAGCATTTAAAACAGTGCTGGCCATATTGTCAGGGAGTGCCATGTTAGCATGAGACACACATGTAACTTCTAAATTTATCCTTTGCATTTAAAAATAGTACAGCCTGATAGAAGGATCTGTGTGATCCCAGCACAGATTCTAGTTAAGAAAAGGAAATCGGAGAGAATATTCAACATAAAGTAACACATGTGAAACCCTTCTTGGGGTGGACAATCACTGACTCCCAAAGGTGTGTTTGGCGTTCCTTCTGGAAGGTTCTATTACACACCATGGATGAAAGATGCCTTTCCCTTGTTCCTAGAGCAACTGATCTGGGCACAAATCCTTGAAACCCAATGTAGTCAGAGCAGTGATGGGGGCTGAGGGGGACACAGCGCCCAGGGAGCTGGGAGGAGGAAAAGCTGTTTCTGTTCAGGGGCTGTGAAGATTAACCCAGGTTGTTGTGGTAAACAAGGAGAGGTGGGCATTCCTGCAGGAGAGGCCGGTGTGTGCAAAGGCCTGTGGTGGTGATGGATTGGAAGTTATGATGACACCTTCCAGGAGAGAAGACAGGCTGGACTTGGAGATTACTCCCATTCTGCAGGTGGGTAGACTGAGCCAGGAGCAGGAAAGCAGTTATTTATTGAGTGCTCCCACCCTCAAGGCGTGGTGCAAGATCACATGCTCTGAGGCAGCTGAGCAACCTTTCTTCATGAGATGAGCAAACTGCAGTTCAGAAAGGTTGGGTGATGCACCCGGGGCCCAGTTGGTCAGGAAGGGGCTGGACTTGATCCCAGGTCTCCCAGCTTTTGGTCTAGAGCTCTGTTCATAAAGGATAGGGGGTGCAAATAGGAGCAGAGGAGAATAATGGGGTTTGTGTTTCTGGGTGAGAGGGTCCCTGACTCCCACCTCGCTCTTGACCTTCCATGGCGAGGCCAAACTCTGGCCCACTGAGTCCAGCTGCCCCCTCAAGAGTTTGCGTGGCCAGGTTAATGGTCCCCAGGAGCTGCAGCTGAGGGGCCAGTGGTGCACAGTTAGGGCTTTCCAGGCCTTGCCTGGCAGGCAGCCCCAGCATCTCCTGACAACAGTGTGGCCTGCCTGGAGTGTGACCCCAATCTGGGCAGTCCCTCTGGCCTCAAAGTCCTTTGCAAAGACAGCTGCTTCAGCCCCCTCGCTAGGCCCCTGCCTCAGGCCTCACCTTTCCCCCATCACAATCAGATGCTGCTTCTCAAACCTCCACCCTGATGCCGTCTCTCCCTGCTCTAAAACCTTCAATGGCTCCCTATCACCAGCCCTGTACCATCTAAAGGCATGTGGGTTCACGGCCTCATGAGACTTCCAGCTGCTCTCACTGGCTGACTGACTCTCTTCCCCTTGCCCTTTCCTGCCCCCGATCTGAGGCCCATGAGCTCATCTCACTCAGCCCATGCTCTGCAGTGTTTTTCTCTGTTCTCTGGAAATCATATCAGGGTCCTCTTCTCCTTGGAGTCACCCACAGCTCCCTGTGCCCTCATCCTCAGACTGGACTTGGAGGGCCTTGGATGACAGGCTGGGCAGGGCCTCTGCCTTATCCCCCATCAGGCCTTGCCCCTCCCTGAAGTCCCCCCTCAGGTTTCCCAGACTTTGCTCTGTGAGGGTGGGGAAGGAGGGGGGCACGTGTATTTGGGAACCACAACCTCTCCCATGCCGCTCTTGGGGAGTCACTGCTACCAGCCTGGTACAGGCTCTGTGAAGTCTGTTGAACTCAGTTTGTCCCAAACCTCTAATCCCAGAGCCTGGCTGCCCTGCTCCAGCCATGCTGGGTGACTTGTGGTTGCTGTCCCCCGCCCCAGCCCTTCCCTGCCTTGTTTCTGGGATTGCCCTTTCTCTCCCCTTCTTCCCCATGGTTGCCTGGGAAGCCCTGGGCCCACCTCTTTGGCCCCCAGAGATCTCTTTGAAGCTGAATCAGCTCACAAACAAAGATTCTTACCTGTTCCTAGTAGAGACACAGGCATCCCTGCTGGCCTCAGGCGCAGGATATACTGGGCCCTTGAAGGCGGGTGAAGGAATCTTCTGGCTTGGGGTGGCCTGTGGTGTACTTAGCAGCCTTGTGGTCTGAGCTAGGGGGTTGTCTCTGAGGGAGCATGAGGTTCCTTCAGCTCTGGCTCTGTCAGTGGCATTCTGGGTGCTGTAGAGTGGTCAGTTCTCAATCTGTTTGTCACTGTGTTTGTTCTCAGCAGTGGGACAAGAACCATAGAGAACCTCCAAGAGCATTGGAGCCTGGGGCCTGGGTTCAAGCCCCGTTCCAGTCACCACTGTGCAACCTCAGACAAGTTGCCTAACCTCTCTGAGCTTCAGTCCTCCCATCTATAAGTGGAAGGATTTGTATGTTTGTTGTGAGTTTACAATTAGTTCACAAACATAAAGTGCCTAATACACAAAAGCTCCTGGCATTTAGTTGGCTGTGCTGAGGGGATATCTGGGGTCCTCTTTCCAAGCTTGCCATGGCCCCAGGTGCCAAGGTCAGGCCTGGTGATTGCGTGATTCTGTCCCAGAAAAGCTGTGGTCGTAGCCTCTCCTTTGGGGATTTGAAGATGAATGTGACCTCTCTGTCCTTTTGCAGAAGAATAAGGCTTTCTAAGAAGATCAGATGATGAGGCTCTGATGCCCTCTCACTGATAACGACCTGTCACGGAGATGCAGGCCGCACTCCACAGCAGACGCTGCCCCCGGAGGGACGAAAGCCCCGCCTGGTCAGCGGTCCTGCTTTCAAGCTCGTCCTTTTCGACCATGTAAAGAGGGTCAGGCCCTGCGATGTGAGGTCCAGCGATCCTGGGGACAGCTGCTACCAGGCCCTGATTCTAGAATTCCTGAGAGCAGTTGTGGAGGCCACCGCCTCTTGCTGTGGGGCAGGAAGGGACAGACACTGGGGCCGGTTTTAAACTTAGTTGAAAAGAGAGACGCTCTGTCAATCAGCACCATGGACAGCACCAAAGGATGAGGGCATTTGTGATGGAAGGGGAGCCCTGAGGGGCAGGGCTGGGCGTGAAGGCAGCTCAGGGGTGTGAAGACCAGCTTCCTGCTGGAAGACCACAGGGAGGTTTGAGATGGACAGAGCACCTCACTGCCCATCACAGGCCACAGGGCTCCCCGAAGCACAACTATGCAGGTGGCCAGGGGGCCAGAGTGCAGGCAAAGCGGGAAAGTGGGTGGGGTGCCCCGGCTCAAGGGCCTGAGAGGGCATCGTCTGTGTGGGGAGAAATAGAAGGGAAACCCCCCCTTGGCCAAGACCTGTGCCATCTTCCAGGTGGCAACCCCCGGGGACTCCTTGGAGAGGGATTTCTTGACCCTGCCCTGCACACCGATGGCTCCAGCCTCAAGCTCGCCTGTGCCTCTCAGTGCTTCTGTCCAGCTGTCATGGGAGCCCCAGGAGGCGCTCAGGATGCACGGGGGCAGCTGGGAAGATGGGGGCCCCATGCCCCAGGAGCAAAGCTCCACCCTTGAGGACAGACAATGCCAGCCTCCACATCTCCAGCACGACACTCCTGAGAGTTGTTCAGCTCCCTGTCACGGCCTCCAAGAGGGATGCTGAGTCTTCTGTACCCCAGGTCACTTCCTCTCCTGAACTAGGTCAGCCTCTTACAGCAGGGATGTGGGTCAGATTGACCTGAGCTTACAGGCTGGGCGTGAAGTGCCCCTGCCGGAGGAATCAGGGCCTGCCTTAGCCTCTCTCAGCTTCAAGGCCTGAATTCATAGCCTGACTCCCTGGGCTGAATGTGGGTAGAAACAAGGCTTAGTGGGAGCAGTGCCGAGAGTGGGGCCAGGCACGCGGTGACCACAGCAGTGTTTATTCAGCATTCGCCATGTGCTCAGCGTGGTGCTGGGGGAGTTTGTTATGCACGGAGCCCTCGCTGGTTTCTCCTAAGAAGCCCACCGTGTAGCTGATTCTCCCACCTCCTGGCTGTGTGACTTGCAGCAAGGTACGCTCTGAACCATGGCTTTCTCCTCTAGGAATCCGGCACTAACGCTTCCCCCTAAATGAGATTGCACCTCTTTGAGAAAGTGCCTTGCACCTGCCTGCTTATCAAAGTCCTCAGGAATGGTTGGTTGGAGGTGGCAGTCCGAGGCTGGACTTGGCCAGGGGGGACCCTGCCTTGTCTTTCTCCTTCTGGCCATAGTCCTGCTGCCCTTGCAGCCTGGTCAGTACTGGAGATTGGCTACCTGGACAGGCTGGTCTCCAGACAGACCTGTCTCAGAGGGGAGGCCTGTTTAGATAGATGACTCGGCCATGCTAGGCTCAAATGGGACCCATGGGGAGATGGAGAGAAGTACGGCCTGCCTGCTTCATGGCAGTGTGTGGTTGCAGTGGGCATCAAACACGCAGGATGTTTATGTGCCCTAATAAAGCGGCAGCTGTAATTTTCTCTCTGTTTCTGGGCAGAACCTTGGGGATCAGCCTGCCCTCTGAGTCACCTCTGGAAGGAATGATTCTCCTAGCATTCCTCCTTGGAGATCCAGGAAGCCCAAGCAGCTGGGAAGCCTGGCTGAGTCATGGTGCTTGCAGGTTCAGTATGCGGGAGGGGCTGGGGAGGCCATGAGGAAATGGACAGAATGCTGATTCAAGAAGGGACGTGGGAGTGGACGAGGCAGCGTATAGAGGACCGCGGGGAGAATGTGGCTTGCTCAGTGAGGCCAGGGCTGCACTTTGAGAGGGGATGGCAAACTCCTCTCCTGGCTGCACTGTGGCCACGGGCTGGGCCCCTCCTTGAGAAAGGGGCCTAGTGCTCCCTGCCCTGCTACCAAGCACGGGGTGAGGCCTGGGATGTCAAAGCACTTTATCTGCAGCCTGCGGCCCCCATGACCAAGGCCGCTTTGTGCTGAGTCCATCGGTGCAGCACCCCGCCGGGCCGCTGTTTCTGACCCAACAGACCTGTCTCATGTCGTCTAGGTCCTGGTTGGGGGTTCTGGGGACCCCTCACACTCCTGGGGCTCTGGGAGTCTTGTGGGTGTGTGGAGTCTGGGGGTCTCAGGGTTGGACACAGTTGAGCAGGGGCCTCTGCGGCAGGACTTTGACAAGCTTGTGCCTGTGGTGACTCTCTAAGAGCAGAGGCTGTAGGAGGCAGCATTTCCTGAGATCTTTTGGACCTAGAGTCTTTCTTCCGTAGCATCTCCTGGGATTTTGTGTTTTGCGAGACAGGGGTTTTGGGATTGCCGTCTTGGGAACGTGGTGCTGCTCATCCATCCATCTGGTGAAGCAGTAAAAGACTCACATTCCCTGTCCTGCACTGACAGCTGCATTGCCCCCACCATGGGACCAGGAGAGCCTTGGAAGAGATGGCAGGGGTAGGCTGGGGTGAGGAGGCCTCAACCCTAAGCAGAGCCACCTGAAACACCCAGGCAGAACAAAGGTGAGGAGTGGGGGAGGGCTTCAGGGACAGTGGCCTTGGGACACTCCAGGTGGAGTGGTCTGGAGTCTGCTGGCCTGGTGGGGTGTAGGGAAGAGTGGAGAAGTATTAGGGGGAGAAGCCCCTCCCCTGGATCCAGGTGCTGGCCTGGCTGTGGTTGCTGGGTCAGGGCCCCCAGAAAGAATACAGTTCCCACAAGGAAGAGGGGAGGGCCTCTGGATCCCCCCAGCACCCATCACAGGCCAGCCTGTGAGTGCCTTGCCCTGGAGCTCCACCTGCATCCTGTCCTGCAGGTGCCACCTGCACCCCATCCTGCAGGAGGCTGAGGCTGCAGAGGCTGAGCAACTTCTCAGGGCTATGCAGGAAGCTCAGGGGTCCCCCAGCCTAGCCTCCTGGACAGACTCGCCCCCAGTAGGCCTGACCCCTTCAGCTTCCAGCTCTCACTAGCTATGTTTCCAGATTCCTTGAAATTCTCTCCTTGCGTGAGGCTGGCTTTTTCAGCCCATTCTATCTGTGCATTTCTAGTTGGGAGAGAAGCCTCTTCAAGTTCATGGGGGTGGGCTGTGTGCTGATGAGAAAGTGATGCTGGGGCCACACCACTGCTGAGGACCCTCCGGCGAGTCTGGTGGTGACCTTGGGCCAGGTGTGCTCCTTCTCATCTGTAAGGAGGATATTTGAGCTCAGTGGGTGATGAATGATTTGAGCTGGAAAATCCAAGACCTTGGCATGGGGGAAGTTGTGGAGGGAGAGGTGACATGGGGTGGCTGGGGCTACTCTGGGCCCATAAAGGCCTGCCTGATCCCTCGGCAGCTGGATGTTTACTGACACCACCTGCTGTATGTGGCCTAGGTAGGGGCAAGGGTGGTAACCTAGAAGCACAATCAGGCCCTTCCCCGGCCCTGCGGGGGTCAGGGGGCTGGGCTTTGGGGAAAGGTGTAGTTCAGCCAGAAAGCTGTTTCCTCAGTATGCTGTGGTCCGAATTAGAAACCTCCTGGGTGGTCCTGGTCATAAACACCGCACTGTTGGTGACACGCTGATGGCTGCACAGGGTGCACAGGAGGGCACAGGGTGCACAGGAGGCCCTACTTGCACCAAGGGCTTCAGGACCTGGGGACAAGGTAGAGGCAAGAGACTGGAGCTTTCTGATTGAGTTCCTACTGTCCACTGTGCCCTGGCCAAGACCTGGACAGTGGACCTGGTCTCCTTGAACTCTCATGCTTGAGGAGTGTCTTAGTCTGTTCTCACACTGCTATGAAAAATACTCGAGACTGGGTAACTTATAAAGGAAAGAGGTTTAATTGACTCACAGTGCAGCATGGCTGGGGAGGCCTCAGAAAACTTACAATCATGGCCGAAGGGGAAGCAAACACGTCCTCCTTCAAGTGGTGGCAGGAGAGAGAAGTGCCGAGTAAAAGGGGGAAAGCCCCTTACAAAACCATCAGATTTGCGAGAACTCACTCACCATCGCAAGAACAGCACGAGGGTAACCGCCCCCATGATCCAATTACCTCCCACTGGGTCCCTCCCACGACATGTGGGGATTATAGGAACTACAACTGAAGATGAGATTTGGGTGGGGAACACAGACAAATCATATCGGGGGCAGGGAGCTGGGTGGGTGACACCTGGGGGTCATGTCTCAGGTCAGGGACTGAGGGTCCCAGGGGCTCCCCAGTGGGGTGGGGGTGCCCCTGAGACCCAGGGCTCACAGTCGTGGCAGGAATACCCAGCACAGCCCCCCTCCCCAACCCTATTGGCTTTTGTGGGGGAGTGTGGGCAGCCAGCCTGTCCCCAGCTCCCATGGCACCTGCCCTGGTTGTCTACACTGGCGGCCCCATGCAGCACCCAGCAGAGCAGCCTTGGCTCTCCAGGGTGAGGGCTGGACAGTGGCAGTGGGATCCTGTTCACTGGGACGCTTGCCCCAAACACTAGAGACCGGCAGTTCTCACGTTCCATACCCCATGGGCTTCCTCCACCCAAGCCCAGTCGTCTATGGCCAAGTCTGCTTTCCAGTGGGGTGGGGGTGGATTGGCAGGGCCAAGCCTATGGTCAGCTCTGCTCTTAGCTGTGGTTTGGAGCAGGTGTCATTACCCAGCTGGTGGCAGGTGAAGAAATGGAGGCTCCTGAGTAGACAGCAGCCCTAGATCTGCAGGAAGCACAAAGGGGCCCTGGATCTGCCATCATCCAGTCCGCGGCCACCTCTCCTTCCACTATCCTTTCCCACACTTCCCTCCACGCCCCATGCCCCATGTTCCAGTTTCTTCCTGGGCTGCCTCCTGGAGCCCACGCTCTGCTCTGTCTCTGCCTTCCCATCCATTGTCCACCCGGTGACCCAAAGGAGCCAGGCTTGGGCTGCCTGAACCAGAAGCCCCTCCCCAGGGATGTCCTTAGACACTTTCAGCCCTGCTATTGGGACCACATGGCAGAGGGGGCAGAGTGGCCCAGCCCCAGTCAAGAAGAGCTGCCTGGATGATGAGGGGGTGTCTCCTGGAACCAGATGGAGGGAGCTGCTCAGCCTCAGCGAGGTGACAGCGGAGGAGCTGGGGAAGCGGCCCTCCTGCGCCCACCAGCCATGCTCAACTCTCAGCTCCCCACTGTCAGGGACTGAAAGTAGCCCCCCAAGAGATGTTCACACTCTGATCACTGGAACCTGTGCACGGGGTGCTATTTGGAAAACTGTTGTTTGCCGATGTGTTTAATTGGAGGATTTTGGGAGGAGAAACATACCTTGTAAAGGGTCCTTGTTAGAGGGAGGGAAGGGCAGTTAAGATGGTGGATGGGGTTGTGTGACCGGGAGCTGAGATTAGAGTGCTGTGGACATGCACCAGAGATGCCTGGAGCCCCGGAGCCGGCAGACGCAAGGAAGTTTGAAACACTTGGCTCTCCGGTTTTCTTCCTTGGTGTCTTCCTTGCCCACAGGGATTGGTGCTCCCCTGGGAAACGGGCAGGGTCTGATCCCCTGGCCCCCGCACCCAGCTCTGAGTGGACTTCCCATGACTATTTGTCAAAAGCTTGAGGGAGGGTCCCGGAGGCACAGCCCACCTTCCTGGGAAACCTCTGGGTACCTGGCTGCGGTGGTCTCATTGCTGGGCCTGTCTCAGTGCTGGGGTGAGCCTGAGTCCTCGGTGGGGGGCAGTGAGGAAGAGCAGTGTGCAGAAGGGGGCTCTGAGGCTGCTCGGGCCCCACCTGCAGATGCCAGAGCTTTTCCTCAAACATCTTCCAGGTGCGACCTTCACACCTTCTCCAGGGAACAGTCAGTGGGGGTATTTTGAATCACTCTGGGAGGCCATGACTTACTCTGTCTGCCGATGCACCGCCCTCTTGGCTGTACTTTTATGACTGCCAGGGACACTTCGGTGATGAGTGGCCTGCACGGGGCCTGAGAGCAATGCAGCTGTGTGCAGGGCGGGGTGGCGGGGGGGGACGGGGAGGGCGGAGGAGCCATTGGAGTGATTATGATGGAGCTGGCACTGGTCATAAACTTTAATCAACTTAAAACCCGCTTTTGGTATTAAACTTTACCAACCATTTAATACCCCTGGACAGGCCGAGTGTGGGAGCAGATGTCTGTCAGAGCCACCTTCCAGGATGTGCCAGGCCTGAGGCTGGTCCAGGTGCCCGAGGACAGCACTGTCTCCCATAGGCGTGCTGGGGTCTGGGCTTGGCTGGCAGGAGACAACCTGAGCTATGGCCTGAACAGGATGGGGGAGCTGGTTCTGGAGCTCCCACTGGCCTGTATGGCCTTGAGCAAGGCTGGTGAGATGTTCTGGTCCTCAGGGCCCCCAGGAGGTGATTCTGAGGTAGGAGAATAGGATCTGCATGCAGGGAACCTAAGGCTGATTCACACTCACTGGATATCAGAGGTTGCTCTTTTTCCTGCACAGCGGCTGAAAAATGAAAGTACCTCTGATTGGTCCCCTCTTGCAACCAATCAGGCTGGTCACAGGCCTATGCTTCACTCTGATTGGTCCCCTCCCACAACCAATCAGACTGATTGCAGGGCTACTCTTCATCCTGATTGGTCCCCTCATGCAACCAATCAGACTGGTTGTGAGCCACTACTTCATTTGAGTGAACCAATGAGAAAAGTCTAGAGGGTATTTAAACCCCAGAAAATTTTGTAACTGATGGCCGTGGAGCTGCTTGCTTGAGTGTCCTGCCACCCTGTGGAGTGTACTTTCATTTAAAATAAATCTTTACTTTTGCTGCCTTGCTTTATTTGTGCATTTTGTCTAATTCTTTGTTCAAAACGCCAAGAACCTGGACAACTACCCTCAACTGGTAACAATTCCAGAGGCAGGCAGCAGAGCCGGCAGCCCCCGGGGAGGATGGCCGCAGAGTGACTCCACCTCACATGCTCCTCAGTGACTCCTGCCAGCCTCAGCTGGACCTGGGATTGGAGTCTGCTCGCCTTCACAGATGGGGAAATTGAGGCTCCTAGAGGGTACAAAGTGGTCACAAGTCACACAACCAGGAGCAACAGATTTGGGGCACTCAGTGGACCCTGGATTGGACACACTGCAGATTGTCCCCAGAGGGTTCACAGCTCGGGGGAGGGAGCATGGTCCTGTCTGGGCAGAGCAGGGAGCTCCTTCCAGAGAGACAGGAAGCAGCACAAGAGTCGGCTGCTTGTGTCCTCCACTGTGCACTCAGGAGCCCTCTGAGCTGGGGGCTTCTGGAGACAACCCCCAGGCTCCTCATACCCAGGCAGCTGCGGTGAGTCCTTGGGTCACTTGATGTGTCCAGTCCTGAGCCCCCGCTCAGTCCCCTGCCCATCTCCGCAGCTCTGTCTGTGGTGACCTGGGAGGCCCACGGGGCAGTTTCAAACTCCTGGTGCTGATCAGGCCAGGGAGGAAGCTAAAGAGGCCCCAATGGGCTCCAGTCCTTCCTTCATTCATGTAACAAGCATTTATTAGGCCATTCCTGTGTGCTAGGACCCATGACAGGTGATGAGCAGGGAACATGCCTTGGCCTGCAGGGGGAGAGGAGCTTCCGTAGGCAGTTCCAGGCAGGAGTGGGACGTCTTATGGTGGGGGAAGCCCAGGAGCTCATGGAGGACAGAGCATGCTTCCCTTTGCAGGTGAGCGTTGAGTTGGGTATTGAGGGATGAGTAAGAGTTTGTCAGGAAGAGAAGGGGAGGAGAGGACTCTTCAATGCACAGTGAACAGACTATGCATTAGCAGAAAGGCATACAGCAGCTCCACAAGGCTTCAAATAACCCAGAGGAGGCACTGAAGAGGAGCAGATGTGTTGAGAGAGTCTGGAGGAGAAGAGATGCCGTCCACGGGTGACGGGTGGAAATCTGCATTAGGGAAGGCTTCCTGGAGGAGGTGGCTCTGCAGTGAGACCCTGAAGCACTGAGGGGACTAGAGGTGGACATTCCAGCTGAGGGAACAGCCTGGCCTTTCCCACCTGCCTTGGCTTTTTCTTTTCTGTGCAGCCACCATGGGTTCTCACCTTTATCTTTACAGCAAAGCAGAAAGTGGCCCTGGTGTGGCTGCACTTGAAGCACCTGCAGCCTGTCTGACGTCTCCTGAACTCACAGACGTCCTGCTGCAGAGACAGGCCATCCCCAGCCTGAGATGCTAAGACCCTGTGGCTCAGCCCTGTGGGGTCCAGTCTGGGCACAGACCATGGGAGGGGGCTGTCCCTCAGAGGGGTGCAGGGCCCACAGGCAGACATTTGATTGAATAGCAGTTGTGTTTCTAGGGCACTGGCCGAGCCGCAGGCTCTGGGTAATCTGTTGTCCTAGTTATCCCTGATCCTGGGCCATGGGGGTATCCTTGCAGCTGCATTTCTCGAGTGACGTGGAGGCTCGTTGAGATCCAGTGACTTGCTGAAGGTGCCAGTCAGCCCCACCACCACCATGGCGGTGGTAGGACATGAACCCACGTCTCAGGTGGCAAATGCCACATTGTCTTCAGGGCAGGTGCTGAAGTCCTTCGCTTCTGAGTGGGGCTGGCATTTACACTGTGAGCTCTTTGTTTGTTTGTTTGTCTGTTTTGTGAGACGGAGTCTGTCTCTGTCACCCAGACTGCTGGAGTGCAATGGCACGATCTTGGCTCACTGAGTTCTTTGACTATGGGCCAATAGCTTCTCATCCTCAGGGCTCGGTTTCCCCATCTGTCCAGGGAGGGGCTGGCCTAGATGCTCTCTGGGCTCCCTGCCAGCCAGTACTCATCTGCCCCACATGCCCCGGGTGGTCCCTGCCCTGCCCTGCCCCTCCCAGTGCTGATCCTGCCTGCCTGCCAAGAACCGTGTTGCCCTCGGGGGACAACAGTGGTTTCAGGTTCCCTCCAGGAAGCATGCCTGGGGAGAGGAGAAGACTCAGCGCTCACTTCCAAAACCCCCCATGTGCCCGAGTAGTGGGTGGCAGATGAAAGCTGACGAGTTGAATAAATGAGGGCATGATCAGGTTTTAGCAGACGTCATAGGAAACAGCTCAAGGCCCTGTTAATCAAGCATGCTGGGCTGTCTGTCAGAGAGGAGGGGGTCTCTCTGTGACCCAGGGATGGTTCTGAGATGCCAGGCCCTGTTCAAACCCTTCCAGGGGCTGCTTCGGTGCTGCTGCTGGGGTCCCAGCCTGCAGATCCCCCAGCCCTCAAAGTTCTGGGTACCAGGACTGATGAGGGTGCAGCTCAGAAGGCCCCGGTCCACTGCTGCCCACTCACTGCAGGAGCCAGGTACACCCAGGCAGGGATGACCTGGGATGCTGGGGACCCCTAATCCTTGTCCCCAGCACTATGGCAGGCTGGAGCTTTTTCTAGCTCTGTGACAGCTTTGCTATCTTGGGATGCCTAGAGCTGGGGCTTGTCTGCTCATTCAAGAAATATTCCCCAAGAGCTTCTGTGAGCCAGACACTGTCATAGGTTTTCAGATTCAGCAGTGAACAAGAGAAGGCCCAGCCCTGAGAGCAGCCATGCTGGGAGAGAGGGTTGAAGTTTATATTTCAGATGACAGAAATCCACAGGGCACTTTCTGCACCCAGCCTGGCATTAAGTGCTCCGTGAATCTGACCCCATTCAGTCCCGACCACAGCTCTCAGGGGAGGCTGCGCTTGCCTGTGCTACAGACACGGACCCTGGGCATGGGGACCGCAAGTGACCTCCAGGGTCACCACTCAGGAGGGACACAGCCAGCATTGGCACACAGGTGGTCCGGCTCCTGCTCCCAAGCCCTGCCGGATGCTGGTAATAAACACACAAGAACACGGTGCCCCAGAGTGACGAGAGTCAAGAACAAGCGTCTCTGAGTGACTGCTCTGCTGGCTGGGTGGGCAGTCAGGGCGGCCTCTCGGAGGAGGCGGCCTTTGAGCAGAGACTACAGTGGAGAGAAAGCGTGGGCTTGGCTGCAGAATGTGGACTGAGGGGTAAGTATGAGGAGCGTAGCCAGTGGCTGGGCCAGACATGGAGGGTCAGGAGTTTCCCCACCATAGACGGCTGCCAGGGGAGCTCCTAGATGTCGACCTGGTGTGTCCTCTGCAAACTGCCAGCCTCATGATCTCATCACCCTGACCTTGTAGTTCCACCAGCTCAGGCCCTGGCACCCCCAGCCCCCACTCTTTCTTAAGAGGAGAATCCAAGTGCACCCCATGACCCCTTCCCGGGCCTGTCTCACTCCATCTCCTCCCCTGCCCCTCGTTCCCTGGTTCCATCCCAAGGCCACCTTCTCCAGGTGGTTGCTGCTTTCTTTGGGTTCCTACAGCTTCTTCACTGGATTACCAGCCTCTGCTGTGAAGTGTCCGTTTTTGGGACCACAGCTCCTCTCTGGCTCTGGAGTGGGTGTTTCTCTGGGGTTGCTGAGGCAGTAGTAGGAGCTGGGACTGGCCTTGTATCCCCACAGTGTCCAAATACCCCTCGGTTGGCCACAGGGTCCAGGGTGTGTGCTCAGAAACCCTCCCCTGGAATTTGGAGGCATTGGCATTCGAATGGAGGTTGAGGCTCTGTCTTCCCATTGTTTCCCTGCCAAGATACAGTAAAGCAAAACAATCAGAGCCCTGATGTGTGGCTCTGGCGGGTGGAGGACATAATGAGAAGCCTCCTCTGGGGATTCTCCCCTCTCTCTTTGCAGGTGGAAGGAGCCCTGTGGACAGCTGTGAGGTCTCCCCAGCCCCTGAGAGGTGGGGTTGGCCTACGGGAAGTGGTGCTGCCTGTCCCGTGCTTGGGCACACGTGGGCTGCAGCCAGATCATTTAGAGAAGGAAGGTGGAGGCTGCTTGGAGGAGGGCACATGGGCAGGCAGGGGCTGGAGAGCCCCAGGAGGGAGCTGGGGCAGTGCCCAGGTAAGAGGCCTGAGCAGATATGCTGTGGCTGTGACCTGGACCCATAACAGGAACCCAAAATGCAGGTGAGGCTGAGGCAAGCAGACACCACGCTCCAGCAACACGGGCACCACCAGTGCAGCCACCATTTCCCAGCAGCCTACGCATTGTAGGACACTTGTCACGCATTGTCTCAAATGCCCACAACCACAAAAAGCAGCCACTGTTGTTCCCATTCTGCCTCCAAGGAAGCAAGTTCCGAGAAGCAAAGACATTCCCCATGGTCGGCCAATGGGAAAGTGGAAGAAATGGGGTTTCAACCCAGGTCAGAACCTGGTTCTGAGCCTAAGCCACTTCCCCTGCGAAGTCCTGGGGGGTGACTAGCAAGGCTGGCTGACAGCTTGGCTTTGGACAGGATAAGGTTGAGGTACCTGAGGGACCTCCTGGGAGATGGGAGCACTTGGTCTGGAACCTGTAACCTGGAAGAGAGAGCTGGGCTAGAGATGAGGATCCCACAGATGGGGCCGGAGGTGAAAATCCCACAGATGGGGCTGGAGGAGAGGAACCCACAGATGGGGCTGGAGGTGAGGATCCCACAGATGGGGCTGGAGGTGAGGATCCCATAGATGGGGCTGGAGGTGAGGGTCCCACAGATGGGGCTGGAGGTGAGGGTCCCACAGATGGGGCTGGAGCTGAAAATCCCACAGATGGTACCTGAGGTGAAAACCCCACAGATGGGGCTGGGTCATATCAACCCCTCAAGGGCAGGAGGAGAGGAGTAGCCAGCAGAGAGGTTGCTCACCTTCACTCCTCAGCAACCCCCTTCCACCAGCCCATTCTGAAGACTGCAAACTGAAGCAGGAGGTGCGGTCACCCGGCCTCTGTGCTGCAATGCAGGCTGGATCCTGGGCCAGTGTCTTGGCGTTGCTGCCCCCATGGCTGGACCCCCTGTGAGCCCTCAGCGTCCTCCCTCTTATCCCACAGCCCAGAGATGGCTCAGGGTTTTGTGGGAATCATGATGAATTGGTTGAGAGTCTCACAATTGCCGGGAAGGGGAATAATGAGTTGGAGCTTACAGTGTGGAATGGCAGGGAAGAGATGGGCAGGGAAGAGATGGGCAGAGAGGTGCTGGCAGCTCATTTCTCCTTTTCAAGGCCCAAGAGGCAGGTCCATCCAGGAGGGTGGGAGTGAGGGAGGAGGACGAGAGTCAGGAGGCCCTGCCAGAAGGGCCGAGCCAGGCTCCTGCTCCCTCAGTGGACATAGAGAAAACACGGCCATTGGAAGGTCCTGCTGGTCCCGAATTTTCTTCCAGTTTTGCAGAAATGTCCCACTCTTGGAAGGGACTGTGGAAACAGCTTTGCCCTTGGTCACACTCTGAGTCCTGGTTCTGGTCACAGACTGAGCCCTGGTCATAGGCTGAACTGTTACCCTGGTTATAGACTGGGCACTGATCCCCTTATATACTGAGCCCTGATCCTGGCCACTGACAGAGCCCTGATTCTGTTCACAGCCTGAATCTTGATGCCTTCTTACCAATCCCTCTAAAGAGATTACAGTGTGACTACAGGGATGAGACGGACATTCCAGACACAGTTAAGTAACAGCATCAGGCTGAGTCCATCTGTACTCTGGAAGTCCAGGAAGTCAGCTTGGCTACGTGGTCAGGACAATTTAGGCAGGCTTCCTGGCGTGGAAGCTGGAAGCCGAGGGACTCCAAGAACAGCCGGCTTGGTGGGGAGAGGACTGTGTGGACATGGGGGCAGCACCTAGGTGTCGGGGGGCCGAGGGCCCACTAGTGCCAGGTGTGGGAGGCCAGCAGGCCCTAAGGCAGGCATGGCAGACCCCTGCATCCTTTTCTCTTCTCCACGGGGCATGTGGGGCCCTGGGCTCCTGGAGAGGTTTCTGCGGGGTTGATGTGACTCTGGTCTCTCAGGTTGTCGCTCAGGCTCTCTGCTCCTGCTCTGCTGCCTCCGGCTGTCTTGGGGTCCCCATACATGCTTGGAGCAGTGGCCTGGCTGTGCAAGAGCCCACAGGACCTCTGGGCCACATGACAACATGCGGCTCAGCGCACGGTGGCCTGGGCCCACCCCTACTGTCCATGCCGTCGTGTTGCCTGCAAGAAGGAGGAGGGCCAGGAGTAAGGGTGCAAAATGGGAAGGACGTTCTGGGATGTGTCCCTCTCCCCTGGAAAAGAGAGCTTAACCACCAGGATGCTCGGGCTGTGAGTGGAAGAACATGAAACTCAAAAAGGCTTAAACATGAAAGGATATTTATTGGCTGGTGTAACTGAAAAGATCAGCGTTCGTTTCCAGCGTTCATTTCCAACTGCACAAACAGTATCTGCAGCGTTCAGCCTCTCTCGTTTCCTTTGATCTTCTCTGGGTCGGGTCCATCTGTGGGCTCCCGCGGAGGCGGAGTGACAGCCCTCACCTCCTGGCCAGATTCCTGCCAGGCTGATGTTCATGGCAAACGGGAAACATCTTCACAGCAATTTCCTCTCAGTCCCAGTGATCCCTCTGTTTGACCACCTGGCGCCACGGGCCCGGCTCTGAGCCGGCCACTGTGGCCAGGGGCATTGGTGCTCTGACCGGGTCACCCTCTGTCATGCACCTCCAGGGAGGGAAGGGGGCTCCCCCAAAAGAAATCCAGGTGATTCTTTGCTGAGGGGCAGTGCTTCTCACTCTGGCCACACAGTTCTGTGGATGCCTCCAGGCCTGAGTCAGTCTCCCCTTCCCTGGGAGCCCCCCAGGCCACAGCAGCCCTTCTAAAGTGCTCAGGGCCTGGAAGGAGCTAGATGCGGCTGCAGTCTCTTCGCCCGCCCCGGGGGTAGTGGAAGAAGATTCTCCATCAAGGATGAAGAAGGGGAGGCCTCAGCCCGACCCACACAGCAGACCCATCAAATCGTAACTGAAGAAGACCCTTCCTGCCTGGGGGAGCCGCGAGCCAGGAGTGCCCCTTGGCTGACAACACTGCCTGGGGGAGCCACCAGCCGGGAGCGCCCCTCGGCTGACAACACTGTGATGGGACTGAGATGGGGCGGAACCTCGAGAGTCAGGAGTCAGGGTCCCCAGGGCAGAGCTGTTGCGACTAACAGCGAAAAGACCGAAGGACCCTCCACCCAAAGCCCCGCGGAGGAGCCAGAGACACAGAGCCGCGGTGGGGCTGGGAGCCTCAGGATTGTGTGCAGTGGACAGGAAGCTCCGCATGGGGCAAAGGGGCTCGGACACTTCTTGCCTCCTGAGGCCTACCCCTCATGGCTTTGTGATGAGTGATGGGAGAGGCAGCTGGGGCAACACTGGTGAAGCTGGACCAGGCCCTTCAGGAGCTGATGGCAGGGCCTGGGCCGTCCACCCCTTGAGAGAGGGTGGGGGACAAAATGTTGAGTCAGAAAGAGACAGGAAGACAGTGATAGAGACAGAGAGAGCCTGGGAGAGAGACAGAGAGACCGAGAGAGACAGGGAGACAGAGAGAGACAGGTGGAGACTGGGAGAGAGAGACAGGAAGAGAGACAGAAAGAGACAGAGAGAGACAGAGAGAGACTTGGGGAGAGAGAGACAGGGAGATATGGAGAGACAGAGAAAGAGACAGAGACAGGGAGACAGAAACAGAGAGAGAGAGACAGAAACAGAGAGAAACTTGGGGAGAGAGAAATAGGGAGATACAGAGAGACAGAGAAAGAGACAGACAGGGAGACAGAAACAGAGAGAAACTTGGGGAGAGACAGACAGGGAGATAGAGAGAGACAGAAAGAGGCGGGAAACCCAGGGATGGGGAGACATACAGACAGATGCACAGAGAGAGAGACAGACAGAGACCGCCTCGGCGAGGCAGTCACGAGGCTGGGAGGCGGAGCAGGAGTCAGCGCTGAGGAGGGCACAGGGGACATGCCTGACTCCGTCTGGGTGCCAGGCCCAGAGCCGGGCATTTCCCATAGTCATCGGCCCCCTGCCCGCCCCCAGCATGTCGAGGAAGGGAGGAGTATTTTTAGTTCCATCTTGAAGACGGGCACAGGAACGGAGAATAACTGCCTGAAAGCACTGTCCCTGGTCTGAGCGGCCCTTGGAAAGGCTCAGCCTGGGTGAGCTGGAGGCAGGAGGGAGGGAGAGGGCAGGAGAGACAGGGGAGGGACCAGTGAAGGGAGGGGACAGACTCAGCAAGGGGCAGGCTGAGATCAGAGGGCAGAGGGCAGAGATGAAAGGGTGAGGCCAAGGAGGGATGTAGAGAGCTCTGTGCTGTGCTGGGTCTTCCCCCAGAGCGTGACTGGGGTTCCCTAGGGCTCTGCGCTCCCAGGTGGGTCACCCTGCGTCTCTCTCCTCAGCCCAGGCCTTGCTGCTTCCCATAACAGTTACAAGCACTGGCTCTGCCATCGGAGATGAAAGGGTACACGTGGGGTTCTCCGACCTTCCAGCCGTGTGACCTCGGACTGTGAGTGGACCTCTGGGCCTTGGTTTCTGAGTCTTAGCTACCTCATAAGGGGGTGGTTGGGATGAAATGAGTTAATCCATAGAAAGTGCTCAACCAGGGCCCAGTCAATGCTGGCCATGCTGTTGTGCTCTGGGCCCCAAGATGGGGGTGGGCTGAGGGCAAAGGCCGCCTTCCTGCCAGCACCTGGACACTCAGCCCCCGACTGCCAGCAGGCGCCCAGGCTCTTTCTTGGCTGAGCTGAGCAGCTATCTTAGGTCGTAATCCAGCTGCATTTGACTCCTGTTCTCTTTTTGTCTAACTTCCCGCGGGGAGCAGAGACCTCTGTTTGCTTAGCTCCCTCCACTTGCCTTCCTCGAATGTGGGAACCCCGGACTCTGTCTTGGAAAAGACCTGGCCTCTCCTTCTCTGGGTTGGGTCCATCCGTGGGCTCCCGCAGAGGCCTGTGGTTGCAGAGACCGGAAGCTGCAGCTTCAGGAGGGTAAGTGACTGTGCCCAGGAGCCGCACTGAGCAGCAGCGGGCTCCGCAGGGCCTCCAGGCTCCCCCGGGCATCAGTGCGTGCTGCCACCTCCCCCTTCTCTGTGAGCTGGCACTGTGAGGCTGAGGGGCACAGGCTGGGGCAGGAATCTCGGTTCTTCCCAGCTCTGTGAGAACTGGGAGATGCTCGAGAACTATCCCATCCCCGGATCTCAGTTCCCCCATTGTAACGGGGCAGCTGGACTCAGGGATGTCCAGTCCCCATGCTGGATCCCACCTTCATCTCCCTGTGTGAGATGGGGGTGGTGTCCTGTGCCCCATCCCTATCCCTGGGCCTGAATTCCCAGCTGCTGTACTGGTGCCCGGGTCCCTGGGTCCCTCCCACCCTGAGCCGCCTCCAGACCAAGCTATTGTCTCGGATCCAAGCAGCCAGGCTGGCTGGGCCTGGAGCGGGACGGGAGGACTGCGGGATTGCTGAGCCAGGAGGGGAACAGAGCACCTGCTTCCCTGTGACTGCCTCTTGGAGCGCTAATCATGGAGTTGTCCCAGAGCAGGGCTCCTCACTGAGCCCTTCAATATCTGATCTGTCATGGAAGAAAAATGTTGCGTTTTGTGTCTGAGACCTTTCCTTGATCCCATCTTGCAAAAGAGAAAGAAAGAAAAAAGAAACAACAAAGGCTGCCGGGAGAGTGAGAGATTTGAGAGGAGCATTTCTGAGGGAGCCGTGAGTGTCGGGAAGGGTGGGCCTGGGGTCACGGAGCGCTTTCTGGAAAGCCGTGGTGAAGCATCACCCGGTACCAGCCGCCTCGCTAGCTCTTGCCATAGCAGCAGCGTGAACAAGCGTCCCGCCATTTAGTGGCTCAAAACAACAAGGTGCCGTGGTTTCTCCCGAGCCTCGGGTGGGTCTAATCCACCTGCGAGGCTTGCTGGCAAGTCTGTGGTTAGCAACGGGCTGGCCGGGAGGCTCTGCTGGTCTGGCCTGGGCCTTCTCACATGCCTGGGACAGTGGGGCTGGGTGGGCTCGCTCCCCTGCGGGCTTCTCATGGCAGGGGCTGGGTCTGGGGAGGCAGGGGGGTAGAAGCTCATGCCGTGTCTTGAGGCCCAGGCTCGGGGTCATCTCTTCTGCCGTATTCTGTAGGCCAAAGCCAGTTCTGGGCCAGTCCTGCTTCCAGAGATGGAAAGTGGGCTTGGCAGCAGAGCGGCTTTAAATGGTGCAAAGGATGGAATGTTTGTGTCCCCCAAACTCACACATTGAAATCCTAGCCCCGAAGGTGATGGTATGAGGCGGTGGGGCCTATGGGAGGGGAGGGGGGCGTGAGAATGTTGTCCTCATGAATGGTACCACGCCCTGATAAAAGGGACCCCAGGGAGGTGCCTGGTCCCGTGTGAGGACTGAGTGAGAAGGTGGGGTTGAAACCTGGAAATGTCCCTCCCCAGACACTGCCAGTGCCCTGATCTCAGCCTCCAGCCTCCAGAATGGCAAGAAATAGATCTCTGTTGTTTGTAGGTCATGCAGTCTGTGGAGCTTGGGTGTAGTAGCCCAAACGGACTGAGACAATGACAATGGGAGAGGAAAATAAATCTCAGGACCCCAAATCACTAAGCTAGAGGGAAAAGGCAAGCTGGGAACTGCGTGAGGCAAACCTGTCTCCGATTTATTCCTAAATAGGACAGCTACGAAGATAAAAAAGCTACACAGCTCCCTCACCACTTGCCCACAGGGTATTCCCTGTGGACCTCAAGATCTTTACTATGAAGCAGTTCTGTTGAATTTTACCAATGTAAACTGATAGCTTATCTTCACAGGCATGGGACAGAAAGTCATCCCTCCGCTCACCTGAGACAAATACTTATCTGATTGTTTTCTGATATGATTTGGCTCTGTGTCCCCACCCAAATCTCATCTTGAATTATAATCCCCACGTGATGAAGGAGGGGCCTGGAGGGAGATGACTGGAGCATGGGGCAGATTTCTCCCTTGCTGTTCTCATGATAGTGAGTGAGTTCTCACGAGAGCTGATGGTTTTCGAGTGTGGCACTTCCCCTGCTCCCCGCCTCCTGCCACCATGTAAGATGTGCCTGCCTCCACTTCCACCATGATGGTGAGTTTCCTGTGGCCTCCCCAGCCCTGCGGAACTGTGAGTCAATGAAACCTCTTTTCTGTGTAAATTACCCAGTCTCAGGTAGTTCTTTTTAGCAGTGTGAAAACAGACTAATGCACTTCCTCTGCCCTATTGTTTATGTAAAAATGCAGATTCACTGAGCTACACTAAGGACTCAGGGAAAGGCTAATCAGAGACTCAGAAGAATGCAACTGCTTGTCTCTTATCTACCTGCGACCTGGAAGCCTCTTACTTCGAGTTGCTCTGCCTGACTGGACTGAACCAATGTTCATCTTACATATATTGACTGATGTCTTACGTATCCCTAAAATGTATAAAACCCAGCTGTGTCCTGAACACCTTGGGCACATGTTATCAGGACCTCCTGAGGCTGTGTCACAGGTGTGTCCTTAATCTTGGCAAAATAAACTTTCTAAATTGACTGAGGTCTGTCTCAGATCCTTCAGGGTCACAGCAATCAGGGAGAGTTGTCTTCCCCAAGCCCCGAGAGACTGCAGCAGGCCGAGGCTGGGGACTGTCAGGAGCAAGAGGAGCCAAGGTGTGGATGGAGTGAAAGGCCCATAGGGGGACCTGTCTACGCGATGGATATACCCGAGGGCTCCCCTATCCTGCCTGTAATTACACGAATGTGGGGGGGACAGTGGGGACATGAGTCCACTGCACACTTACCCACCCTGGACCAATGCATAGTAGGTGCTTCACACACACTTGCTGAAGGTTCAGCCCAGCCTCATGTCCCCTAGAAAGCCCTCCCTGGTCATTCACCCTGGATCAACACATAGTAGATGCTTCACACGCACTTGTTGAAGGTTCAGCCCAGCCTCATGTTCCCCAGAAAGCCCTCCCTGGTCATTCAGTCTGTCATGGAGTGAGGCGGGTCAGTTTCATGGTCCAGGACACAGACCCCAGGGCCAGGTCTGGCAGGTTTTCATGCGACTTGGGCTCTCCCTGGCTGAAGGGTCTCGGGCACGTGTCTTAGTCTCCTTGCATCCTAGTTTTGTTGAAGAAAAGAGTCAACCTCTGTAAAATATTTGAAGAGATTTATTCTGAGCCAGATATGAGTGATCATGGCCCATGACACAGCCTCAGGAGGTGGAGAACATGTGCCCAGGCTGGTCAGGGCACAGCTTGGTTTTATCCATTTTAGGGAGACATTAGACATCAATCAAATACATTGAAGATATACACTGCTTTGATCCAGAAAGGTGGAACAACTTGAAACAGGGGCTTCCAGGTCTGTTATGGTGTGGCTCTGTGTCCCCACCCAAATCTCACCTTGTAGCTCCCATAATCCTCACATGTTGTGGGAGGGACCTGGTGGGAGATAATTGAATCATGGGGATGGACCTTTCCCATGCTGTTCTCGTGATACTGAATAAATCTCAAGAGATCTGATGGTTTTAAAAATGAGAGTTTCCCTACACAAGCTCTCTCTTTGTCTGCTGCCATCCCTGTAAGATGTGACTTGCTCCTCCTTGCCTTCCACTGTGATCGTGAAGCCTCCCCGGCCATGTGGAACTGTAAGTCCATTAAACCTCTTTCTTTTGTAAATTGCCCAGTCTTAGGCACATCTTTATCAGCAGTGTGAAAATGGACTAATACAAGGTCATAGGTAGATTTAAATTTTTCGAATTGGCAATTGGTTGGAAGAATTATTTTTTTCATGCAGATGAAGGCTCCAGGTAGCAGGCTTTAGAGAAAAGAGATTGCAAATGTTTCTTATCAGACTCAAGTTCTGTGTTGATGTGAATGCCGGAGAGGTATAATGAGGCGTGTCCACCCCCCTGCTTCCCGTCATGACCTAAGCCAGTCTTTCAGGTTCAATTTTAGAGTGCCCTGGATGAGGAGGAAGTCCATGAAGATGGTTGGGGGGCTTATAAATTTATTTTTGGTTTGCAGTTTCCTTGTCTGTAAAATGGGGAGAAAAGGCACAGCCCTGCTATGTTGTCTTGGGGCCAGTTCTCCACTGGAGGGCAGGGGGACAGCTGCCCACAGCCAAAGAGGAAGCACCTGCCATGTGGTCAGTGCTTAGGAAGTGTTAGTGAAAGGGGAGGAAGCCAGATGCAAAAGGCCTCACATCCCACCCAGGAGATACCCAGGACGGGTGCATCTGCCGAGATGGGCGCAGTGCAGACAGGGGGTTGCCAGGCACCACAGGGAGGGATGTGGAGGACTGACCATGGGTGCAGGCTTTCCCTCTGGGGTGATGAAAATGTTTTAGAATTAGGGAGAGGGGGTGGCTGCGCAGCATCGTGAATGTGCTCAGTGTTGTCGGATTGGACACTTCAGAATGGTTGGTTTTGTGTGATGTGAATTTTGCCTCAATTTAAAAAAAGCCTTAGCTGTGATTCTTCACCAGATACTCCAGAAATACCAACCGAGCACCAACACTGTGCTGGGCACAGGCTGGGGACACAGAGGTTGGCAGGGCAGGCGGGTGTCTTGTTCTCACAGAGTCTGCATCCTGGTGACTTGTTTATTCACTCAACAAACTCCTGCACGAGGTCGTGAAGCCCCATGGCATGCCGGCTCCCGAGACCAGACTCCAGTGTGGCCATGACTGCCTTCAATTTCCTGCTGGCTTGTGGCTTTGCCTGCCTCTTATCCACTCCTGCCCACGTGTTTGTGCCACTGGGTGTGGCTCTAGCCAGACTCCCGGTTGCCTGAACCCTCAGTCAACACCTCTGCCTCCAGTTTCCTGCTCGGTGTGTGGGGCAGGGCCTCCAGGGCTGCTCAGCGGAGACTTGCTGGATTGAAGGGAGCATAGCTCATTGCAGGCTGGTGCCCCTCCCCTGAGATTCCCCAACTCCCAGCAGCAACTTCCTGGGAAGCCTGGGACGTGATGACTCACTGTGAATTTGGGCAGTTCACTTCTTGTCTCTTCATCCAGAAGTTGAAGGTGTCCACTCAGTAACCCCTGCGGTCCTTCTAGATCCAGCCTTCTCTGGGCCTGTCCAGTGGTTTTGTGACCCAACCCCACGGTAATACTTAAGTGCAGTGATTCTATTCTGGGAGGCTCAGTTTCTGTTTTGACTACATGACTTGTTTCTGTGATCTCATTATTTTATTCTATGATCCGGGTGCAGTCTTCCATTATTAATGTCCGTGATGGGATGATTCTCTGGGTCCTCTAGAGATGTGCTTGAAAGCTGGGGTGTATGGAAAGCCAGAGGAGGGGAAGGCAGGCTCCCACAGTCCCCACTGTCCCCCTATATTCGTGTAATTACAGGCAGAATGAGGGAGCCCTCCAACCCCGCCCCAGATCAGCGAGCTGTGTCCTAGCAAGGACCCCACCAGCAGGACAGCTTCTGGGGCCCTCACACTGTCCTGCCATTGTATCTGCCCCAGGAGGGTGCCAGCCTGGGAGTGGGGCTAGGGGACAAGACGAAACTTCCCTGATGGACAGAGTGAGCCAGGAGGAGCCCAGGTGGAAGGGGACATGGGCGAGAGAGCTGGAGGGTGGACAAGAACCTGGAGCGGAGGCACATCTCGGCGGGGACGGAGGGGATGAGAGGCACCACGGCCATGAGGACAGCGCAATTGGAGGCTGCGGCTAAGAGCCGTTGACGATTACAAGAGACAAATTGACACACTCAGATCTGTTAGTCATCAATTTAACACAAATTGTGGGGGTCGGAGGGCCTCCTTGGAAGCATTGGAAGAGAACTAATTCCCTGCATCAGGGGCCAAGCAGGCTTGGGAAGACACACAGGACTGAATTGGAAGGAAGGAGAGGAGCTGAGTTCTCAGAAGCTGGGTCTCCTACCACCGCTGGGTCCTGACGGGGAAGGGGCAGACCCTGAGCCTGGGGGCATTTCTGGAGAGATGCAGTGAGAACCCTGAGCCCCTCCCCACCCTGCCCTGCCCTGGGGTTCTACAGACACGGCCCTAGAGGCACTGAGTAAGGTGGGTACCTGCAAGACAGTGTTGCCCCTTCCTGGATCTGCCAGCTGGACTCACAATAGGGTCAAATCCCAGCAAAATGGGAGGGAGGAGCTGGGCCTGCTGAGGGGGCAGCTGCTAGCCTGGTGGTGGTGCCTGCAGGCCTGGGGCGAGGTGCTGCTGGAAGTGGCGGGGAGGTGGGCACGGAGGGAGATAAAGGAGCCCGTGGGTCTCGGGGTGCTCTCCCCTGAGGCTGGATTTTGGCCCACCAGGGTCCTGGGCAGCCGGGCTGCTCTGCTCCTGGGGCAGTTCCTGGAAGCTTTCCATTAAATGAAGGAGAGGCCAGCACTTGCACGCCCAGCCCCAGAGGATGGGGTCAGGAAGCTTTGAGGAGTGGTCTTGCCGGGAGAGTTTCACTGCATGGAACTGGAGCCCACCAGGTGTTCACCAAGGTGATCAGGACTGCCCCAACAAGGGCCACCTGTGCGAGGAGAGGCTCGGCGATGCCTGTCCTCTCTAGCTGTTGACAGCAGGAGTTGCTGTTATTGAACTGGGCTCCCCCAGAAGCAACAGGGTGAGAAGGTGCCAGACTTGCAGAAGCTGGTGGGGGACTCTACTTCATTGCAGAAGCAAGGTGGGGGGAACTATAGGGGGCCCTAGAACACTGTGCTCCTAGGGGCAAGATAATTGGGCAGGCATGAAGACATCTGCTAATATATAATCAGTAGAAGTCAAGGATGGATGAGCGGAAGGTCAATGTCAGCTGCCTGGTGCCAGATCCAGGCAAGTTCTCAGACCCAGAGTCCCTCAAGGTAAGGAGTGGTGGGATCCCCGTGTCTGGCGACAGAAAAGTTAAGAGGGCCTAGAGTGGTCAGGGAGCTAGAGGAATTGTGCAGGGCAGACAGCCAGTGGGGCCGGGAGGCTGGGCACATTCCCGACGATGGCTCTCAACCTTGACATATCAGGGATGTGTGTGCATATGTGCATGTGTGTGTGTATGTATGTGTGTGCAGGCGTGTGTGTGCATGTGTATGTGTGTGCACACGTGTGTACAGGCGTGTGAGTGTGCGCGTGCACGTGTGTGTGTGCCAGAGAGAAGGAGAGAATTGAAGAGTTGGAGAGTTTTACTGGATGCCTTGCCTTTGCCTTCTGATAATGCCCAACACAGCTTGTCTCTACCCCTCCAGTGGTCCCCTAGAGTGGGTATTCTTCCCATTTCGCAGAGGAGAAGGTTGAGGCTCAGGAAATCAATCAACCCCTGGAACTTCCAGGGCCGGGGCCAGGCTTTGACCTCTAGTGTGTCCATCTCTGAAGCCCACACTTTCCCCTGCTGTCCCTACTGGGAGTCAGACTGGACAGGGCCAGTGAGCAAAATTGCTGAAGCCAGCCAGCCAGACCTACGACTGACAGCCTGACCTGGTTGGTGCGGGCTCCCTCTCCTGCAGCCTGCGTGACCCTAGGTGAATGACTCAGCATCTCTGACCTTCAGGTTCCTCATCCGCAAATCGTGCATGCAGGTTCACAGCCCCCATCCGCAACATGAACCCAAAATGTGCTTGAACAAACCAGCCCACTTGAAATTTGTGTGGCGGTGCACCCAACCTCAACAGATGCATCTGGGATCTCTGTCTGTCTCACCCAGTGTGAATATGAATGGATTTTGCTGCGAAACTACTGCTGTCTGTGTTGTGGGAGCCCCCAGCCCCAAGAGGGTGTTATATGATAGGCACTTTGTGATAAGAGAGCACCATACCGCTCTTCTAAAATCCCAAACACTCTGATTCACGCTCCCTCTGGACCCAGGGCTTGGGTCAGGGATCAGGGCTTGCAATGACAGCGGTCATCTGCAGGCAGAGGCGGGGCTGCTATGGGGGCCGCCTGAGTCCGGCAGGGGCAGCGCCGACCGGTACCATCTGTTCCACGCCCTCCTCATGTTCCTGCAGGCAGACCCAGCTTTCCAAGGCCCCACAGCTCAGGAATGCCCCAGCCTGGACTTGAACCTATGTCCATCCGAGCCCCACACTCTCTCCACCTCCCCAGCATCTGCAGTACGGGTGACACAGGGGGGCTGCCTGCAGGGGCAGGCAGGGAGGGTGCTGTCCCTGCAAGGGAACAACAAGGAATGTTCAGCCCTGGAAACCGCCTCAGCCCCATCAGCTTTCCCAGGGGCCACACCTCGGGACAGTGCAGGGAACACCCCTAGAGACCTACAGGGCACTCAGTGTTGTTCTGGACGTTGGCGGCTCCAGCTCCTGTTCCTCTGGAAGGCCTGGCTCCCTCCCCTTCTGAGTGAAGGTGGGAGGTCTCCTCACCTGGAGTGCTGGTGATTAGTGGAGACTGTCCCCCACGTTCCCAAGCCCCCATGCTGGAACACTGAAAAGGTTCCCTGGAGGGTGACGTCCCCATTGTGGTGGAGCCTGGTGAGGGGAGATGGAGCACACTTTGCCCAACACTGGGGAGAGAACTCTTCGCCTTCACGGAGTTGTGCTGGGGGAGGCCCTGTGCTGTGTGGAAGTGGGTTTGTCTCAGCCCTGCCATCCATGCTTCTGCCTGGAACTTCCGGAGCCTCAGTTTCTTTTTCTGTGAAACAGGGTCACAGAACTTCTCTCCCACAGAGGTCGTGCAGCCTGAATGAGGCAGCGTCTCAGTGCCTGCCCTGTGTGGGACCCCAGGCGGACACAGCCCTTGTTCCTCATTCCTCCTCCTCCCACCTGGGCAGAGGTCGAAGTTCCCTCAGCTTGGGCGCGTGGTCCTCCCTCAGCTTGGGTGTGTGTGTGTTGTTCTCTGAGCCTGGGTGTGTGATCCTCCCTCAGCCTGGGTGTGTGTTGTTCCCTCAGCCAGGGTGTGTGTTGCTCCCTCAGCCTGGGTGTGTGTTGTTCTCTCAGCCTGGGTGTGTGTTGTTCCCTCAGCCTGGGTGTGTGTTGCTCCCTCAGCCTGGGTGTGTGTTGCTCCCTCAGCCTGGGTGTGTGTTGTTCCCTCAGCTTGGGCGTGTGGTCCTCCCTCAGCTTGGGCGTGTGGTCCTCCCTCAGCTTGGGTGTGTGATCCTCCCTCAGCTTGGGTGTGTGATCCTCCCTCAGCTTGGGTGTGTGTGTGTTGTTCCCTCAGCCTGGGTGTGTGTGTGTTGTTCCCTCAGCCTGGGTGTGTGTTGTTCCCTCAGCCTGGGTGTGTGTTGCTCCCTCAGCCTGGGTGTGTGTTGTTCCCTCAGCTTGGGTGTGTGTGTGTTGTTCCCTCGGCTTGGGTGTGTGTGTGTTGTTCCCTCAGCCTGGGTGTGTGTGTGTTGTTCTCTCAGCTTGGGTGTGTGTGTGTTGTTCCCTTAGCCTGAGTGTGTGTGTGTTGTTCTCTCGGCTTGGGTGTGTGTGTGTTGTTCCCTCAGCCTGGGTGTGTGTGTGTTGTTCCCTCAGCCTGGGTGTGTGTGTGTTGTTCTCTCGGCTTGGGTGTGTGTGTGTTGTTCCCTCGGCTTGGGGGTGTGTGTGTGTTGTTCCCTTAGCCTGAGTGTGTGTGTGTTGTTCTCTCGGCTTGGGTGTGTGTGTGTTGTTCCCTCAGCCTGGGTGTGCGCATGTTGTTCCCTCAGCCTGGGTGTGCGCGTGTTGTTCCCTCGGCTTGGGTGTGTGTGTGTTGTTCCCTAAGCTTGGGTGTGTGTGTTGTTCCCTCGGCTTGGGTGTGTGGTCCTCCCTCAGCTTGGGTGTGTGTGTGTTGCTCCCTCAGCCTGGATGTGTGTTGTTCCCTCAGCTTTGGTGTGTGTTGTTCCCTCTGCTTGGGTGTGTGTGTGTTGTTCTCTCGGCTTGGGTGTGTGTGTGTTGTTCCCTCAGCCTGGGTGTATGTGTGTTGTTCCCTCAGCTTGGGTGTGTGCATGTTGTTCCCTCGGCTTGGGTGTGTGTGTGTTGTTCCCTCAGCTTGGGTGTGTGTGTGTTGTTCCCTCAGCCTGAGTGTGTGTTGTTCTCTCAGCTTGGGTGTGTGTGTGGTGCTCCCTCAGCCTGGGTGTGTGTGTGTTGTTCCCTCGGCTTGGGTGTGTGTGTGGTGCTCCCTCAGCCTGGGTGTGTGTGTGTTGTTCCCTCGGCTTGGGTGTGTGTTGCTCCCTCAGCTTGGGTGTGTGTTGCTTGGTTCAGTTGAGTGTGTGTATCTGTTTTGGGCCCAGTCTTGAGCTCTGAGGCGTGTGTTTAAATTCCAGGGATCAAACTGCCCTCCTTCCTCTTTCCATCCCCGCCTTCCTTGGCTCTATTTTCTCCCCGGGAAGCGCTGAGATTGACTGTTGCCACTGATTCCTTGCAGAGATGGACTTTCCCCCCTTTTCGTACCAGCCTCTTTGGTTGAGAGCTGTGGGACTCACACGTTCCCTAAATCTCCTGCCCCTGGTGTCTTCTTGCCATTTCATAAATCTCAGCCTCATTCCCTCCGGCCTGGGAGGCCATGCCGCCTCCAAGGCGACCTCCTCTCGGGAGCTCCAGGTATGGAACACACCATTCATCATGGAGATGCGGGAGGCGTCACAATTTCTCCTGCCAGGGAGCGTGGTCAGGCCCACAGTGGCCACACATCCAAGATGGCGACACCCGCGGGTGGGCATAAGAGGGGGCATGGAGATCACAGCCACGCCTGGTCACGGGGACAGGTAGGTGGCGTGGCTCCCAGGTGTGGCTGAGGGCACCTGTGTCTGGTTCTCAAGGGGCCCCCATTGTGCAGGGAGACCCAAGCTGGTCCCCAGACGGCTCCCACACATGGAGGTACAGGCTGGGAAGGGGCACCCAGGGCCTTGGAGCACGCTGAGGGTGGCGCCCTGCCCTGTCCTAGGCATGTGGCAGGACCATGAAGGGGATTTGCACTGTGAGCTGGGAGAAGGCACTGCAGGCTGAGGGACCAGTGTCTGCACAGGCAAGGTGGTGGGACAGCGGGGCAGCGTGTGTCATCAGCAGAATCCCCAGAGCCATGAGTGACAAAGCAGGCATGTGGAGCTTACCTTCTGGTGCACATGTGCATACGTGTTTTCATGCACATGAGGGTGTGTGTGCATGTGTGCAGGGGTGTGTATGTGTGACAAAGCATATGAAACATTGTAATCAAGGCCTTCTAGAGCAAGCTGGACAAGAGGAGAAAGGAAAAGCTGAGAGGAATGAGGGGGATGTGGAACTGAGGGTGAAGAGGGGTCTGGGTAGCCTCCTTGAGCAGGGAGCTCTGAGCAGAAACGTGAAGGAGGTGTGGGAGAGCCCAGTTCCCACAGGGGGAACGGTGCTGCAGGGGCCCCAAGGCAGGGGCGGGCAGGGGTCCCAGGAGCAGAACGGAGCCCAGTGTAGCTGGAGCAGAGTGAGCCAGGGGACATGCACTGTGGTGTGGAATCCGGTTTTACTTTGAGTGGGTCAGGGGCCACACAGGGAGGGACAGGGTGTGACCTGGGCTTTAACAGGACCTATGGCTATGGTGGGGTCCGTGGCCGTGAGAACAGAAAAACTTGGCTGGGACCTGGGTGTGCCTTGAGGGAGAAGCCAACAGAATTTGCTGCCAGACCGGATGCTGGGGCTTGTGGTGTGTTGGACAAAGGTGACATGTCAGGGTGGCTGTGACAGGGAGCAGGGGTCCAGATCCTGTGGCTGGGTGATGAGGGTTTCTCCCACTCCATCACGTAATGACAGAGACCATGGATGCTTCCCACTTCCAAATAGGCTGCAACAATCTTTCCCATGCCACATGCTCTTTTGCCATGTGGCTTTGCCATTCCTCCCAGAGAGAGGTTGAGTCTGTGTCCCCATCCCCTGCACCCCAGTGGCCTTGTGATGAGGGCAGAGATGATGCTAGGTCACTTCTTGGGCTGGGTCACAGAAGGTGGTAAGCTTCTGCCTTGCTCTCAGAGGACATTTACACTTAGGACCCAGCTGCCATGTTGTAAGGAACCCAAGTCGCCCGTGGTGAGGCCCATGTGGAGAAAAGCCAAGGCCCAGGGCTCACAGCCCTGGTTGAGCTGCCAGCCACTTGAGTGAGCCACGTAAAAAGGAAGTCCTCCGGCACCACTCTAGCTGCTCTCATGGCACAGATGAGCCATCCTTGCAGGGCCCTGCCCATCTTGCAGATTCATGAGCACCTGGTTGTCTTCTGAAGTCACTAGATTCTGGGTAATTTGTTATACGAGGCGAGAGGTCAGCTGAGTGTCCGGAGAAGTCCCAGGTCTGAGGTTTCCCTTTAGTGTTCATCTGCTGTGCTAAGCTCCAGACTTCCCAGTCTGGGCCTCCCTCCTCAGTGTCCCTTTGTCCCCAGAAGTGCCCGGAGGCCATTTAGGAAATACTGGGGGAGTGTGGACAGGTTTCTGCGTGTGTAGCTTGGAGAAGTTCTGTGGAGGAAGACAGCCCTTGGGCCCCGGAGCTGTTAGCTTTTGCTGACCCTGTTTTCTCATCTCTAAGAGTGCTAACGGCCACCACAGCTGGCATTTTTGGAGCCTCCCCACCCTGCCGTGTACCCTCCTAAACCCTTGTCATGCACTCATGAGTGGTTCTTTCTAGTGCTAATGTTCCAGAGCCCAGATCTCACCCTGTCCGCATGGCCGCCCTGAGCAGTAAGCACTGCTTTGACACCATTTTACAGATGAGGACACTGAGGCCCCAGTGAGTCACAAGTGGCAGAGCCAGGGCATGGCCTCATGTTGTCTCACTGCGAGTCCTGCTCTTGGCCTCCACTCCCTAGAAGAGGCCCCTCAGGTCCTGCACAGTGCCCCCCATGCTGTGCCAGCACGGTGGGATCTACCCCTGGGGTTCCATCCTGTAGGCCTGTCTGCAGCGCACGGGGCCTTCAGGCTCCAGAGCAGAGGGGGCCATGGCCCTGAACCCTAGCACACGTGTCTCCCTGGTGTTCTGGCTCCGAGGCGCCTGGGGAACCTCAGAGAGGCAGATCCGAGCCTCCTGCACATCCCCGCATGGGAGCCAAAGACCAGAGACCTGGTTCTAATCTCGGCCCCTGCACATGCTCTTCCTGAAGCATTACTAACTTCCCTAAGCCTCAGTTTTCTCACCTGAGCAATGGCGCTAGAGGCTGAGAGCTGCTTGGTTGTGGGGAGCAGACTCAAGGTGACTAAGCACCCAGCCCAGCACCGGCCCAGAGCAGGCACAGGGCCGGGCCTTCAGGGGTTATCTGAAAGCGAGAGGCGCTCTCTCCCTCGGCACCCAGCTCCCTCAGCCGACTCTACATAGAATCATTCTTCCTCCGCTTCTCTGTGGTGACATTTAATCTATGCAGGGGCTGGCGGATGCTTTATTTCTGGAGCTGGCTTTGATTTGGGGAGGGTATTGTTAGCTATGTCCCTTGGGAGTAGATTTAGGAGCAAATATTACTGTTTCTTCTCAGAGGCATCTAGGAGCCTCTTGCAGACGCCTCCTTCCAGCAGTGAGATCCTAGACATTGTTTGTTTGGGTCCCTGCCAGAGTGGGGAGCCTGGCTCATTCTCTCTAAGTAGAAGGAAGCAGGGGGTCTAGAAAGCACCTAGCCTGGGGGCTTCCTGCCCTGCTCCACCCAGGCACGCTGGGTGATCTTAGGGATGCCCATCCCTCTCCCTGGCCTCAGTTTCCCCAGCTGTAGGTGTGTGAGGGCAAATGACAAGGTCCCTCCTGGCCCAGCTGCTTGGGTGGAGCTGACCCTCGGGGAGGAGGACAAAGAGCTACACTTCCCTGCAGCTGATCTGGGGGTGGTGTGATTTGCATATTATTTGCATGAATATGCAGGCAGATTTCATAAAGGCCTAAGCTCCAGGCATTTAAGAAAATTCCAACAAACAGATTCCGGCAGAATGCCTACCATTGTCCTGTCCCCAAAGGCAGCTTTTCTGAGGACCGTATTCCCGCATCCCCTCACGGGGTCCCTCATCTAAGACTCAGGAGGAGGCTGGGGAGGGGTGTTAGCGTCTCCTTCCTTGGTTGGGCTCCAGACAGGCCTCAGGACTTCCCAAGGCTTGTCCAGTGGGAGGAGGAGATTCCTGGACAAGGTCAGGGCGCCCTGGGGGAGCTCCCATTCTGGCAGACCTCCTTTGGCAGCCCAAGAGTTTAGCCCCGTGCCTCCCCTGAGAGAAAGAGAGATGGGCCCTTTAATTCGAGTCAAAGCTGCTCTCCTGATCTCCCCCTCCCTCCCTCCCTCCCTCTCTCTCTCTCTCCCCTGCTCTCCCTCCAGCTTGGGGAGGGCCCTCCTTCCATGGAGGATCTGAGCCTGGAGTCTGGATTCCCCTCACCCCACCCACCACCCTGCCTTGTCAATTTTTCCCCCTAAATAGCTCTCCCACTTCACATTGTGAAGCTGATCATAGCACACCCCCGCCCGGCAAAAAAAAAAAAAAAGCCCAAACCAAAAACCCAGACACGCAATGGCTTCTCTTCGCTCTTGGAATAAAGACAAAACCCTTTCATGTAGGTCCGCAAGGCTCCTTCCGGCTTCCGCCACCGCCACATCCCCAGTTCCAGCTGCGGCCTGTGTCCTCCCTTCCACATGCTCTGTTCCCCGCCGATGGCATGCAGTTCCCAGTCCCTCTCCCCTGCCCAGCTGGGTCAGGCCCCATCAGAGTTGCTCCCAGGGCCTGCTCCCTCCACAGAGGTTTGACGTTGGTTGGTGAGCAGCTGTGCCTGACCCCTGCAGGACCAATCGTGGCCGTGGGGTGGGAGCCAGGCCGGCCTTCTGCTCCCCTTTAGGGCCGGTGCGCAGTAGGCGCTCACTGAATGAATGCACGTGTGACTGTCTGCACCACTCTTGCTTTTGTGTCAGGCGCCCACGTAGACCGTGGGCTCCCTTAACCAGGGCTGGGTCTCTCCTCCCATGTTGGTCCGGGCGGGGCAGAGTGCATACTAGGGTGGGCCGGAGGGAGCCTCTCTGGGCTCTTCATACACCCCGACAGGAACCATGGGCATGGCAGTGGCTTCCTGTCTTCATCAGCATGGGGGCACAGGCTTTCAGAGGCATTTGTTCTAATGGCTGTATTTGGCTGTATGGTGTCCTGTTCCGATGCCGGCAACTCTGGCAGAAGATGCTGCTCCGAAGAGGGCCGAAAACACCCGGCATGGTGGCTGGGGCGGGGGGTGGGGGAAGGAGGAGGCCTTGTGGGGGTCTCCACCATCAATTCCCCCTTTTCTTTCTTAGCTCCTGCAATCCATCACCCCACACCTCTGAGTCCTGGCAGAGTGGGTGAGTGTGGTCTCCCAGCCCTGTTCCAGACTCCCATAACACAGTCCCCACCAGGCAGCCGGAGGGCTGGGTCCCGCTGCCCGTAGGACAGAGACGGCTCCTTGCTGGGCCAGTGATGCCCTATGTGCTCAGTGCCTACAGCCCTGCAGCCTCGACTCTCTCTGCCTCCTTCTTTAGAGACAGGTCGTGCTCTGTTGCCCAGGCTGGAATGCAGTGGTGCAATTGTAGCTCACTGCAGCCTTGACATCCTGGGCTCCCGAGTAGCTGGGACCATAGGCACAAGCCACCAAACCCAGATAATTAAAAAAAAAATTTTATAGAGACAGTGTCACCAGGTTGCCCAGGCTGGTCCCAAACTCCTGGCCTCAAGGGATCCTCCTGCCTCGGCCTCCCGAAGTGTTGGGATTACAGGCGTGAGCCACTGAGCCTGACCTCCTATTTCTTGACTGTGTTCGCCGTCTCCCGTGTGGGCCTCTACACAGGCTGTTCCTTCAGCCTGGGAGGCTCTTCCCTACCCATCTCCGCCTCCTAATTCAGGCCTGACCTGCCCTCACTTTCCTGGGGGTCTGCTTGCTTCTACTGGAGCTCGCTAGTTCCATTGACCTCAGCTCTTCAGCTGCAGGCTGCATGAGCCTGGGGCTCTCTGGCAGGCACTGCCTCAGAGGTTGCAGCTCCCACTCACTCAGTGGCTATTCCTGACTCAGAACTCGTACTTCTCACACCTTCCACGGCCTGAGGACTCTCCTCTGAGGCAGGAGCACTGCAGAGCCTCCTTCCTCCTCCCCCTTGGCCTCCGTCTCTTCCATCCCTACAGCAGGAGCTCTCACTGGCCCCACCAGGCGGGTGAAAGGCCAGTCTTAGAACACAGCACAGGTACGTTGCCACAGCCATGCCCTTGAACTGCGCCCCTCCAGGCTCCCTTGCCCTTAGGTCATGGTTGGGTTTGGCGTTGGGAGGCCCTGGCAGGAGATTGGGGGTGGGAGGAGAAAGAGGTCTGCGGTTTCTTTCCACGGCCATGCCAGCTCCAGCTGTGGTTGTGTGGCAGTGGCTTCCTCCACCTGACCCCTAGACCCTGCCGACCCTGCCCTCTGGCTCTGGCAGAGTCTCAATGCCTGCTCTCCCGCCCAGCCCCTGTGCCACAGGCGGGTCCCGACTCCTGCCACCGCCACTCTCTAGGTGACTCGGTGTCCCTTGCTGGGGTCCTTAGCCCTGCCCGTCCTCTGTGAGACTCCTCCCTTAGAGTCTCCTCAGTGACCCGTGACTGTGTCCTCTCGCTCCCGTCAGGACCCCAGCCCAGGTGCCCACCGCATTGCTGTGCCACCTGGGGCTTCCTCCCTCTCTGAGCCTGCAGCCTGGAGCTGGTTTTCTGGAAGCTTCCTCTGTCCCCCTTCTTGGGTGCTCTGTGATGTGTGATGCGGCCTGGCTGCCAGGGGTTGGGGGTCGCTCCCCCATGGTCAACTCTGGGCTGAGAAAGCTTTCCCCTGGGCAGAGGGGGTCGGTCTCAGGAAATGAGTGGCGCGGTCACACAGCTGAGGCCTGTAAGCTGCTGCTCCTGAAGCTGGGACGTGAGAAGAGGCAGGCTTGGGGCTGGGCTTGCTGAGCCTCGGGGGAGTCCGCTGGAATGATCACGCTGTCCCCTCCTCTGGATGTCCCATTTCTGGCTCTTTCTCCAGGTGAGCTCAGCCTTCAAGGTCGAACATGCAGACCTCCAGGAGGGCTGTTGGGGAGCAGAGTGTGGCCTGGCCTGGGAGAGCTCAGCTTGGGTTCCAGCCTTCTGCCTCCAGGATGTGCTGCTGTGCAGCCCTGGGAGGTCCTCTGACCATTTCTGAACCTTTTCTTTCTGCACCAGCTCACCGGGAGGTGCTCACAAGGAGAGCAGTCACTCATGGGGAGTAGTCAAGGTCAAAGGTAGGGCTTGGCTAGCCTTTTCTGGAAAGGCCCAGAGAGTAAATATTTCAGGCTTCATGGCTCACATGGTCTCTGTTGCAGCTGCTCGACTCTGCCATTGTAGTGCAAAAGCAGTCACAGTCAATACAGAAATGAGTATGCATGACTGTTTCAATAAAGCTTTATTTATAAAAACAGACAGCGGGCTGGATGGGATCGGCAGGCTATGGGATGCTGACTGGTCAACAGGAAAGAAAATCCCTTTGTGCGTGCTCAGATCCTGGAGAAATGAACATCATCATTAGAAAGTCTTGCCATGACCTTGTCAACAGCACCGATTTCTCTCTCATGAACAAACTCAGTCGTAGGGAGGCGGTCAGGGAGGGCTTCCTAGAGGAGGTGATGTCTGAGGCTACCTTGAAATAGGAGGTGACACCTAGAGGCTGGAGGGGGAAGGGGATCCCAGTTGAAGAACTTTACTCTGTTAAAGGAGGAGTGGTGGCAGAGGGGAAGGTGCTGCAATTTGTAAACTTGAGAGTGAACGGGCTGTCAAAGTCCCAAAACCATGATAAATGCCCCTGAGCTTCCAGCGTGGGCCCACGTGCTCCTGAGTGATGGTGATTTACGATGGCTGAGAGTTTTCTTAAGCAAGTGGTTTTCGGAGGAAAAAGAAAGGTCACAGCACGTCAGGCCTTACACATCTTATCTTGTTCTCCACCAGCCATAAATTCCCTTTGAATGCAGCAGAGCCCGACGAAGGTGTTGGCTGCCAGGGGATGGACATTAATATCAAATAAACAAAGGCAGCGATCGCATACCTGGCTGAGCAGGGAATGCCGTTATGTTATTATTCTGGGGGTTGGCTACAGGGGCGGGCCCATGAGGGTGGCTGCCAGTGGAGCCCAAGTGCGAGATGAGAAATCTCAAGCTGAGCTGGAGGAAGTGGCTGTGCTGGGGGCTCTGGGGCACAGGTGGGGAAAAGGCAGGTGAGGCTGGCTGGCCTGAGGAGGGAGGGCAGCCTGGCCTGGCATCTGCAGGTGGTGGAGACTTGGTCCTGGTCCTGGCTGCAGCCAGGCACCCTCTACACATGCAGGTGTGAGCAGGCCTGCTCTACTTCTTCTGGGCTGTGTGGTTCTGGACAGCTTGCGCACCCTCTCTGGGCCTCCTATTCCTTAACCATCTACCCCTCACTGCCACCGGAAGTTCACTGCTACAGAAGGGCAGAGATAGCACACCTGGACCTCAGGCCCCTGGCCCCGAGACACCTGCACCAGTGACCCCTGGCCCCGAGACCCCTGCACCAGTGACCCCTGGCCCCGAGACCCCTGCACCAGTGACCCCTGGCCCCGAGACACCTGCACCAGTGACCTCTGGCCCCGAGACACCTGCACCCGTGACCTCTGGCCCCGGGACACCTGCACCAGTGACCTCTGGCCCCGGGACACCTGCACCAGTGACCTCTGGCCCCGGGACAACTGCACCAGTGACCCCTGGCCTAAGGATACCTACACCAGTGACCTTTGGCCCTGTTGCTTGCCCTTTGCCCCTCCCTCCTGAGATGGAACCTGGAGCCTGGAGCCAGGGCCTGGATGTGGGTTGCACTGGGGGACTTGGTCTCTCTGTGCATGTTTCCTTGGCTATAATGTGGGGTTGTGATGGCACTGACCTGGTAGGCTGTATCATACGTGCCTGGAGCCCAGCACGCACATATGTGTTAGCTGTTTAGCTGTTGTTTTTGTCAAGCAATGTGTTTGTTTTCACTTAATGACGTGGTGAAGATGAAAAATTTAATTCTTCAGAGCAGATACTCATTGAGTGTCCTTCTGAAAAAAGCACTGCTGTTTGAATTATTCGGGTCTGTTTGGATACAAACACAGTCTTTCTCTGCCTTTCCCTACCCTCCTTCTGAGGTAGGAGGCAGGACTCAACTCCAGAGGCAGGACCACACTGAGGACTAGCTAAAACAGGGAGCGGGTGGAAGCTGCTTTCCCTGAGACATGCCCACCAGTGCACCTGTCAGTTTACCATTGCCATGGCAGTGCCTGGGAGTGACCGCCCCTTTCCATGGCGATGACCCAAGACCCAAAATTCCCACCCTTTTCCTAGACATTTCCGCAGAAACCGTCCTTTAATCTGCATGCAGTTAAAAGTGGGTATAACTGTGACTGCTGAACTGCCGTGGGCTGCTGCTCCCTGCCTTCGGGGAGCCTGCTCCGCAGGAGCCACCTCGGAGCTGTGACCTGAGCTGCTGCGTCAGGAAAACTCTTCCCTTCTACCTCTGGCTGGCCCTTGGGTTCTTTCCTGGGTGAAGCCAAGAACCCTTGCTGGCTAAGCCCCACTTTGGGGCTAACTTGCCTTGTGTTGCTTCCACCACCAACACAAAGAGAGCCTGTGCAGACAAACGCCCACTTATTACTTGCCGATTGTCTCTAAGATGTCATACGTAGTATGTGACTGTATGTACGTGTACAGATATTATATAATATTATCTACATATCTACACTTAGCTTCTTCATGCGGTATTTTGATACCCAGCTGATGCTGGCACTTATGCTGAAGGTAGGGAGGAGGGAGAGGAGGAGGAGGGAGGGAGGAGGGGAGAAAGAGGATGACAGAGCACAGGAGTGAGAGCGAGAGCGTGTGAGCTGAGGGAGGTGCTGGGGAACATAGTACCTTTCCTGTGTGTGTTACACTGGGGTTTAATCAGATTTTGCTTCCTCAACACCCAGGAGGAGCGAAGGGCAACTCCAGTGGTGTTAATGGTGGAGACGATTTGGGAACACAGGGCCCTGGTGTTGCCTTATAGATCTCCGTGCCTAGAGGGTCCTGTGACGGGCGTGGGGCAGCCAGAGGGCAGCTTGGGAGCTCCTGCCCTGCTGGGCTGGTCGGTGGACAGGCTGTGTGGGGAGGCCACCGTGGGCCCGCCTGAAGGAATTTCAGAGACAGTCTGGTTTGATTCGGCCACGTTGGACACACCCCCATTCGGAACGGTGGCTTACTGGAAGGCAGCTGTCTCCTCAGGGTGACCGTCAGCTCCTGAAAGAATCGGTCCATGGCATAGCTTCTCATGCCCAAAGTCTCAGCCTCAGCAGGCGGGTTTGGGGCCTTAGGGAACATGGGACAAACCCACAGCGAGATGAGCGAGAACCTAAGTTCTGCCGCTTCACACAAGGCGCAGCTGGGCCGTCAGAGTCTCGCAGCTCCCGGGTGTGAAATGGAGACCTTATCTCTGTCTTCTCACCCCCTCTAACCCCCCAACCCCCGGGGGAAAACGATCGATCCCTCTCTTGGTCCGGTTGTGCCTTCAGTTCCCCCATCCTCACCATTTTCAGTGAATAAAACCCCGAGCCTTCAAGGCTACGGTGTCCCTAGGGGCCCCCAGCCCTGGCATAATGCCTGGCACATTGCAGGCTCTCGTACGAGCTCCCTGGAGAAGGAGAAGAGGCGTGAGAGATGACGGGGAGGGGGCCTTGGCCTCCTCTGGAGGCTGTAGGAATGTGGGTGGTTTCCCCCACCAAGCCCAGCACACAGGAGGCCCCCAATAAACGTGTGTCAGCGTGAGCTGGTGATGCGGCCAGACGGTACCGATCTCTTCTAATGGAGAGGGTGGGGGTTTCCCCACGTCGGGCAGCTAGGGGTGAGCAGAATCTCCGGGTTCTGAATGCACTTCCCCACAGGCTGGGGGCTGGGTCGGCCCTCCCAGATCCAGGGCCTCCACAGCTGTCTTTCCTCTTCGGCGGGTCTGAGGCGCGTTCTTCAGGGAAGTTGGGCGTGGCGGTCTCTGTGAAAGTCCCGCTCAGGCCAGGAGGAACCAGCTGCTATCAATATCTGGCTTTGGGTTTTTGGAGAGGTAGCAGGTATCAGGGAAAGAGAGGGACTCTGTGGCCACCCAGGCATGGATTCAAGTCTTAGTTCTCTCCCTTCACAGCTGGGTGTCCTTGGGCAAGTATGCTGGCCTCTCTGAGCCTCAGTTTTCTTCTTCCCAGAAAGAAGCTCACACAGCCTGCTGGGACGGTTAGAAGAGACGGCCCAAATCGCCCTCTGCCTCTCCTGCAGTTAAGGATGCTTGTCCTTGGATTTAGGGCCCACTTGGATAATCCACAACGATTTCCTTATTTCAAGATCCTGAAATTAATGACATCTTCAAAGGCCCCTTTTCAAAATAAGGTTTTTCACAGGCTCCAGGGGTTAGGGTTTTGCCATATCTTTTTTTAGGGCCACGCTTCAGCCTTCCCGCGGGAGCCCGATCTGCATCAGACCATCTTTTCCTGTTCATGGGGATGAGCCGGGCAGAGGCTCAAGGGGCCTGGCTCCCTCAAAGCTGGGCAGAGACCCCAGGACAGGTCGAGGTCTGGAAGGAGCAGCCTCTGCTGGGCCCCAAGAGGGACAGGATGAGCCCAGGTGAGGCTCAGAGAGAGAGAGTGTGGGCTGGGTCTCGATGAGCGAGGTTAGACATGGCTGGAGAAGAGAAAACCCAGTGTCCATATCCCTGCCTGGTGTGACCACAGTGCGACCCTTAATCTCAAAGCCACAGCAGCCCCGTTAAAAAAGGGTGCCCCTCCCGTAAGTCTGCAGTGAGGGTTGGTATCGATCGCACGCTGCATGCTGTGTTATCTTTTTAATTTTATCCTTTCTTACATTGCTGGATCCCCATCTCATTCCCAAGAAGCTGAAGGCATGCGGCAATGCGCGGAGCTCAAAGACCACAGCTGTCATTCATACCAGGGCCTCTACTTTGCCCTCCAGAAGGTTCCCCCCTTCCCCGAGAGCCACTGGCCTCTCCTGTCCAAGGCCCTCAGGAGCCATGCAGACAGGGACCCCGACCTCGCTGCCCTGTGCATGGGTGTGTGGGGGTGCCCCCTGCTTGGGGAGGGCTCATGGTGTCCTGTCTGGGTGACAATCTTGTGGGGCCCTAGGGCAGGCCCCGGCTGTCCTTCCTGTGGAGGGCATGGTAATTCCTGAGTGGCCTCCATCTGCATGGGAGGCAGGAATGAGCCCAGAGGCCAGGGTGGGTGTTGCTTGGGCCTTGCTGGCCCAGCCTGACCATGGCCAGTGCCCCTATGGCAGATGGCTTCGTGGCAGGGCCGAGTTGGCAGTGCTGTGCACAGGCAGGTGGGCAGGGGGACCTCACACCTACCCAGAAAGGCCGCCAGAGGGTCTGGAGTGAGGAGGGGGCAGAAGCACCAGGCCCTTGGCTGTGTGTTCCGTGGGGCACCTGAGTGATGTGGTGAAGAGCTCTGGGCAGCCAGGTGGCAGGTGAGCCCAGGCCGGTGTCCTGAGGCTTGAGGGAGTGAGTGGGGACCTGTGGGCAGCCAGTCCTGAGCCCAAAGTTTCCACAGGCTGGATCCAGGGCTGCCCTGTCCCCTGCACTTGGGGCACCCTGGATGCCTGGCGGTTGAACAGTGTGGGTTTGAAGGATACCGATGCCGGCCCTGCCCTCTGGAATTATATCCTAATGGGGTTAGACAGAGAAGTAAATAGGGGCAGCAAGCCCGAGTCAGGGGGCCAGAAGGGCCTGGAGAAAGCCAGAGCCCGGAGGCGCAGGGAGGCTGGGGCAGTTTCTAGGAGGTGGGCAGGGGAGGCCTCCCTCACTTGGGACCTTTGAGCAGGTGGGGTGAGGGTTGCCTTGGAGGGGAGCAGAAGGGGTGTGACCGGGGCGCCTCGGGGCTGGGGAGCAGGCTGGCAGACTTGTGCATGTTCAGATCCTTCTCCACCCTTAGCTCACCCCCGCAGGTGGGCAGCCGTGTCCCTAAGCCATGGAGTCATCCCCTGTAAAGTGGGTCCGCGGAGGCCTGGCTTACCTGGAGCTGATCGCAGCAGTGAGGCTTCTCTCAGCAAACAGGGCTTTTCATCGTCCCCTTGTTATGATCATTGTAATGCCAGTCACCTCCCCCGCCACTGCCTCAAGGTGGGCAGGCGTCTGAGATGGCAGCTTCTGAACACCGGGCTTCCAGGATCCACATCCGGGCTCCTCTCCACCCTCTTTCCTGGCAGCAGTGGAGGCTGGAGGCTCATGTGGGTTCCTGCCTGGCTGAGCGCCGGCTCCTGCCCCGTCCCTCCCGCCCCACCCTCCTCTTCCCTACCTGCCTCTGCAGGGTGATAGGGTTGGGGATGGAGTGGGCAGAGGCAACTGCACAACTGATAGTTTTCTGGATGCTTCTTAATTTCAATGTTTGTCCACTTCCTGCTGGGAGGCTGTGGGCATCAGGGCAGGTGGTGACCTCAGCAAAAGCCTCGGAAGCTTCTGGAAGGGCACCTAGGATTGTGTGTGCTTCCACATGGGAGCGGATGCTTGTCTTGAAGAGGGTCAAGTGGGCCTGGGCCCCTAATGTCCAAGTGCAGGTGAGCTGCAGATTCTAGGGGCTTCTAGGCAGGGGCCGGGTTCCTCTGCCTCCCGGCCCTGCAGGACGATGGGGGTCCGTGGGGAGCTGAGGCACAGAAAGGCTGGCAGAGCTACTGGGGTGTGCCTGGTGCCCACCCTGGTCTCCAGCCTCCCAGCAGACAACTGGATCTGAGAAAAAGGAGGGTCCCATGAGCTGGTTTGGCCCAACCTCCATTTATGCTAGGGAGGCATTTTGGCCCAATGAGACTTTAGCTCAGAGAGGGGAGAGGCAATTGCCTAAGTCCCCCCAGACAGGTGGCAGCAGGGCCAGGCCATGGGCTGGGGTCTCATCCTCCAGGGCTCTGCTCTTTCCTGGAGTCACCCCTGGAGTCCACAGGGCAGGGTTCCTTCCTTTCCTGAGGGTGTCCAGGCTTCACGTCTGCCCTCATTGCCAGGTAGGTGCAGGGACACCTTTGTGAAGCTCCTGGGCCTTTAGGGAAGACAGAGGAGAAAAGAGAAGGTTGATAAGGTGTAGGGACTGTCAGCCCAAGAGAGGGAGCAAGGAGGAGGGTAGGCATTCATCCTGCATTCATCCTGACGAACGGGGGGAGCTGGGATGTTGGGGCACTCAGGGCCACTCCTGGGGCCCCCCTGACCAACCCCCTGTCTCTCCCCTCCATTTCCCACCTGCCCTGGCCTCCTGAGACTGCAGCTTCAGAGGCACTGGAGCCTTGTGAGGTTTATTCTATCTGCGGTTTAGTTGTTGCCCAGTTAGGGGTAAGTGAGGATTTTGCTGACTTCCGTAAGCTGGGCATGTCTTCCTGGTGGACTTGGAGACCATTGTGCAACCACCTCAGAGGGCCTGGAGCTGTGAGCCGTGGCACTGAGTGCTGAGACCCCGTTCCTGCAGGGGCTCGGGCAGCAGCTGCCAGGTCCTGCCTGGCTTTGGTTTGCCCACCCTGATTGTGTAGTCTGGGACAAGACAGCAGGTGCCGCGTCGCCATAAAAATATCTAAACAGACCAACTGCAGATCCCAGAATTAAGTTTAAAACTGCAGCTATTGATGTTTTCGAAAAATAGCGTGTGCTAAGAGGCAGGAAGATATTTTGCCCAGTAGGCTCCTTTTCCGTTTTTTTTGGGTGTATTTTATTGATTTCTGCCCTGAAATAGTGCTTTTGACATTTTAAAATAGAATCCTAGGCGAAGGTATCCTAGGCTCGGGATTTAAGTGAAAATGGACATGGCTTTTCATAAATGCAACTTTAAGACAAAGCACTCAGGTGCTGGCTTCCTGGGCTGGCTCAGACGTCTTCTACGCCCTCCTCTCTGCAACCCCCTCCTCCATCCAGGCTTTTGGACTAAAAAAAAGCCACTGGGATGACTGCTCATTGCTGCTTTATCATTCTGCTATGGATTATTTTCTCTTCTCCACTGCTAGATGGGGCAGGAGAGAGCGGTGCTGCAGGTCAAACACGGAGTTGCCTGTGTAAGCCTAGGGCTAGGCTGCCGCCCTCAGCCTCAGGGTCCTGGGCCCGAGGCCATCCAGGCCCAGCATCTGGTGCTGGCTTCTTCCTCCTTCCTCCTTCTCACTGGGCAGCCCCTGCTTCAGGCCAGGAGGGCCCTGGGACTGTAGGAAAACTTGACGAAGTCCCCAGTCTTTGGAAAGACAACCTAGAAAAGGGCAATTCTGATACAGAATGCAGGTCCTGTCCTTGGGCCACAGGCCAGTGGCTGGGCTCTCTGAGGCTGGGCTTCCTTTCCACGAGTCCCAAACACCCCCTGTCCTGCCGGCAGTATGGGCTGCTGCAAGGGGCAAGGAGTGGTGGGAATAAGACAGAGGCCCTGGTGGAGTCTCGCCCGCAGCTCCTGCCTCAGCTGCACTCCTCCCTGGCCTGTGGTAGTGGCCGGGCACTAACGGCTGAATGTTTCTGTCCCTCCAGTCTTCATGAGGAAATCCTAACCCCCAGGGTGATGGGATGGGCAGGTGGGGCCTTCGGGAGGCAAGGAGGTCCTGAGGGTGGAGTCTCATGATGGATCAGCGCCCTTAAACAATGAGAGTCCAGAGAGATGCCTTACCCCATCCACCATGTGAGGCCACAGCAAAAAGACAGCCATCTATGGACCAGGAGGCAGCCCTCTCCAGATGCCAAATCTGCTAGTGCCTCGATCTTAGACTTCCAGCTCCAGAACTGTGCGAAATCAATTTCTCTTGTTGATAAGCTTGCTTCCCTTCCCACTGTTGTCCAGGCTCCATATCTGTCCCCATTGCCAGGCAGGCCACCAGGCTTTGACATTCTGTTATGGCAGCTTCTATGGGCTCAGACACCAGGCCTTCAAGGGGTCCAGCCTGCAGGTGGTGCGGCCCAGGTGCGCGTCGTAGGAGAGGAGGCACTTCATTGCTGTCAGCTGCTTGGCTATTCCATGGCTGTTCCATGTCCCTAGAGACACCCGTGGGGCTCAGTCCCAGCCTCCTGTTGGTGCAAAGTGGCTTCCACATGCCCAAGGGCTGGTTTTCAGTCATTGGAGGCACTGCTGGCCCCCAGGGTCATGAGCCATGCCTGAGGATGAGCTCCCAGGTTGGCTGGATTAGAGGGGCTGAGGGGAATTTGTCCCTGGGCATCTGGGGACACCAGGGCTGCACCCCACGTCTAGTGACTGCAGGAACAGGTACTGCAGGGCAGGGACAGCTAGGTGGCCAAGGCTGTGGGAGCTGCATGAGGAGCAGGGACCAGTGCTGGTGTCCTCTGATCCACCGGCATTGCCGGGGCTCACGCTGCGGGGGTCGGGGAGTGATGGTAACAACGGCCGAGGGCTCCTGAGCACATCCTCTGAGCAGGTGGGATGTTAGGATTTTTCCTGCATTTCCCCATCTGACCCTTCTAGAAATTCTGCTGGCAGGTACTTCTCCATTGTCCAGGTGAAGACAGGTGAAGCAGAGAGAGTGATCTGCATCTCTGAGGTTCAGCAGCTCCAAAGTGGCAGAACTGTGAGCTGAAGCCCGAGAACCTAGTGCCAGGCATCTCCGGGCGGCTTCCATGGACCGCCGCCTGCAGGGATCAGTGGCAGGGGGTGGGGGCTGGGGGCAAGCCGGGCTGTGCTGGGGGGTTGGGGGGAGGTGGTGGTGGAGTTAGTAGAGTCTGGGGGCTCCAGCTTCCTTCCCAAGGTGGGGCTGCCCCGGAGGAGGCCGTACAGACCGGCCACAGTGTGGGGCCCGTTAGTCACCACAGCTTTGCTTAGGCACCTGCAGAATCCGATGCCTGGGGTGGGTGACGGCCGGGGGCCCTGCCCTGCCGCCTCCACCAGCAGGCCCGTTTATCCAGCTCTCTTGCGCTGGTAGGGTAATTAGCTCCAGCAGCTGGGACTACATTTTCTGAGCAGATGCCAGCAAGAAGTTAGTTGTTCCGGAGTAGTAAATTATGTCATCTCTTTTGTTTTTATTTAAAATGTCCCTGCCTTCCCCTACCAGCTCCTTTTCTTCTAGCCGAGGGCCAGGGGAAGGTGGTTTCAAGACATGCTGTAATGACCGGGATCCCTGGTGGCTCCCGATGGGCAGCCATGAGTCTCCAGGTTGCCAGTGGCTCTGAGTCCAGCGTGAGGGGGCTGGAGGCCACGTCAGGCTCCGAGAGGGGGTCTAAGCCGGAACCACACCATCCTGCAAGGAGCAACAAAGATGCTGAGCGGCACGCCAGCCAGGCTCTGCACAGCTTTGCCAGGCTTCAGAGCTAGGATTCATCTATCTTTAATTCACTCAATAACTCACAAATGATTAGCTTGTGACAATTATACTTTTCAAACATGAAAGAGTGTTGTGATGCTGCTGAAGGTCACGGTGTGAACAGACCCACCGGCGGGTCCTGGACATCTGGCCCCACCCCTCTCAGCCCAGAACGCCGGCAGTGCCCGCCTCCTCCCTCTGCTCCTGCCCTGGGCGAGGCTCTGCTCTTGCAGAAGAGAAGAGATGGCCCCAGTGAGCACAGGGACCCGGGTTGAGATATGGTGAGACTGCCCCGGTGCCCTGCAGGACCTGTCCCTAGGGCCTGCCTTTCTCTCCCCAGATATCATTCATTTGATGCCTCAACACAGTGCCAAGTCACGCCACTGTTCCCCAGACATATATTAAACAGTGTCTCCAAAACTGGCCCTGCCATCTCCTGGCCATGTGGCCTTGGCAAGCCCCTTCACCACTCTGATCTTTTGTTTCTTCTTCCACAGGTTGAACCTACGCAGCTGACGTCATGGTTGGCACGCAGCTTAGTCTTGTATCTGGCTCCGTGGGGCACGTGGTGCCCTGTGCACACATGCCCACCTCGCCCTGTTGGCCCCTCTGGGCACAACTGACTTTGGGATAGGGACCAGAGCCTGAACTGTCCTGGGGGCCCAATGTCATTGGTGATCCCCTAGTTGGAGAATGCTCTCTGGCAGGGAGCAGGAGAGGAAGAGAGACTGAAGCTGGAGGAGGATGCAGTGCATGTGGCTGACTGGCAGGTGGAGGGGTCACCCAAGGAGGAATGGGGGCCCTAGGGCAGAGAGCAGCCTCCGTGGACGCCAGCAAGGAAACAGGGGTGTCAGGCCTGTAACCTCAAGGACCCGGATTCTGCCAGTGCCCGAGTGAGCCTGGGCAAAGATTCCTCCCGGAGCCTCCAGGTTGGAGTCCAGCCCCACCACACCTTGATTTTGGCCCATGGGACCCTGAGCAGAGCCCAGCTGAACTCATATGGCAAGAAAGACCGGAGCTAAAAAGGATGTTGTTTTAAGACACTAAGTATAGGGCGATCTGCTACACAGCAATAGAAAACCACGGCAAAACCCACATGGGTGAAGACACTGGGTTTGGGTTTGGACGTGCTGAGCTTGGGACGCTTTAGGACTTCCAGGTGGAGGAGTCCAGAAGGCATTGTTTGCCCATCCATGGTGCCCTGAAGAGACCAAGAGGCTCACATCAGAGGGTGGTCTCAGAGAGGCCGAGCGTGTGACAGCAGAAAAATCGCTTGCCGTCTACACCCACCCTCCCTCTCTGCACGAGGACGTGGCACCAGAAAATTGGCAGTCTTTTCCTAGCCTAAAGCACCGCAGTGAGCACCAACCAGTGGTTGCCATCACCGGCCTCACTCCGAGTCCAGCTCCTGTGGCAGGATAGCCGAGCTCTGCAGAGGGTCCCGGGCTGGGGCCTGGGGCTGCGTCCGCCAGGCGCTTCCCTGTCTCCTTATGCTCCAGGGGCCGTTGGCTCTGGGGCATGCAGGGGTCCCAGTGGTGCCTGTCTCTCATCCTGCATCCCTATCACGCTGGCGCACACTAGGGCCCCTCGTACTGCTGATGTCACATGCTGACTGCTTGCCGCCTTCCGAGAGCCCGTCCTCTTCATCCAGGGGCCCCAGCAAGTGATGCCATTTTAACACAAACTTCAAGAGCAAAGTTTGTGAATCGGTTGCTTTGAGCCCAGGAGCTGTGTCTTGCCTGTGCCTGGCCTGCTTCCTAAATTCCAGGGATGCCTCCTGACCTCCAAGCCCACTCCTCAGCCCCCATCGTCTCTACTTCCTTTTCAGGTTGCATTCAACTCAGCCGTAAAACAGATCAGGGCTGCCGGATCCCCGCTGCTCAGAACATGAGATTTTCTCCTGGCAGTGGGAGGCCTGACATCTTATTAAAAACAGAGCAAATGGCATCAGTGGAAAGGTAACTCAGGGCTCTGAGTGATTTGTACTTCTGGGTAAGGACTTTAGCCTTCCCGGTGGGTGGCCCCTCAGCCCAGCAGGAAGAGAGGTGGGCTCCACTGTCACAGGGTAGGCGTCCCACTGGTGTGGAGGTGTCGTGGAAGGCTGAGCAGGGAGTGGCACTGTGAGCCACATCTGGGGGGCTCACCCTGCTGGAGGGCAGCAAGGAGAGACTGGGGAGGCCTGTGAGAACTGCTGGGTGCCATCCCCAATGCCCCATCCCTGCTGTCCCCAGCTGGAGCCCTCCAGCCTGCACTTGCTCAGCGCTGGCCTGGCTACGAGAGCTGTGGCTCACCCTGAGGGTCCCACATCCGCCTTGGTGCTGCCCCAGGCTCCACGGGCATCTGGCCACCTTCAAGTGCTGCCTGGGGCCATGGCATCGCTGCTACCCTCCCAGCCTCGGATCAGCCCCTCGTGGGCATCTCTACTCTGTAGCCAACCTGTGGCCCTGTCTGGGCTGGAGATGCCCAGCCTCACTCATCACCCTAGCAGGGGCCAGGAGAGAGCCGGAGGGCTGCAGCTTTTGGATGCCCTGGGGCACTTGTCAGGGAGGATGGAGAGAGGCTGAGGGGACAGAGCTGGTGCCTGGGGTGCGGAAGCCTGGCCCCTGATGTGCTGTCCTCACTCCCTCCCCTCTGAGCTCCTCCTGGTGCACATTGGCAGGGAACAGTCAGCAAGGAGAGGTCAGGCATCACTATGGTGAGCAACGCTGGTGCCCACACCCGGGGCCACGGGCTAACTGGGGAACTGAGGGGCGGGCTGTGCCCAGGGTTCAGGACAGCCTCCCTGCTCCTGGCCAGCTCTCAGCTTCACAGCTAGCTGGGTTCTGGCGTCTGACTCTTTATCTGCTCAACCCAACAGGTAGTAACTGAGTACCTGCTGTGTGCCTGGGGATGTCTTCTGAGCTGGGACTGGAAAGAGGAGCGGAAGGAGAGGCTGAGCTGTGAGTAAGATGTCTCCAGCCAAGCACGAGGCAGCCCAGCCTACTCAGCAGGGAGCAGAACACAGTGGCCCAACCTTTTTGGCACCAGGGACCAGTTTCATGGAAGATAATTTTTCCACGGACGGGGTAGGGGACGGTTTCAGCATGACACTGTTTCATCTTAGATCATCAGGCATTAGATTTTCATAAGGAGCGAGCAACCTAGATCCCTTGCACACGCAGTTCACAACAGCGTTCAAGCTCCAGTGAGGATCTAATGCCACTGACCTGACAGGAGGTGGAGCTCAGGCAGTAATGCTCACTTGTCCACTGCTCACTGCCTGCTGTGTGGCCTGGTTCCTAACAGGCCACTGGCAGCTCCATGCCTGTGGCCTTGGGGCTGGGGACCCCTGGGAGAAGGGACAGCTCACCCCATGGGCAGGGCTTTGGAGAGCATGGCAGTCCTGGGAGTGGCCTGGAATTAGCCACAATCACCCTAGTGCGCCTTCTAGAGTTGGCAGGTAAAATGAGGGATGCTTGGTCACGTTAGAATTTCAGATAATTAATGAATATTTTTTCAGCATAAGTATATCTCATCCAGTATTTGAGACATACTTACACTAAATAATTCGTTGTTTATCTGAAATTCAAAAATCTAAATTCCTGTAATTTTAGTTGATGAATCTGGCAAGCCTAGATCTTGCCTGTGGGGGGAAACTCGGAAGAGGGCCTTTCCCTCCCCTGACCCACAGGCCATGGGGAGAGTGGGCTGGGAGGAGAAGGTGGAGACCCATGGAGTTTGGTGGCCACGCTGGGACCACCACCCATTTGGTGGCTCAGCTGGGACCCGTGGGGTTTGGTGGCCACACTGAACGAGTGTTGTCTTCACAACATCTGTAGTTCCTTGGCCAGGGCTGGGGGGCCTGGGCCCCCATACTACATGCGTATTCCCCACAGAAAAAGTCATCATAAGACCCCAGATCTCTGCAGCTGAACAAATGAATGCATTTTCCATTTGATTTGGCTGAGTCACTCCTCCGTGTTCTTCTAGGAATCGAATAGCTCTAAGTGTGTTTGGTCACTGGTTTTGGCCACTTGACCTAGCCAAATGTTGCTTCCTGTCTGGAACAGAGCCTTGCTGTCTTGACAGCACAGGCCTGAGTGACCTCAGCTCCCTCATCTGTCCCCGTCTGTGTCTCGGTTGCCTCGAGTGCTCCCTGCTTCCAGATGGAAGGAAGGCGCCTGCTGGTTCCAGTGGTGGAGGCGTGGTGTGCACAGTCGAAGCGGACGGATGTGTCCCCCATGAGCTGTGTGATCATGGGCTAGTGGCTGCCCCTCTCTGGGCCTCCTTTCCATCTGCAGGTCATGGGAACTCTTCCTCTTATAAGCACCGTGGTGATGGAGCAGTCCCCAGCCACATGCTGCAGGACCTGAGACGGGTTGAAGTTGGCTTTGTTGAGCCAGAAATCTCAGGCCTTCTTCCTTGGAGCAGGGGGAGGGAGGTGTTACATTTTAATCAAACCAGTTTGGGGCCCCAAAGTCTGATCAAGAACTAAACAGCTGTTTTAGTGGCAGCAGGTTGAGAGGCCGAGATGACTCAACATCAGAGAGGCCAGGGAGGAGCGACAGGAAAGGCCTCCTGCTCCCCTCCACCCCCAGCCCAGGGGCTGTATTCATCATGGGAGCTGCTCTCCTCCCCCTCCCCGGGGCCCAGGGTGACCTGTGACCTCTCCGCTGTGACCATGGTACAGCCAGAGTGGACAAGGACAGAGGAGAGGGGGATCCAGCCTTTTCTGGGAAGCAGCCGGTGTCGGAGTCAGGAGCAGGGGATCATCAGAGAGAAGCCGTGAAGTGGGGCAGGCTTGGCTCAGCTTCAAGTGTGCCTGGAGAGGAGACCCTGCTCCTGACCACATTGGCTTCCAGGCCCTGGGGTCGGACAGGCCTGCGAGGCTCATGGAATGGGTCTGAGGACCTCCACAGGCTCCAGGGAGGGCAGAGAATTGGGAGGACATTGTAAGAGGACCTCCAGGTTTTCAAAAGTGGTTGTCATGGTTTCCAACAATCTTGAGGGGGGGTAAAGAGATTCCTCATTATTTTGTAGTCAATCCTGTATACTAACAATGAATGACTCTATAAAACTGCAATGCTTGCTGTTCCGCCGTGGATCAAATAGTTCCTGATGAATTCATTTCTTCTGTTATAATGCCCTGACTTGTAAGAAACTCTTCAGGTGGCTAGAAACAAACATTGGGAATGCACGCCTCTGCGATATCCCAACTCCAGCTGAGATCCTGGGCAGGTGAGGTGGGGGCACCTCCCGCAGAATCAGGCGTGGTCCAGCCTGGGGGTGCCGCTCGGTCCAGAGGTGCTTTGGGGAGATGCCCTTCTCCTCCAAGGGCAGGGCTGTGGTTTGTTTGTAAGAGCTGGGCTGTAACAGAGCCCAGCTCTCTGTGTCCCCAACACCCACGGGGTCTCCCGTCCTCCTGTCCCCCAAGGAAAGGCTGGTTATAGACAGGCTTTATTCCTGCTGCCCCGCTGGCCTCGCAGCCCTGCTCTGTGAACGCTCAGGCAGAAAGCGTCACACACTGTTTGCTGGGCACTCGGCACATCCCCTGAGATGCCCAGATCGCTTAGCATCCACTGTGTCCCTGGTTTCTGGACTCTCATTTAATTGGATGAAGAGGTATTGACCAGGCAACGGGCAGGGGGCTGGTGGGAGCCATCAGGTATGGCCCCTTGGGAATGGCTGCTCGAAGGATTCCTGACAGCTTCAGTTGGAGGTGTGTCCCCCTGACTCACTGCCCGGCTCCCACAGTGGGTGTGGCCCCCTCCTGGGGAGCAGTGGTCTTCAAGTGGCTTGCGTGGTCATGGGGGTGTGCAGGATCGCCCATCAGAGAGCAGGGAGCGGGTGAGAGCTTCTGTGTAGGGTGGTTTTTCTGTGCACTGTGGAACTGCGGTGGTAGCATTGAGGCAGGGAGTGCCCTGGCCCTCGCTCCTGCCTGATGTCGGAGGGGCGTGCACTGTGGACCCTAGGGCACCCCTGAGTGGGGTCCACAGTGCGGAGGAATGGACAGCACCCACTCTCTCCTTCCCTTCCAGTGTACTGCGCCTTTTGCAGTTTATGAGTGCCCAGTGCTGTGGATTTATTCGCCAACTTCTCCAGCCATATTTCACATCAACCTCACAGAATGGACAGGCGCCCTGGAATGTGTCCCTGGAGGTCACCAGGGCTGCTTAGAGGAACTTTAAGTGCCTCCCCTCCCAGGCACGTGGCTTCCAGGCTCCCTCTCCCCTCCCCCGTCCATGGCAGCATTGGAGATGGGGCTGCTCTTTCCACTGGGTTCCTGGATGACCACAGGGAGGAGAGACTGCACTAGGCTCCTGCAGCCCTTGGTGGGCACACAGTGTGCGTGAGAAACTAAGCTTTGTTGTTGAAACTCCTGAGGCTTGGGGGTGCTGTTTGTTCCTGCCATGTAAACCAGCCTGCCTGACTACTGCACCTCCAGAGACTGTGGCTGAAGAGGGTCAAGCGCCCCACAAGCCCGGGAGCAGTGGTGTGACGCTTCTCTCAATCCCGACACCAGAGCTCTGCCAGCAGATGCCATCCAAAACATCACAACTGACCAGCTCCCAGAAAAAATGGGCAAAGTGATTCCAAATAATTAAAAAATCATTTGAGATATGAACTACATGCACTGTCAGTAACAGCTGATCTTTTCCTCAGCATGCATGTGCCTTTGGTTAGAAGCTAACGCTGGCACGACGTTATACGACCTGTACGCAAATACATATGCACAGGCCGGGAGTGCACTTACATGTTTGGGGGAGCACAAGGAAAATGCTTGGAGAGCGAGGCTGCGGCAGCTCAGGTGCTCTGGGAATGAGATGAGAGCCTCCCGTTAGCCTGTAGAAGAGGCACCCGAGGTCTGAGAACCAGGGACCTGCAGGGGGTGGGGTGTGTTTGGCCCCTGCTGTTTCGGCATTTCCTAGGCGTCACGAACCCCGGGCTCTTGGTTTCCTGTGTTGCTTGGAAACATCTCATTGTTCCACCTCAGGCTGCTGTGAGGTGGTTGTGCCCTGTGTCCCGTGCTCCATGTTCAGGAATAAAATGCTCTCTGCCACGTGGACCCGCCGGCTATGCTCCTTGCCCTCCCTCTTCCCCATCAAAGGAATTCCTTGCCCCCTGCTCTGTGGGTTTAGAGTCGTTCTTTAAATGCTTATCTATCCTACCGAGTGCCGAGCCATGGGGACGGAGGACTCCAACGGGGTCCCTCCAATCCCTCGCCACGGCAGCCTCTGTCCTCCCACGGGTGCGACAAGGCCGGCACCTTTCATCCGCGTTGTCCCAGCCATTTTATCCGCCTTATCTATTTTATCCCATGTGTCTACACAGATCCGTGGTTTCTCTAACTTTTTATAGAGCAGTGCAAATCTTTTTCTGGAAGAAAATCTTGCATGAGACTCCAACATATAAGAGGTGTTAAGCAAAGCCTCTCGGGGAAGTGGCAAGGGCAGGCGCTGCGGAGGCCCCCGGGCAGAGGTGCCTGCCTCCATCTGCGCCTTTGTCTCCACACCCTGGGATTCCCAAAGGGCTCTGTGGTCGGAACCCCCTGGAAGTCTCTGGAGGCCAGAGGCTGTGTGGTCTGCCAAGTACCTGCGTCCTGCATGCAGCTGGCACCAAGCAGGCTCAACACATGTGGCTCATGGCAAACACAACCAGATGGTGCAAGGGGAGGCTTCCAAGACTTCAGGGTGCTCACTTTGGGATGCCTTAAATTTGGGTAGGGACAGGTGCTGCATCTTTGAGAACCACACGAAAAGGCTGTCGGGCAATGAAACATTCACACCTGCAGCTCATACCAGTTCCAGACCATGCTCCAGCAACCATGGGATTCCCTGCCAAAATGTCCCCAAGCCTGCCTCACAGCCCGAGTGGGTTCCCATTGGGTTTGAGTTCTGGAAGGCAGACCAGGCTGCTGATGTGTGTGTCTCTGGGGTGATGGAGGTGGACCAGGCTGCAGGTGTGTGTCCCTGTGGTGACAGAGGCAGACCAGGCTGCAGGTGTGTGTGTCCCTGGGGTGATGGAGGCAGACCAGGCTGCAGGTGTGTGTCCCTGGGGTGATGGAGGCAGACCAGGCTGTAGGTGTGTGTGTCCCTGGGGTGATGAAGACGGACCAGGCTGTAGGTGTATGTGTCCCTGGAGTGATGGAGGCAGGTCAGGCTCCCTGCTGCAGAGGTCAGAACAAATGAATAAGTCAAGTACGGCATCACGTGTAACAACAATTGAGAAAGTAGCAAATCACTTTCACAGCAATCATTGTATTGAAGCCCCACCTCTCGGGCACTAACCCTGCAGAGAAGTGAGTGGCAGCAGCCTCTCTTCATAGACGGGGAGGACGGAGCACAGATGGCGTGGTCAGTGGCTTGCTAAAGGTCATGGCCACAGGGCAGAGCCAGGCTTGAAGCCACACCATCTCCACTTTCCCCACAACCAGACGGTGCTTTATTTGGGTGTGAGAGACAGGGAGCCCAACTCATGAAGGGCCCGTGTGCTGCCAGTGTGGATGTGGGATTTAGGTATGGCTGGATCCAGGGGTCTAATGATGCCATCAGGACCAGACCTCTGCTTGCCTTCTGGCTGGATTCTTTCCCAGGCTCCACGTGGCAGCAATACAGCCCCATCCACTTCAGCCCACATCTTCCCAGTGCCAACTCCAGAGACAAAGAGCACCCTGCAACCAGGGAGCCAGGGAGCTCTTTCTAATTGGCCCAAGCTGGGTGGCATGTCCACACCTGAACCACTCACAATGGTCTGGGACATGAGGGACTCTGATAAGGCAGGGAGCATGCTCGCCATGTCCTCCTGTGTGACCTGTGCTAAGGAGGTGCTCCCCATCCCGGGCCATCCTTCCATCCACCTTCATCCCCCACCCCTGTACTGCTTTGCTGCATGCTTTTCTAATACTTCAAAATCCAAGCCATGTGGCATCTCTCAGGGTGTCTGCCAGGGCTCCGAGCAGGATTCCTCACCCCTCTCTCCTCTGCGGTTGCCTGCGTGGGGTGTTGCACGCTGCTCATCCTGGAAGCCTGTGCGTGACTCCTCATGTGGTCATGGCCTTCCCCCACCAGCTCCTGCACCGTGAACTACCGAGGGCGGGCGCCAGGCCTTGCCATCTCCCTTTCCCCGGGTGCAGCTAGCACAGGATGGGGCCCTGAGCAACAGTTGTTCCATGACTGAACACAAAAATAGGGCTCCCTGGGAGTTGGGCCCAGGGCGGGTGCCCTTTAACGCCTGCCTCTGGGTTGCTTCAGTGCAGATATTGAAATACGGAGTGCGCTCTTCTCTCACTGCAAGCGGGGAGCTTGGCATTTGCTGAGGAGCTTCTGGCTTCAAGGAGCTTTACCCAGGTGGATGCAAGTCCATGCAGCTGAGCCCCGAGGCCGCATTGGCACCCTGTTTGACACAAGGGACCCTGAGGCGCAGGGAATGGAAGTGACTGGCCTGAGGCCATCAGCAAGAGGGGACAGAGCCGGGATGGCTGGGTCTTTGGCGTGGGCCTAGTGATGGTTCTTCAGGCCCTTGATTACCTGACATCCCTGCCCCTCCAAGCGAGGATGACATGCACTAGGCTGTCCATCAGCGGAGAGGCTGGGTGTCTCATGGAGGCCTCTCCACACTGCAGTGGTGACCTGGGGCTCCCCAGCCTCCCAGCTGCTTCTCATACAGGAGTCAATATCAGATCAGTTGGCTAATCAAAGAGTAATTCCCAGGGGATGGGGAGCAGACCCTCTGCCAGGCTCAGAGGCTCCTTGCTATTAGTTTGACAAACTGGGGTGTGTGGGTACCATCAGCTTTTGGGCACTAGGACAGGGAGGCAGGACTTTGGAGAAACCAGCTTGAAGCCACATGCCCAGGGGAGGACACAGGAGAGCGGCTGGCAGGGAAAATGGACATGGGCATCTTCCTCAGGGTCCTGGCGCTGTGCGGTTCAGGGAGTGCCAGGCTGCTGTTGTGTGCTGACACTGCAGAGAGGACACCATGGTGCTGTGGTGGGCATGTCTGTCCCCTTGTCTCCTCCAGGACCCCTCCCAAGAGAGGGCCAGAGCCACCTAGCAGCCACTGTGGCGCCACAGAAGGAGCACTGCCTAGCGAGTCCCCACTGAGGGGCAGTTGCCGAGCCAAGACTTTGAGTGGATGAGGCATGGGGAACTGGGGGGCCAGGAGGCATCTGGGTTATGTCCTTTCTGGCAAAAGTCATTCAGTTGACGTTTCTCTCTTAGACTCCCACTGAGAAAAGCAATCCTGGGAAAAGACGTCATCACGAAGGCTGTGGAAGGAGGCGAGGGCCTTCAGGTGCCGAGGGTGGTGGGCGCCCCGGAGCGCTGGTGGGGATTGGGCAAAGACGTCAACACCAGGGCTGTGGAAGGAGGCGAGGGGCCTTCAGGTGCCGAGGGTGGTGCGCACCCCGGGATGCTGGTGGGGATTGGGCAAAGACGTCAACACCAGGGCTGTGGAAGGAGGCGAGGGCCTTCAGGTGCCGAGGGTGGTGGGCGCCCCGGAGCGCTGGTGGGGATTGGGCAAAGACGTCAACACCAGGGCTGTGGAAGGAGGCGAGGGGCCTTCAGGTGCCGAGGGTGGTGGGCGCCCCGGAGCGCTGGTGGGGATTGGGCAAAGACGTCAACACCAGGGCTGTGGAAGGAGGCGAGGGGCCTTCAGGTGCCGAGGGTGGTGCGCACCCAGGGATGCTGGTGGGGATTGGGCAAAGACGTCAACTCCAGGGCTGTGGAAGGAGGCGAGGGCCTTCAGGTGCCGAGGGTGGTGCGCACCCCGGGATGCTGGTGGGGGGTGTTCACCTTTGTTGCCAGAAGTGTTTGCTCATCCAAGATGGAGTGCTGGGGGTGGCACCTGCGGGTACCAGCCCTGCATGTTCCTGGCTGCCACACCAGTGTGGGGCTCACTCCAGGAACTGTTTTCCTATCTGGGAAGTGAGGGGGAATCTTAAAGAGTCCCCTGTCACCATGATGCCCCACGCAGTCCTCGCAGCAAAGACATGCCACCATGACAGCTGCCCACCTGGGAGACCCTTGGCAGGGCCTCTCCTGTAGGAGCTGCCTCCCAGGGGTGAGCTAGAGAATGCATAGGTGGGGTCGGGAGAGCCTGGTTTGGGCCCAACCCTGTCTCTCTCTATGTGACCTTGAGCAAGTCAGTTCATGTCTTTGAACCTGAAATGTCCTCAGCTGCAAAGTGGGGGTCAGAGACAGCCCAGCCAGGGAGGAACTGAGCAGAGGAAGACATCCTGAGGCCCTGTACATTTGTTAGGGGCAGGCAGGTTGGCACCGAGCTCCCTGGCAGCCAATCACAGAGGAGGCATGGGGTCAGATCATGGGGCACGGGGACCACAGATGACCCCACAGCCATCGTAAGGAGATGAGGACTAAGGGGAGAAACACGGTGACTCCTGGGGGCTGAGAAGGGTGTCTGACGCTCCTCTGAGGAGGGGCTGGGTGGACGCTGGCCCTCCCGGAGCCCCTCTGGCCAAGGCTGGACAGTGAGGCTGTAAGCTGCCTCCCAGCTTCATCTGGACGATCCTCGAGGGGCAGAAGGGCTAACTCAAGCACATGGCAGCCCAACTGTCCACCCAGGCTCCTGCAGGGGCGTGGAGCTCCCGGACAGCCTCTGGACACAGCAATCTCCACTGCCAGCCCTCACTGGGCTGGGGCAGTGGCGAGTCCAGGTGGAGTTTCTGAAACAGACCCGGATGCTGACCAAGACAGGGCAGCCGCTGCCCGTGGAGAGCTGGGTTGAACGCTGCAGCTTGGTTGGAGTACCTGCTAGCCCCTCACCCCTCGGTGGCCTCAGGCTCAGACCTGGTTTTTCTAGGTGTGGGGTAGGGATTAGGGCCTTTGCCTTTTGAGGTTGTTGGGGAGAAAACGGAAATGGATGTCGGTGTCTAGTGCAGAGTGGCTGCCTCAAGACCCCTCTCAAAATTCAGTCCAAGGCACTGAAAATCCGCCCTCAAGTGTCCACAGCGGCGACTCACACTGCCGACCCCTGGGGTCACTCTCCCTCCAGGCTGGGGCTCCTGAGGTCGCCCCTCTCTTGAGAGGCCCAAAGCCACCCGAACACCATGCTCAGCCTTGCCCAGCAGCTTCCCACCGCATGCCCGTGGCCCGCGCATCGCCCCTCGGAACCTCAGTTTCCCTTCCGACTCCTGGCCTCCCAGCGTCTCTGCGAGGCTGTGGGCAGGGTGGTGCTGGGCCAGCTTCCTCCTGGCCTAGGTGGGTCTCTGCTCCACCAGAGACCCTGTACCATCTGGAAACTAAGGCTCTGAAGTAAGAATAAGGAAGATTAGAGACATTAATTTAATTTAGTTCGAGTTCTAATTGTCTGGAGAAACTTCATATGCACTAACATTAATTTATTTCCACTTAGGGCCAGTTATGCTAATTCAAATCCACTTTAAGTATTAAAACACTGATATTGTGAATTAGATAATAACATAGATTAAGGGAAGCAGGGGAGGTGAGAACGGAACTGCGGAGGCAGCGGCAGGAGACGCATCTGTCCAGGGTGGGGCTCCTCCAGCTTCCTCCCAGCCCTTGCTGCTGCCAGAGGGTCAGGGGCACCTCCCTCCTCCGCAGGCCATGGGGAGCCCCGCTACCGTGAGCACCACCCACGCCGTCCCCACCGCCACCACCCCTCTGTCTCTGGCAGGGCCCCGATCTTCACTGCAACGTCACTATCACCTCATCACCGCTGTCACTCTTGTCTTCACCATCGATGTCCTCATTGCTGTCCCCATCACTGCCTCCATGATCGTCACTGCCATTGTCATCAGATCACCACGTCACCCTCGCCATCACTGCATCTCCATCACTGTCACCACTCCATTGTCATCGGCCGTCACTGAGTGGCCACCACTCCCATCACCTGGTCAGTCTTGATGCTCACTGTCCTTACGACTGTCATTCGGGTGGTGACGGAACCTCTCCGGTGCCACTGCTCACACCAATCTGCTCTTGGGTCCCAGCCTGAGGGGCTTGTGCAGGGCCCTGTGAAGGTCTATTTGGAGGCCCCTGGTGCCAGGGCTGATGTGGCCATTCTGACCTGGGGTTCTTTGGGGAGGATTTGGGTCCTAGTGCCTTGGGGTCTGGGCATTGTGCTGGCCCATCACATGAGCCTTAAGTCCAGGCCCAGAGGAGGTGGGGCCAATAAGAGCCCACCCAGGGGAGGCTGCTGATGGGAGGGCTGAGCACTGAGGCCACTGGGGCTGCTGCAGCTGTGAAGGCCCCGCCCGGAGCACACGTGGCCCGGTTCTACAGGTACTGGGTCCAAGCTCTCAGCTTGTGGCTGCCACGTCCTGGGGGCTGTGTGTGCGTGGGCCTGGGCCATGGGCCTGGCTGTGTGCACATCACTGCAGCCTGAGAAGAGCCAGTTCCCAGCTGGCGCTCCTGCCCCACTCACCTGACTCTGCCTGGCATCCTCAGCTGGGCCAGTGCCGCCCTTCCCCAAGGTCCCATTGTTCCATCTTTGCTCACCTAGCACCACGGGGCCTCTGCCAACATTGTTCCATCTTTGCTCACCCAGCACCAACAGGCCTAACTGGCCCGCTGCAAGTTGGCTCCCTGGCGGAGGTCGTGGATGGGTTCTCTCAGCAGGGGCCAGCTGCTGACCGGTGGACAGGCACGCATCTGCAGAGCTCAAGGGTCCCAAGAGCAGGCCCTGGATTCCGCGGCCTCATAGCAGCTGGCACTCCTACACCGTCTCACACCATGTCCACAGCTGCCAGGCCCTGAAACCTGCTCTCCACGTGGCCGTGAGCTCCTTGGTGACGGTGCCCAGGTCATGGCCTGACCCTCTGTCCCCAGGAGGCAGAGCAAATCCTGGAATGGACAAGGTGCTGTGTTTCTCCATGCTGCTGGTGGCAGGGGTGCTCTTTCTACTACCCGGGGGAGTGAGCACCTTCCCTGGAGATGCCCAGGCAGGCCTGGCTGCCATTCTTGGCATCGCTATGGGGCCGCAGGGGCCTGGTGAGATTCTGAGTTCTGATCTCATGTCTGAACACCCATAAAGTGCTGATTGGATCCCCCAATCCCCAGGCTGTTCGAGGACAGCTCCTGCAGGCCCCTGGCCCTGACCTTCCCTCCCAGCTTGCCGTCAGATCTTCTCACTCCAGCCCCTGCTGTTCCCTCGGCCACAGCCTGGCTTCCGCCAGCGCCCAGGACAAGGCCTCTCCACGTGCTCTAAGGAGGCGTCTCCCGTTTCTCCTGCGGGACAGAGCCTTGCTGTCTTTGTCTCTGTTCCCTAGCATAGGGTGCAGGCTCTGCTTGCGGCGTCCTTGGTTGGTCTGGTGAAATGACAGGAACAGATTCCCAATGCTTTATTCCTACTCTCATGCACTCAGCTGTGCTGGCCAAGTGCCTGCTGTGAGGCTGGCCCTACTCCTGGTCACAGGAGTGGGCTGGATCGCGGCGGGCAGTCAGCTGGTGCTGAAGGTACCTACTGGAGGTGTGGACAGGGCCCAGACAGGGCTCACAGCTGGGAAGGCCCAGGTTGGGGTGGGGTCAGAGGCAGTCAGGCAGGCTTCCTCGTAGCTGAGGATGGGGGCCCTCATTCTGTGGCCTGTAGGGTCTGGGAGAGTGGACATGTGGCCCTCTCCCCCCAGCCCTAATGCTCAGACAGGGTGGGTGCTCACTAGACACTTGCTGTGTGAATGAGTGAGTGAGGGTGAACTGTGCAGATGGCCGTGCTTAGGGCCCTGTCCCATCCAGAGGCCACACAAAAATCGACAGCATCTCAGGGCCCCTTGGGCCTTCAAACTGGAGCCCCGTGTGCTCCAGAGCAGAGGGAGGGGCCATGGGAGTGGTGGGTGCTGTGGGCAGACGGACCCACTGGCTCTCAATACGGCCACATCAGTTCCTATCCTAAGATCTTGGGCAAGTGATTAGAGTCTCTCAGAACCTTGGCTCCCCTGGCAGGGGCAGCGAAACACCCATGTGGGGGAGTGGCTGGGCCTTCAACCTGCGTGGGCAGAGCCTCTTCTCTTCTGGGGAGGGTGAGGAGGGGACCGAGAGCCCGAGGTGGGCATGAGTATGGCCAGGACAGGGGCCTTTGCCCCGCCTTGGGCTCTGGTGGCGTGAGCCCCACGTGGTGGGAGGGAACAGAGCAGGCAGAGGCAGCGAAGCTGTGCTGAGGAGCCATGCCGAGGTCCCACCCTCACTGCCCCTGGTGAGCTGTGTGGCTTTGGGCAAGCCAGTGCCCCTCTCAGGGCCGCGGTGGCCTCACTGTCAAAAATGTCGAGGATGGGCTTCTCCAGGCCTTGGCTCCAGAGCCCCTCAGAGCTGAGCCTCACCTGCCTCCTCCTCCAGGGCTTCTCTCCCTGGCAGGGGCAGTGATCACTCAGGCTGTGCCAGGGCTGGGCTGAGTCCTCAGTGTGGGGTTGGCTGGAGCAGGGCCCCCTGTTGCCAGCAGTGTGACTCATCAGGTGTTGATGGGGTGAGTCATCAGGGGGAGCTGGGGAACGGTCTCCAGGGTCTGAGATGCTGGCTCAGAGCAGGGCTGACTGACAGTGCAGCCTGGGAGGCCGACCCTATGCCAGCACCGTGCACTCATCGTGGCCCCACTCCCACCTCATGCTTCCGGTCCCCTCCCCGGGCTGCCCTGGTGAGTCAGGGCACCCTGGGTCCTGGAACCTCTCTAGTCCTAGTGTCACCTTGCACAGGTGGGCAGACTGAGGTCCAGAGAGGGTTCATGGCAGGGACAGGGTGAGGACCCAGACAGCACGTGTGTGGCCCATGGTGCCCACACCAGGAGGCAGGTGTGCGGGCGAGGACCTGACTTATCTGCCTGCTCCTTAGGGTCTTGTTAGGCATGGAAGGCAGAACCAGGGCCACTTGGTTTTGGCTACAGCCTGAGGTAGGGGAGGAAGTAAAGGTCCAGGGCTTGCACCTCACCCTGGTGGGTAAAATGGTGGTGGGGATGGGGAAATGGGACACGTGCAATTTGGCAAGTGCAGGCTGCGTGTCCAGGGTAGAGTGACAGAGTGAGGAGCTTGGAGAGGGTGGTGGGATGGGAGTGGCAGGAGAGTCATTGTTTTTAAGAATGATTTGTTCCCTCTTATTTTCTGCTCCCTCCTAATCCTACTACCTCATATGCATAAAGGGCAGATGAGTTTTGGGGTCTTTTCCAGTTATAATGGCATATTGCTCTTGTTGAGTGCATAGCCAGGAGCACATAGATACATGCTCAGCAAATCTTGGATGAATAGATGGCCCTGAGAGAGAGTGGATGAGTGGTGGATGGATGGAGGGGTGGATGAATAGGTGGGTGGGTGGGTAAATGATGAAAGGGTGGATGGATGGATGGGTGGATGGGTGGGTGGATAAATGGGTAGATGGATGGGTACATGTATAGATGGATAGGTGAGAGGACGGATGGGTGGGTAGATGCATGGGTGGGTAGATGGATGGGAGGATGGATGTGTGGGTGGATGGATGAATGGGTGGATGGATTGGAGGGTGATTGGATGGATGGGTGGGCAGATGAGGAAGGGGTGGATGGATGGATGAGGTGGGTGGCCAGATAAATGGGTAGATGGATGAATGGGTGGGTGGCTGGGTAGATGGATGCATGAATAGGTTGAGTGGTGGATGGATGGATGGATGGGTGGGTGGATGGGAGGATGGATGGATGGATGAGTTGGTGGGAGGATGGATATAGATGCATATGTGGATGGAGGAATGGATGGATGAATAGATAGGGGGATGCGTGGTGGGACAGGAAGATGTCCGGATGAATAGATTTTGGGTAAGGGGATGGATGATGCCTGCAACCTTTCTAGTAGCAAAACTTTGGGCTTTCTCTCCTATTAGCAATTAGATAGTGGGGGAGCTAAGTGCCCATCAAAAGCCCTGGTCTGGTGGATGGAATCTCTGGGCATAATTTTCACTCTGTCACTGTGTGACCTTGGGTAAGTCATTTACCCTCTCTGATGTTCCCTTCCTCATTTGCAAAATGAAAGGGATTGGAGTCATTGCCTCCAAGTTTCCTTGCTTTGTAAGGGGGCAGCCAGGGGTCTCCTGCCCTCTCTGCCCTCTGCCCCTTCTCTCACCTTCCCTTCTGGGCAGGGGTCCACTCTCCGCTCCCTCCAGCATACCTGGGATTCAGGGCCTTCCCGGGGATTGCAGCTCAGCTGACCTGTGGTGAAGGACGGGCAGGTGGTCCTGCTGCGACACCTTCTGGAGAAGGGACTGCCAATGCCAGCTCCTGGCCAGATTTGGGCAGGTGCCCAGCTGGCTTCAGGTTGTCATTTAAGGGCTGCGGGGGGCTGTCTGTCTGTGTGACCTCCCTGGCTGAGGACACAGCCCCCTCTGTGGTCTCAGACAGCTGCCATCTGGCGGTGGTGGTCTGTGGTAGGGAATCATATTGTTTTTGTTATGATTACTTTTTTGGTGAAGTTGAAGTGTAAGTATTCATCTAGAAACACTGCAGGTTGCCTCCCCAACCCACACCCTCCCATCATTCTATCAGCCACCTGATGTTGCCCCGATGGCAGGGTGTCCATGGGACAAGTGAGAAAAGGAAGAGAAGAACTGACATTTTCTCCAGGACGATTACAGAATTAGAACTGGAATAATAGTGATAATGCATGCTGCACCTGGGAGGGCCTGTGTGGTTCTGAGCATGCACGTTGGCGTGTGTCAGCGTGGGGAACCTGAGTGGTAATGGTTTAGGTTTCTGGGCCCTGCCAGCCAGAGTCCCCTCCCCAGCTCTGCTCCCTGCGGATGGGTGGCCTCGGGCCTGCCTCTTCCTGTAGAGGGGAACATACCCCACCTCCTAGGCTGTGAGCGACAGCACAGTGACTGCCATGGTTGTCAGTGATGAGGCCCTTGTCTCCTCCTTCCTGTCTGCATAGCTGCTGCTGGTGGGACACGCAGCCCTGCCGGCTGGATCCACAGATCCCCCAGCCCTCATGCTGGACCCCCAGCCCGCTCCGGCCTCCCTGGGACCCAGGGCAGAGCATGGACCATCACAGACCTAGGGACCTGTGTGTTTGATGAAAGGAGGCTCCAGGAGACAGGGATGCACCACAGCTGTGTCTCAAGCACCAGGCCGTATCCCCTCTCTGGGCCTCAATTTCCCATTTGATGAACACATGTGACAGGCATTTCCATCCCCGGTGTTTCTTAGGTCCCTTTCAGCCTGGCTTTCTTGGCTCTGAGACTGCAGGAGGGAGGAAACTTCGCACCGGTACTTCCTCTGTGCCAGGGCCTGTGTAGGGCTCAGGACATGCAGTGATGGCCCCAGATCCCCTCCCATGGAACTGTGCAGGGAGGCGGCCCCAGTGGCTCCCCCCGGGTGGTCCTTCCATCGTTTTACAGTTGAGGACGAGGCTCTGTGGGGCGCTGGGCACAGCTGAGGCTCAGGGCTGGGAGACGAGGAACCCCGCGTGACAGTACTGGTCGTTGAGCCTGGAAGCAGGTCAGGGGCTGCGGCGGGAGAGGGCACTCAAGTCCTGAGTGTGGCCTGGAGGGGTGGAGGCTGCAGGGACATCCTCAGTCATGGTTCCTCCTCCCAGGTGATGTCTTGGCAGGACACCTGCCTCTGAAGGGCAGCGGTGTGTGTAACCAGGCCACACCCTGTGGCAGAGCCTGGGAGGGAGCCCCAGAGAGCTGCCCATTGCTCCCCTCCCCATGCTGGACACAATCTCTGTGGGCTTGGCCTGGGCACTTGGTCACTTTCCCTCACAGGCCTCAATGTTGTCCTCTGTGAAGCTGTTCGGGTGTGGTTGAAAGCAGGCAGCCTCGCTGCAGACAGTTGGGACTGGACGCGCTGGTATTCCCCGGAGGTTGTTGAGCGGCAGGTCTCACTGGGCTGCAGCATTGGGGACCTGCTGAGAGGTTTGTAGGGCGCGGGAGAGCCAGTGAGAGCGTATCCGGAGCAGCCGAGGGTCTTGAGGGGCTCAGCTGCTGTGTGGGAGACAACTTTTCCCTCACACTTGTCTGTCCCATCCAGCCCATGCTTTGGGGGCTGGGTTATGCTTTTGTTTTTATGACTTTTTAAAGGTTTTTTTTTAGACAGGGTCTCTGTCTCCCAGGCAGGAGTGGTGCAGAGTGGCGTGATCATATCTCACTGCAGCCTCGACCTCCTGGGCTCAAGCGATTCTCCTGCCTCAGCCTCCCGAGTAGCTGAGACTATAGGTGCACAGCACCACACCTTGATAATTTTTAAATTTTTTGTAGAGCAAGTGGGTTGGTGGTCTCGCTATATTGCTCAGTCTGGCCTTGAACTCCGGCCTCAAGTGATCCTCCCATCTCGGCCTTCCAAAGCACTGAGATTACAGGCATGGGCCACCGTGCCTGGCCTGTTTTTATGATGCTTTATTATTATTATCCTGGGGAAAAGCAACTAACAGGCCAGGCCTGGCCTTGGTGCGGGTCTGGGAGGCAGCTGGTGTCACCTGGCAGGCAGTCTGCTGGGTGTGACCAGGAAGCCCAGGTCTGAGGAGAGAACCATGTGCAAGCCTGGGATGCTGGGGGATGATGGAGGGAGCTGGGGCCCGGCATGGCCCGACATGGCTGGGGAGCCTCCTAGGATCCTGGTCCCCTTCCTGACTGAGGCTGCAAGTCCCGGGAGGGGCACCTGTGAGCTCGGAGGAGTGGGCAAAGGCTCGGGAGCCTGTGCTGCCTGCCGCTGGCTCTCGGGGCCCTTGGGCATCTCTGTGCCCTCTCTGGGCCTCAGGGAGTGACCTGAAAACTCCCTGGGCCTGTGGAGGGAATTGCCGGGCTCAGGCACACGCCCCCTCTGCAGGGCCTGCTGGACTGGCTGGCTGGTTCTAGGGCCGTCCTTGAGCCGGCGGCCTGGCTCCCAGCCAGCCTCTGGGTGGCAGTGGTGGTCCAGCTTCCTCCCTTCAAAGGCCAGGGCTCTGCCCCAGGGTCCTTTTTAGGGTATTGCCGGCAGCCAGAGGCCAGGGACATTTATGGAGCTGCCCTGTCTCCAGGTTGAGGGGGCTGAGGTGGGCTGATGGGGCCTCAGCAGTGAACCCTTCATCTGCCGGGGCTTGTTGTGGGCCTCAGCCGCTCACCAGATGGGGCCACACAACCGCTCCGTGACCTGCTTTGTGCACACAGCCTCAGCACTTGGCCCTCTGCCCTGACAGAGCTGGCTGAGCACCCCCGCTCCGTGTCTCTTTGTCCTTCTGCCTGTCCCCGATGCTGGGTGATACCATTTGCACCTCAGAGGTCCTTTGAGAGCTGAGAATCTTGGAGAACATTCCATGACATCCCGGCCATGTGCACCTGCAGCTCGGGCCTGGCAGCTTCTTGTGTTGGGGGTCTCGCTACCACCTGTTTCAAGGCAGCCCACTCCATACAGGGAAAGCTCTAGCCTCCGTTTATCGAACTGAGGGTCTACAAAAAATCATGCTCACTGGCTTCGCCCTGTGCAGAGGGTCTGGGGGCTGGATGAGGCCACCGTGAGAGGTGCCAGGCACACGCTTTCCCCCTTCCTCCACTTGCGAGCTTCCCCACAAGACCAAGCCAGGGTCCCCAACAGGCCCTGCCTCTCTCTTCTGGCTCCACGGAAGCAACCTGCACCTCCGGCCTCAGGCCAGCCCTTCAGGGCTGTGAAGAGCAACCTGCCCTGCCCCATCAGGCAAAGGGAGACACGTCTATCAGTGCACCAGTGCGGTGACACTGCCGATGTGGGGCAGCCACCAGGGTGTGGGGTGGGGCAGGTGCCTGGAACTGTGTGGGTGAAGGCCTAGAACAGTGTGGACACAGCTACCTGGAATAGCATAAACACACACACCTGGAATAGTGCAGGAAAGGTCCTGGAACTGTATTGTCATGGCTGCCTGGAATAGCATGGACACAGGTGCTTGGAACACTATTGGCAAATGCCTTGGAACAGCATGCGTGAAGGTCCTGGAGCAGTATGGGTGAAGGTCCTGGAACAGCATGGGAAAGGTCCTGGAACAGCATGGGAAAGTTTCTGGAATAGTGTGGGTGAAGGCCTTGGAACAGCATGGGAAAGATCCTGGAACAGCATGGGAAAAGTCCTGAAACAGTGTGGGAAAGGTCCTGGAACAGCGCAGGAAAGTTCCTGGAACAGCATGGGAAAGGTTCTGGAACAGCGTGGGTAACGGTCCTGGAACAGCATGGGAAAGGTCCTGGAACAGCATGGGTGAAGTTCCTGGAACAGCATGGGTAAGGTCCTGGAACAGCATGGGTGAAGATCCTGGAACAGCATGGGTGAAGGTCCTGGAACTGCATGGGAAAGGCTCTGGAACAGCATGGGAAAGGTCCCGGAACAGTATGGGTTAAGGCCCTGGAACAGCATGGGAAATGTCCTGGAACAGCATGGGAAAGGTTCTGGAACAGCATCGGAAAGGTTCTGGAACAGCATGGGTGAACGTTCAGGAACAGCATGGGAAAGGTCCTGGAACAGTATGGGAGAGGTCCTGGAACAGCATGGGAAAGGTTCTGGAACAGCATGGGAAAGGTTCTGGAACAGTGTGGGTGAAGGTCCTGGTACAGCATGGGAAAGGTTCTGGAACAGTGTGGGTGAAGGTCCTGGTACAGCATGGGAAAGGTTCTGGAACAGCGTGGGTGAAAGTCCTGGTACAGCATGGGAAACGTTCTGGAACAGCATGGGTGAAGGCCCTGGAACAGCGTGGGTGAAGGTCCTTGAACAGCATGGGAAAGGTTCTGGAACAGCACGGATGAAGGTCCTCAAACAGCACGGGAAAGGTTCTGGAAAAGCGTGGGCAAAGGCTCTGGAACAGGATTGGTGGAGGTCCTGGAACAGCGTGGGAAAGGTTCTGGAACAGCATGGGAAAGGTCCTGGAACAGCATGGGTGAAGGTCCTGGAACAGCATGGGAAAGGTTCTGGAACAGCATGGATAAAGGTCCTGGAACAGGATGAGAGAACGTCCTGGAACAGCATGGGAAAGTTCTTGGAACAGCATGGGAAATGTCCTAGAACAGCATAGGTGAAAGTCCTGGAACAGAGTGGGAAAGGTTCTGGAATAGTGTGGGTGAAGGTCCTGGAATAGCATGGGAAAGGTCCTGGAACAGCATGGGTGAAGGTCCTGGAACAGCATGGGAACTGTTCTGGAACAGCATGGGAAAGGTTCTGGAATAGTGTGGGTGAAGGCCTTGGAACAGCATGGGAAAGATCCTGGAACAGCATGGGAAAGGTCCTGGAACAGCGTGGGTAACGGTCCTGGAACAGGATGGGTGAAGGTCCTGGAACAGCATGGGAAAGGTCCTGGAACAGCATGGGTGAAGGTCCTGGAACAACAGCATGGGTGAAGTTCCTGGAACAGCATGGGTGAAGGTCCTGGAACTGCATGGGAAAGGCTCTGGAACAGCATGGGAAAGGTCTCGGAACAGTATGGGTTAAGGCCCTGGAACAGCATGGGAAATGTCCTGGAACAGCATGGGTGAACGTTCAGGAACAGCATGGGAAAGTCCTGGAACAGTATGGGAGAGGTCCTGGAACAGCATGGGAAAGGTTCTGGAACAGCATGGGCAAAGGCCCTGGAACAGCATGGGAAAGGTTCTGGAACAGCGTGGGTGAAGGTCCTGGTACAGCATCGGAAAGGTTCTGGAACAGTGTGGGTGAAGGTCCTGGTACAGCATGGGAAAGGTTCTGGAACAGTGTGGGTGAAGGTCCTGGTACAGCATGGGAAACGTTCTGGAACAGCATGGGTGAAGGCCCTGGAACAGCGTGGGTGAAGGTCCTGGAACAGCATGGGAAAGGTTCTGGAACAGTGTGGGCAAAGATCCTGGAACAGCATGGGAAAGGTTCTGTAACAGTGTGGGCAAAGGTCCTGGAACAGCATGGGTGAAGGTCCTTGAACAGCATGGGAAAGGTTCTGGAACAGCACGGATGAAGGTCCTCAAACAGCATGGGAAAGGCCCTGGAACAGCATGGATAAAGGTCCTGGAACAGGATGAGAGAACGTCCTGGAACAGCATGGGAAAGTTCTTGGAACAGCATGGGAAATGTCCTAGAACAGCATAGGTGAAAGTCCTGGAACAGAGTGGGAAAGGCTCTGGAATAGTGTGGGTGAAGGTCCTGGAATAGCATGGGAAAGGTCCTGGAACAGCATGGGTGAAGGTCCTGGAACAGCATGGGAACTGTTCTGGAACAGCATGGGAAAGGTTCTGGAATAGTGTGGGTGAAGGCCTTGGAACAGCATGGGAAAGATCCTGGAACAGCATGGGAAAGGTCCTGGAACAGCGTGGGAAACGTCCTGGAACAGCATGGGAAAGGTTCTGGAACAGCGTGGGTAACGGTCCTGGAACAGGATGGGTGAAGGTCCTGGAACAGCATGGTAAAGGTCCTGGAACAGCATGGGTGAAGTTCCTGGAACAGCATGGGTAAGGTCCTGGAACAGCATGGGTGAAGGTCCTGGAACAACAGCATGGGTGAAGTTCCTGGAACAGCATGGGTGAAGGTCCTGGAACTGCATGGGAAAGGCTCTGGAACAGCATGGGAAAGGTCTCGGAACAGTATGGGTTAAGGCCCTGGAACAGCATGGGAAATGTCCTGGAACAGCATGGGTGAACGTTCAGGAACAGCATGGGAAAGTCCTGGAACAGTATGGGAGAGGTCCTGGAACAGCATGGGAAAGGTTCTGGAACAGCATGGGCAAAGGCCCTGGAACAGCATGGGAAAGGTTCTGGAACAGCGTGGGTGAAGGTCCTGGTACAGCATCGGAAAGGTTCTGGAACAGTGTGGGTGAAGGTCCTGGTACAGCATGGGAAAGGTTCTGGAACAGCGTGGGTGAAGGTCCTGGTACAGCATGGGAAACGTTCTGGAACAGCATGGGTGAAGGCCCTGGAACAGCGTGGGTGAAGGTCCTGGAACAGCATGGGAAAGGTTCTGGAACAGTGTGGGCAAAGATCCTGGAACAGCATGGGAAAGGTTCTGTAACAGTGTGGGCAAAGGTCCTGGAACAGCATGGGTGAAGGTCCTTGAACAGCATGGGAAAGGTTCTGGAACAGCACGGATGAAGGTCCTCAAACAGCATGGGAAAGGCCCTGGAACAGCATGGATAAAGGTCCTGGAACAGGATGAGAGAACGTCCTGGAACAGCATGGGAAAGTTCTTGGAACAGCATGGGAAATGTCCTAGAACAGCATAGGTGAAAGTCCTGGAACAGAGTGGGAAAGGCTCTGGAATAGTGTGGGTGAAGGTCCTGGAATAGCATGGGAAAGGTCCTGGAACAGCATGGGTGAAGGTCCTGGAACAGCATGGGAACTGTTCTGGAACAGCATGGGAAAGGTTCTGGAATAGTGTGGGTGAAGGCCTTGGAACAGCATGGGAAAGATCCTGGAACAGCATGGGAAAGGTTCTGGAACAGCGTGAGAAACGTCCTGGAACAGCATGGGAAAGGTTCTGGAACAGCGTGGGTAACGGTCCTGGAACAGGATGGGTGAAGGTCCTGGAACAGCATGGTAAAGGTCCTGGAACAGCATGGGTGAAGTTCCTGGAACAGCATGGGTAAGGTCCTGGAACAGCATGGGTGAAGGTCCTGGAACAACAGCATGGGTGAAGTTCCTGGAACAGCATGGGTGAAGGTCCTGGAACTGCATGGGAAAGGCTCTGGAACAGCATGGGAAAGGTCTCGGAACAGTATGGGTTAAGGCCCTGGAACAGCATGGGAAATGTCCTGGAACAGCATGGGTGAACGTTCAGGAACAGCATGGGAAAGTCCTGGAACAGTATGGGAGAGGTCCTGGAACAGCATGGGAAAGGTTCTGGAACAGCATGGGCAAAGGCCCTGGAACAGCATGGGAAAGGTTCTGGAACAGCGTGGGTGAAGGTCCTGGTACAGCATCGGAAAGGTTCTGGAACAGTGTGGGTGAAGGTCCTGGTACAGCATGGGAAAGGTTCTGGAACAGCGTGGGTGAAGGTCCTGGTACAGCATGGGAAACGTTCTGGAACAGCATGGGTGAAGGCCCTGGAACAGCGTGGGTGAAGGTCCTGGAACAGCATGGGAAAGGTTCTGGAACAGTGTGGGCAAAGGTCCTGGAACAGCATGGGTGAAGGTCCTTGAACAGCATGGGAAAGGTTCTGGAACAGCACGGATGAAGGTCCTCAAACAGCATGGGAAAGGTTCTGGAAAAGCGTGGGCAAAGGCCCTGGAACAGGATTGGTGAAGGTCCTGGAACAGCATGGGAAAGGTTCTGGAACAGCATGGGAAAGGTCCTGGAACAGTGTGGGAGAAGACCCTGGAATAATAGTGTGGGCAAAGGCCTTGGGGCAGGAAGAAGGGACAGGTTTCAGAAGCTGAAAGCCATGCATGCATTGTGGCTGGGATGTGGCAGCAGTAGGCAGAACTCTGAGCTCAGGGCCCTGCAGGCATGTTCAGGAGTTTGGGCTTCATCCTGAGTACACAGGGGTACACTTGTGAGCGTCAGTCATTATTGGGTCTCTCCAGGTCCCCCTTTCCATGGAGACCTTCCCCCACAGCCAGCACTATAGCTTGGTGCAGTTTCTAGCTTCTCGACAGAGTTGAAGGTTCAGCCGCAGAGCGTGGGAGGAGAGTCAGGGTATTTCTCCTCCTCTCTGCCCATCTGCTGGTGCTGGCAGGCAGTCCTTAGCCTCCAGTGCCTGCCAGGTACCCTTGCTACCTCCATGTCCCAGTTCCTGCGGGCAGCCCCTATCACGTGGTGCGGGGTGGCCTGGAGGCTCTGGAAACCTGCCCCGCTCAGCTGGGCTGGGTTGCTGTGGGTACTGATCCCTGGGCAGCCTCTGTGCTCCCTGGTCGGCTCTCAGGTCCCTGCGTGGACATGCGTGGCCTCACGTTCCCTCTCTCTGGAGGCCTTGGAGGGTTTTCTGTCCTGTCTGGATCCAGACTGATGCCTTCCCTTTCCCTTAAGCTAGTTTGAGTTGGGTTCATGTCACTCAAAGCTGAAAAAATCCTGACTCTGCCTCTTAGGAACTTACGAAGAGGGTGATGGGAGTTGATTTGAACTTTCGAGGAGTTCCTGGATGTTGGGGAGTTGGAGGTGGGGGCATTCCTGGCAGAAAGAACTGTAGATGCAAAGTCATTAAGTGCAAAACAGCCAGAGCGGGGTCCTGCTCTCCAGGGGACATTGGCCATATCTGCTCTGTCAAAGTCCTGGGACATGTTTTAGTGTCACCACTGCAGTTGGGGTGCTACTGGCACCTTGTGAGTTGAGGCACGGATGTGGCTGAGCACCCAGCTGTGGGCAGGGTGGCCTCATTCTGGCAACTGCCTACCCAGGTGTCACTGGTGTGGAGGGCGAGACACCTGCTGTTCACCAGTAGGGACAAAGGGATGCTCTCATCTTAGGCATTGCCCTCCGAGCAGCGGGCAGCAAGGGGTGCCAGGAGGTAGAGGCTGCACAAGGGGCTGCCTTACTCTGGGGAGCACCCAGCCTGGCTGCCGCATGGGCAAGGCGGAATGAGTAGGTGTGATAAGGGCTCGCGGAGCCTGTGCTGGATCTGGGGCCAGGCAGGGGCACTCGTGTATGGAGCAGCGGTCAGCATGCTCAGGGCCACTAGGCAGGTCCCTGGGTGGTACCTGTCGGGGAGCAAGCAGGAGGGGCAACTGCTGGGACCCTGGAATGCCAGGCCCCGGACTCTGGACCAACACCAAAGGCCACCGATGGAGGAAGGACCCTGCTCCCAGGCCATGCGCACGGACTCACTCCTCCAGCTCCGAGCTACAGCCAGGCACAAGGGGACTTTGCTGAACATACGCAATCTCCCTGCTGCAGCTGCTGCCGAGATGGCAAAGTGACGGGTGAGAATCCTGTGCGCTCCTAGCACCGAGCCTAGCACCCTTCCTCCCTCCTTTAGGGAGGAGCTGCTTGCCTCAGTGACGGTGGAAAATGCTCTCATTTGAAGAACGAGATAGGATCCGGGGCGCCTTGAGAAAAGACACTTCCTGCATTCAGTGGCTTCCAAAATTCATCAAGAAATCACACAACAGAGGGGTTCAGAAGAGGTGTTCCCCGGCAGTCAGGGCCGTAGAAAGACCAGGTGAGAAAAGATGTCCCCTGGTAGTCAGGGTCATAGAAAGACCAGGTGCTGCAGTGGCGCTGGCTGTGGGGAGTTTCTGAAGTGCCAGCCAAAGGCTATCGGCTCGGGGCAGCTCAGCCATGAGCAGGCCCTGCATTGGTCCACTGGCATGCATTTGTCATGAGACCTGAGACCTGTCCTCGGCTGAGCCCCCAACACCGGTGCTGCCCTCTGTGGCCCTGTTGGGAGGGTGGAGGGCAGGTTTTTTGGTAGGAGAATGACAGGTCTCACTCAGGGAGTGAGAAGGGGTCAGTGGTCAGTGGAACGTCCCTGCGTGGTGCTGGCCTCCGAGAGGGTGAGGGTGGGCACTGCCAGGCCCTTGCTGCCCGGGCTTGGAGCTTGCAGTGTCAGCCCTGTCACATTCTGTGGGCCGCAGAGGGCTGCAGACTCAGGGCCGGGCAGCTGTTATGACCATTTCTTTTTTTCTTTTTTGAGGCAGGGTTTTGTTCTGTCACCCATGCTGGAGTGCAGTGGTGCAATCATAGCTCACTGTAGCCTCAACCTCTAGGGCTCAAGCAATTCTCCTGCGTCAGCCCCCCAAGTAGCTGAGAACACAGGTGCATGCCACTATGCCTGGCCAATTGTTAGATTTTTGTAGAGAGGGCGTCTCATTATGTTGCCCAGGCTGGTCTCTAACTCCTGCGCTCAAGTGATTCTCCTGCCTTGACCTTCCAAACTGCTGGAATTACAGGAATGAGCTACTGACGCTACCTCTTAATGAAAGTGGCTGCAAAATGCTGTGTTCATGATTCTCAACACCCCACAGTGGGGACAGGCGAGGGCTAGCACAGTGACTGGGTGGGCCACTGAGGGAGGTGACAGGTGCCCCCGGGGGGACCCCATGTTCCCCACCAGCCTGTGATGGCTTTGACCTGGAAGGCGTGGAAGGCTCAGCAGGAAATGTCTGTGACATGTGCACAGCTGGTGGGTGTGACTAGGGAGAGCAGGTGGAGGCAGGGAGATTGCAGGGGCCTCCTCATTTATTCAGCACTTATTTATGAGGCATCTACCATGGGCCAGACTCTGGGGCACAAGTAACTCACCCCTGCCCTCATGGAGTTGATATTCTTTTTGGCAGGGGGAGGCAGACTGACTCAAGTGACAAGCTCAAGCGTGTTGTCCCTGGCGAGGGAAAGGAGTAGGGCCTGGGGTGGAGCACGCAGGATGAGGCAGTCTGCGAGGGCTGCCTGGAGGAGGAGACAAGGGAGTCAAGACTTAAGAGATGAAAAGAAGCCAGCTTCCCTGTGAAGAGCGCAGGGATAAGCATTCTGGACAGAGGAACAGCGTGTGGGGAGGCCTGAGGGCTGGATGCCGGCGATAGCGAAGCTTCTGGAGGGAAAGTGAGAGGGAAGGAATTGCAGCTGCTCCAGGGTCACTGGTCACCTTTAAAAATGTTTCCAGATGTGAGTTTGTGTCTTTCAAGTCTGTTTTTGCATGGAAGTTGAGGTTAAATACAAGCCTGTTTATCTGAGGGACGTGGCCTTATCTGGGCCTTTGCCCCAGGTGGGTAAGGCTCACCCACTTCCCTGTGTGCAGGACGACTGGAACAGTAGAAGGTGTGACACCTGCCTGGGCTCAGGCCAACACTTCCTGCAGCCCAGGAAGTGTTGTGGACACGTGAGGACCACACCGGCATGGGACTGGATGGACTAGCGGCCAGATAAGCCCTGGCTGGGCTCCTGCAGCAAGAACACGACAGTCCCAGGAGGTGACTTAGGCTGTGGCTCGCTCTGTGGTGTGCGCTGGGTGGGCCATGGGCTGGGAGCAGCTGTGGGGAGGGGTCCAGCACTGCCGTCGAGGAGCCTGCTCAGGGCAGCCTGCAGGGTTAAGGCGGCAGCTGGTGGCAGCGGGTTCGTGCCCTGAGGAGCTCCTGAAAGCATCTGGGGAGTGGGGGGGTGCTGGCCTAGGGCAGGGCCTTGCTGCCCCCACCAGATGAATTGCCTGAGTGTGGCTACGTCTCTGCCGTCCGACCAGGGCCTTTCTGCAGGAGCTATGCCTCCCCACTGAGATTACAGGCTTCCAAAGGCTAGGCCAGGCCTCTACTCGAAATTTTCAGCTATCTACATGGAGGCTGGGGCTGTGCCATCTCTATCCAGCCACGAGATGCTGTTTCCATGTTTCTGGAACAAGCTCTCCCCACCCCCTGCCTTCTCTTTTTCTTAAACTTTCCATTTTCTTTGCGCAAATCCGCCTCTCGCCGCTGGTCTCTTGGTTTGATTAGAGCAGTCACTTCTAAGCTTGAAAATACCCAAGTTGAGAGAAGAAGAAAAAAAAAAGAAAGAAAGAAAGAAAAAAGGGACGCAGACTCCATCCCGCAGTTGTTCGACGGAGATTTCCTTATCTCCTGGCCACAGTCTGTGGGTCCGTGTGTGCTTAATAACCCAGCAAATCTTGTCCTTTGCAGAGAACATGACAGCCTGTCAGCTGGCAAAGCCCTTCGCGGTGGGACTGCCCTCCCTTGCAGCCTCCACCCGGGAGGAGCAGCACCTGACTGGTACAGGGGAAGAGGCCCGGCCCAAGGCTAGGCTCCTTGGAAGCGGGGTTTGGAGGGGTGCAGGGGGGAGGCTGGAGGGCATCGTCCTAGACTCGGAGCCTGCGTGGCCAGCATGGGCCTCCCCTGCAGCTCTTGGGCAGGAGGAGGGCCTAGAGACCCATGCTATAGATGGGGAAACTGAGGCCCAGAGAGGGAGCGGAGTATCCAAGGTGGGGCACAAGGCTCACCAAGCAGGACGAGGACTGGAGTTAGGAAGCTTGGACTTGGTCTTCACTTTGTCCCTGGACTAAATGTCCCCACCTGTAAGATAAGATGAGCAGGTAGAGTAAGGTGTTCTACAAGACTCCGAGGGGCCTGGTCTGAGGACACAGCCAGGGAGGCCTGGGCTCTAGGCTCCAGACTCGGCGTTTCCTGTAAGCAAGCGCCCTGTGGGAGGAGGGGGGTTTGCGCAGGGAGCAGGTGGGGTGTGCTCGATGGGGCCTCCCTATCTGGGTGAGCTGTCGTTGCACTTTTAGGAGCCTCTATCCGTCTACCACCTGCTTAGGCAGTCACTGAATCTCTCTAAGCCTCGCCTTCCTCATCTGCAAGATGGGAACAGTAGACCCTTCTTGCAAGAGCCATCGGGTGGCCTTGCCAGGATTAACCGAGGCTGGGGTGCCCAGCACACGGGAACGAGTGCTATTTCTCACTCTCCTCCCACTTGCAGAGTTCAATTAAAAAAGAAAATCCCTGACACGCCGGGTGGCTTTCACGTGGGAGATTGCAGAGTGCAGATGTGTGGAGAGGTAATTTTCCCCTCTCCTTTCTCCTCGCCGGGTTATTATCTGAGCTGGAGAATCTAGACTTGAAGTGGAGTATGGAGAACTTGAGAGAGGCTGGAGGGGTCTCTCCAGAATGAGCCCCAAATTGGAAAACTTCTCATGAGGACGGGCTGAATAAAGTGCAGTGTTTTGGTGCAAGGATGAGAGCAATGAAGGGGGACCCAGCCACGGGCTGGAGGCTCTGGGAGAGCCCCAGAGAGCCTGCAGAGGAGGCTGGGCATGGCTGTCCCCTTCTCCAGGGGCCAGGGGCCAGAAAGCAGGTGGGGCCGGCTGGCGGAGAAGCAGGGGGACAGGGAGAGACTGTGTGGGAAGGGCAAGAAGGAGCAGCGTGCTCTGTGGGGCGCCGGTGTGGGCATCAAAGAGAGTGGCCGTGGGCACCACACTGCGGGGCCTCCACTGTCGCCTGGTGGTGCCACATCCTCACTCCAACCAGATCTTCCTCCTGGGGGGTGCACTAGACACAGAGTGGCTCCCCGGCCCCCTTGGGCTAGTGGGGAGCAGGGCTGGGCAGGTGGACACAGTACGGTGGAGTGATAAATGCCGTGATGGGGAAGGCAGGACCCCACAGGTCATGTCACAGGGACTTGGACTCAGAACATGCAGACCCCCTGCAGGTGGGCTCCCTGGAGCTGGAGAGTCGCCATCATCCTCACTGCCTTCTTCTTCCTCCTCCTCCTTCTCCTCCCCATCCTCTCCCTCCCACTCCTCCCCCACTCTACCTACATAGCAGCTGCATCGGCACCTACCAGGTAGATTTGAGAAGAAATTCTTGCTGGGATGGGCGATGGGGCCAGGACCCACCAGAGCTGCTTGAAGCCCATCTGACTGGCAGCCCCCCAGCGGCAGTCCCAGGCAGGAGACTGTGCCACTTGCTCATCGTGGCTACCTGCTCTGGTGTCACTGCTTCTGGAGCTGGAAGATGTCTGCATTTCCATAGGTGATTAATAAAAAAAAGGCTACAAGATGAGAAAATCGCCCTGGCCACAGGCCTCAGACTTATCTAGCGGAAATCAGATGGCCCTCCCATTTTCCCTGGAGCACCTCTGGTCTCCAGAGACTAAGTCCCAGTGACGGTGACACTCTCTGGCCCCCATGTGCATGGCCGGGGCGGCTGAACTAATGCAGACTGAGCATTGTCTAAGGGGCCTGGTCTGGGTGAGCCGAGTGCCCAGAGCACAGAGCCTGACATAGGGCTGCTGCGTGCTGTGGCCTCAGAGGGAGGTGCAGTCCCATGGCACCGGAAGGGAGGGTTAGGGGAAGCGAGGCCAGGGAGTAGGGGAGAGACACAGAGGGGCATTCCTGAGCTGGCGGCAGCTGCACGGGAAGGTATAGCTGTGTCTCCATCATGTAGAGCATGTCCTGAGCACCCCCCAAGTGAGAATGTGGTGCTGGGGAGGAAGACATGGAGGGCGCCTGCCAGCACCTGCCCCCACTGGTACCGAGGCTCCCCCATCTCTTACCCGCCCCTCTGGGGAGATTCCAGCCTCACAGCAGTGCCCCCGTGGAGTCTGGAGGCGGGGTAGGAGTGGGCCCTGGAGAGTCTGCAGCTGTGGCTGTGACAGGCCTGGCCCTAGCCCTGGGGCAGACAGGGATAGTTGGGTATTAGGAGGTGGGTCCCTGGGGGCAACAGCCAGGACTCCCCGCTGGGCAAGGCAGGAAGCACAGGGGCAGGTGGGCTGTGACTCAGAAGGGCTCCGTGATCACATCTGTGGGAGCACCGGGGGCTGGCACTGGGAGAGACGCTCAGTCCAGCTGGAGGGGGAGCAAGGGGGCTTCCTGGAGGTGGGGGTGCCAGAGCTACACCTGCAGGAAGAAGAGGATTCAGGTGGGAGAAGAAGGTGAAGGACTCTAGGTTGATTTGGACTTTTTTCCTTGACAGTAATGACCTGCTTCCTAATTAGGGAGAGAAATGGGGTGGGGAGAGGCTGTGGATGGAGGCGGATAAAGCCCCAGCTTCTTCCGCAGAGAGAGTGCTCCTCACCGCAGGGCAAGAAGGGGGCCGCAGGACCAGGCTTTCCTGTTCGGAGGCGCCATTTCCAGCCCTGGAACCACCCACTTCTCAGGCTTCTCTGGGCCACGTACACCAGGCAGACAGCGCAGCCTGGGCCACACCTCAGAGGACCTGCGAGGCCCAGGGACCGCAGGGGACCGTCAGTGGGTGAACTCTGGAGTTCAGGGTCCTGGGAGGGGTGCAGGGTGGAGGGTCCCCTGCTGGCCTCTGTTCTACAGGTGAAAAAAAGGGATGACTGGGGCCTGCCCCTCGCCACTCCACCTCTCTCCGAAACTCACATGCAGTCACACTGCCCTGAGACACCTGTCCCTTTCAGAGCTGTCCTGGCTCATGGAGGGGCCACTTGATTTCTCAGCTGTCATGAGTTACCCCAAGTACATAACCTTGCTTTTATCTCCTCAGACAAAGGTGCCTCCATGGCTGCACTGACAGTCTCCAGCACAAGAGAGGAGAAACAGCATCGGAGGAGACAACAGTCTCCCTGCGTATGCAAGACACGGTGCGGAAGTCATCTCCCCAGCATCTCAGCCCCTGCCCACTGCTGCTTGGGACAAGGTCAGACTGCCCCAGGCAGAGAAACAGGGGACTCCACACAGGGCTGGCCAGATGGACGCAGGCCGTGTTCGGCAGGACACCACGTGGCGGGGTTGGGTGCTTGCTGCGGACACATGGGCTGGCAGCCTCTCCGTTGTGATGTTGCTGACAGCTGTTGATGGTCAATACCCCGTCCGTTAGCTCACTGGAGGCCGCAGAAAGACGATGTCATTTTACTTTTCTCCACAAATAAGGATTTCCCTGCCAGGAAGAAATGAGGGCTCACATCACCCTCCTTGTGGTCGGGCTCCTCAGGGATGCCCAGTGCCAACACTCTGTGCGGTCCTTCTGGATCTTTCTCTGAGTGTGATGCCTCCTAGACAGCTCTCTCTGTTCCTTTCTTTACAAAACAAATTGGATGGCATTCAATGCATTGATCTGTGGCATGCTACATTCACTCCAGGTTATAAATTATGAACATTTTCCATGTCACTGCATAGAGAGCTGCTCAGCTTTTATCCATAAACATTTCAGAGTGCATCTCTGAAAGATGAGGGCTCATAAAAATATGCAACTGCTACACCCGTCTCCCACCTAAAGGGAAGAACGGTATTTTTTTTATAATGTCCTCTGCCAGCCAGGCTTCCAATTTCTCTGATTATATCATGAATACTTTTTAAACAGGATTTTTAAAAAAATATTTTCGAAATGAGGCCTGCAGACATCCACAAGAGGCCCCTCAGATCTCCTAGTTCACAGGCATCCCCTCCATCCCTCCCTGCGTGCTCTTTTCTCTTTGCAGGTAAGCTGTGGGGGAGGCAGCCCGTGTCCTGGGAGCTTCCAGCTGGGACCCTGATGACACATCCCTGTGCAGTCCCAGTCCTTGGTGGTGAGTTCTGAGCCACAGCAGCGTTGGGCGCTGGTGTTCCTTGGTGAGGAGGTGCAGGGTAGCTGCCTGTCCCTCTCCTCCGTGACATTATCCGCCATTGCCTGCCACATCCCCCAGTTATCAGGGAATCGCAGGATGATGATGAGAGTTTGTCAGCCTTCTGCGCTCGTTGGCTGGAATGCTTTCCTATGAAGGAGCGTTCCCTCGTCAGCTGTTGGCGACGTGGATGTGTGGTTGTGTAGGACGGACCGTCCGGAGACACGCTGGATTCTCTGCCTTTATTCGCTAGCTTCCAAAACAATAAGCTGGTGGTCTTGCCTCCTCCAACGCTTGCCCATGAGGGTTTTCATCATTCTGAATGTGTGAAGTTGCACGTATTTGATAGGTTTCAACCCACTGGGGTTAGGATCTGTGTTGATATGTAATTCCTCCCGTCTTCGGCTTGTGGAAAGCTCTTCGACTCGATTCCCGATGGTTTTGACATGATTCCAGAAAGCTTTGATGGCTTCCTTGCTTTGGGGATGACAAGAAGCTCCAGGCTCCTCTTGGACATTTCCTGGCCCAGCCAGGTAATCGGACATTTCTCCAAGGAGCTTGACATGGGGACGTGGTCTCAGTCCCTGGGCACCAGGAGCTGAGCTCTCACTGCTCCTGGGCTGGTTTGTTCCCAGGCAGGCTAGGAAAATTACTTTCTTAAAGATTAAAAAAAAAATCACAAATTTATGCAGATACTACCCGATCCAACATAGGCTTGCAGGATCTTACGCAATTTCTTCACTTTATGCTTGTACCTCCTTTCTCTCATGCTGACAAACTGGTTTCCCCAGACTTGGAGAGGTCAATCGTGTTATTATTTTATCTTTGAGTAAATGCAGTCTTAGAATAGCCACCGATATTATTAGTCACAATATAATTCCTGGGAATTAAATTCTCTATTTTTATTTTTGCTTTTGCATTTCTTTCCGTCCTTAGGGTCTAACCCGCAGGAATATCCTGTAAAATTGCTGTGTTTGAAGCTTACATCAAATGATTCCCTCCGTGTGGTCATGCTACCCACTCCATATATGGTTCTATTTTGCTTTTAATTTTTAGGGATTATTTTTTCAAAAATGTAATTTTGTTGTGTAATTACACGAATGTTGGCTGGGGAGATTCAGAGAATCCTGGCTCTGGTCCCGATTCCCTCCGTCCTGTCCCGTCCCTCTCCTTTTTTTTTTTTATTATTATACTTTAAGTTTCCTCTTCTTACATGTTTTCTCCTTCAGTGTTTGCTCAGGCCCTCCATTGTGTTTTAAATATATGCAAATGACTGTCCTTTCCCTGGCCCTCCTATTTGTGGGCACCCTGGCTCAGCTCCTGCACACTTGCCCCTCCCTGTTTTTCTTTCTTTCTTTCTTTTTTCTTTCTTTCTCTTTCTTTCTTTCTTTCTTTCTTTCTTTCTTTCTTTCTTCTTTCTTTCTTTCTTTCTTTCTTTCTTTCTTTCTTTCTTTCTTTCTTTCTTTCTTTCTTTCTTTCTTTCTTTCTTTCTTTCTTTCTTTCTTTCTTTCCTTCTTTCCCTCTCTCTCTTTTTTACTTTCTTTCTTTTCTGAGACGGAGTCTCGCTCTGTTGCCCAGGCTGGAGTGCAGTGGTGTGATCTCGGCTCACTGCAAGCTCTGCTTCCCGGGTTGGGTTCACGCCATTCTCCTGCCTCAGCCTCCCAAGTAGCTGGCACTACAGGTGCCTACCACCACGCCTGGCTAAATTTTTTGTATTTTTAGTAGATGCGATTTCTCCTTGTTAGCCAGGATGGTCTCGATCTCCTGACATCGTGATCCGCCTGCCTTGTCCTCCCAAAGTGCTGGGATTACAGGCGTAAGCCACTGCACCTGGCCCTCCTCCCTGTTTTTCTTACTAGCAGCATCCTAGAGATCACTCCCCATAGTCACCCCATCACCTTTTAGTGACGCCAGGTCTTTAGCACAGGGAGGAAGTCCTGCAGGAAGGCTCCCTCCCTCCCCACTCCCTCCCTGCAGCCTACTGGCTGTGATAAAGGGGACCCTGGAGGGCCCAGGTGGCCCCCGCTGTCTTGGCCTCAGCTCAGCTCCTGCTGTTGCCTCCGGCTGGGGTCCCCTCGTCGTCCTCATTTGTGGGCCCTGGTGCGTCTGACACCCAGGGCTGACCTCTTTGGGTTACAATCTTTGCTCCCCTGTGTCCCCACTCCAGAGGGAACTCAAGGTGACCAGTGTATCTTGTGTCCCTGTCCCCCGGTCCCTCAGTGACCAAGGATGTCCCCAGGGCTGAGTTACACTGAGAGCCATGGCAGCCCAGGTAGCCTCTGAGATGGCCGCGGAGAAGGCTCTTGAAGCTGGGGCATCTAAAGGCCTGGGCCTCCCGTCCCTGGTGGCACGGAGACCTTGGCCCTGTCTGCTCAAACTGTAACTTCTGTGGCCCCAGGACAACTGCACCCAGTGGCTCTGGCTTCCCAGGCTGTGCTCCCTGAGTCCTCCGGCCACCTCCCGCCTCCGAGGCCTCAGACTCGCTCAGGTCGCCTCACTCAACCTCAGCAGACATGGTAGGCAGCATCTGACCCTTTCCCAACTGCCTGTCTCACATTTGCAGAGCAGATGGACTCCCCATGCCACTGCCCCTGACCTCCCCAACCCATCCCACAGGCGTGTCCTAGGGTGAGCCAGGAGCTGTGCACTGCAGGAAACTGCCGAGAAGCAGGCACGGCAAGCACCTGCAGCGAACGCATGCCTGCTCTGCCATGCCGCCTGCCCAGTCCCGGAGCCCAGCCTCCCCTCCCCGCTGTCCGAAGCCTTTTTGCCGTCTGATCCCTCACTCCAGGCCCCCCTGCCTCTCGGCACCCCCTCCGCCCCAGCCACCCTTGCCTTCCTCCCCTCTGGATCCTAGCTCCCCGGAGACGGAGCTAACACCCACAGCCGCCTCCAGCCCTGGCCCCCGCCCAAGGCTCCTGGGGCTCATCTGGCCGCCTCTCCCCTCTGACAGAACAGGCCCTGGGAAGAACCCGGACCTCAACCCAAGCATCTGGGCCTCCTGAAGTTCACTCTCGGTGATGTCTCTCCCTGCACCCTCCTCACTCCAGAAACTCCCTCTTGGTGATGGCTCTCCCTGTAACCCCCTCACTCCGGAAATGGGTGGATTTCTGACAGCTCTTCTCCCTCACCCCTGAGCCCAGCAACTACAACCCTGCACATCCCTCCACTCCGTAATATGCCTGGAATCCATCCTCTTTCCCCCTCCATGCCACCCACCTCCCCACAGAATCCAGGCCATCTCTGATCCGAACCATTGCCGAAGCCTCCCCAGGGGCCTCTGGTGCCCCGGTGGCCCCCCTACTATCCATCCCACACCAGTGACTGGGGGATCCAATCATGCCCCCTGACTGATGTCCCCCATGGCCTCCAGGGCACCTGAGATAAACCCCCAAAGGCCTCATGGGCCGGCAAGCCTGGGGGATGTGGCCCTCAACTTACCCTCTCCTTTCACGCCCGCCTCGCCCTCCATGGCCCTCCCTCACTTCCCTTGGTTAACAGCTGCAGCCATGTGGGTTTCAATTTTTCCTGCTGTCCACATTCTTCTCTGCACAGGAACTTGGCACATGCTTCCTGGTGCCCTGTGCTGGCAAGCTTCTTGGGGGCCCCTTGATCTTACTTTAAATATCTTTCCCTGGTCCCCAGTTCAGCTCAGGACCAGTTCTTTTATTTTCTCCTGTGTCCTGTTCCCTTCTTCAGAGGGCTCTCATAGCACAGTGGTTGGGAGCAAGACTGAGGCTCTGGTACCAGGTGCCTGGGTTCAAATCCTTGCTCCATGCCTCACCTGCTGTGTGACCCTGGGCATGTTACTTAACCTCTCTGTGCTCAGTTTCATCACACATAGAGTGAGAGCGGTGATAATAATAGCACCAATAGTTATGAGGTGCCAACCTAAATAACACAGAGGGAGGCTCTCTCAAACAAGATGATGTTTATTTGGGAATAGGCATTATTGGGAATCCCCAAGCCACAGAAAGCTATGTGTATCTTCAGGGAGGTAAAGGAAGACGAAAGTTTTTAAAGGAAAAATGAGGAGGATTATGTAATTGTTTTGGGACAATTATCCTTGGCTACCAAAATCAATAACAAGGGTGGCGTCAGTCTGAATTTGGACAGGAAGTTGCCGGGCAGATGTCCTTGCAGAAGTGTTTGATGAGACCCTGAGATTGAACATCAGCAGGCGAGGGGGTCCCTCTTCCCTGCTCTGTTCTGGTCTCAGAGGCTTGCTGCGTCCACCGGGACAATGTGACTTCTGGCATGTGGGGTTCTACCCGTGCACCAGGCATGCTCTAGCTGCTTTGAGGGTCTTATCCCGCTGAGCCTCATGGCAACCCTGTGAGAGGGCCAAAGCACAGAGAGGGTAAGGAATCTGCCCAAGGTCACACAGCATATTAGTGGCAGAGTCAAAGTTTGAACCAGGATCCTGGGTCCAGCCATGCTTCCTGTCTCTTTATTTTGCTCCCTTGGCTATGCTTCCTGTCTCTCTATTTTGCTCCCTTGAGCTCAGACATGCGTGACGTCTTGAATCCTGCCCTCCTGGCCTGCAGCCCATGCCCACCTGAGCCAGGAGAGCCATCTCTCCATAATAGAAACTTTATCCCAACTGTCAATGCTTCCTAGCCTGCCCTCTGACCTACTTTTCCAGACCCATCTACTGTTATCCTTTCCTCTCTCTCCCTAGAACTCAGCGTTAATCACTTGTCCTAAAAGACACCACCACCATCTTATGTCTATGTAAGGGCGATGTCCTCCCAATCCTCACTGTGGCAACTCTTATACATCCTTCAAAACCCAGCTCGAAAATGCTTCCTCTTCAATCGCCCCCTGATGCTCACCTGCTTCAGCAAAGTTAGTCGTGCTGCCCAGAGCATAGCCTGTGCCTCAGCCTGCAGCCTGCACCTCTATGTAGCTGTGTGGCCACGGGCCAGGTGTGAGTCTTCCTGAGCCTCACTGTCCCTCATCTGGAAAACAGGGGTGATAGTAGTAACACCCGCCACATGGAGGGTGGCTGTGAGATGGTTCTGCAGCATCCGGAACAGGGCTTACTCCTAGGGCCTGGTTATGGTGACAATAGCAATCACCGTGAGTGGTCTCGGGGCCCTCAAGCTCCCCCAGGCAGCGGGCATCATGGGGACAGCAATGGCTTCTTCTTTGCTGCACCCAAGGAGTTGGTGACTTGGGGATCATCACAGGCTCCGCTTGCTTAGCTATTCTCCAGACCACCAACCCGAGGGGCTGGAAGTCCATGGCGGCTGGCGTGGTGCACCCGGGAAATCTGGAAGTCTCGAATGGTCTGTGGATAGCTGGCATGCTTTGTGCAACGTGGGAAGCCCAAAGGAGATTTTAAACATCTATGGGGGGCGAAGTTGCCCATGGGCCCCGGCCTCTCAGCTGGCGCGCTGCTGAGTCTCTGGGAGCCCCGCGGGACTCGCCCGCCTGCCACACCTGCAGCTGGGCTTGATGGTGTGTACAAACACCCCATTATGCCTGATTACCAGCCATTAGTGCAATTAGGGTAGCCCCTCCGCGTCCCGGGGCTCCAACCAGCTGTGCCGGGGACCTGGGGCAGAATAGCAAACAGCCTCCTCCAGAGCCTGCGCACTGGCTGGCGGGGCCAGGGAACCGTGGGCTGAGGAGTCCCCCTGAGCCTGCTTGGAAGGCTGGGGCTCTGGAGCATGGGGGCCACCCAGTGGGCCGGCTCCTCCTCCTCCCCATTCTTTGCGCTGCTTTTGTGCTGCCTGATGCTGTCCTTTCCCTCCCAGATTGTCACCCTGAGCCCTCCTGATGTGTGGGGCAGGGAGTCTTTTCTGGGGCACCCCATGACCTGTAGGGTGTCAGCTCCATCCGTGGCCTCCACCTGCTGGAGGCCAGCAGCATCCACCTCCCACAGTTGTGTCGACCACAGATGCTTCCAGACATGACCAGTGTCCCCTAGGGGCAGGATCAGCCCTGGCTGAGACCCACCGTCCTGGGTCTCAGCTGGTCTTTCTGGCCATCACTACCTCGTGCTTGGCTTCTGTATTTGTGTGTTGCTTTGCCAGCGCTGCGCTGGCTCCTCTGCCTGTTCCCATCCTCCCTCCCTCTCTTTCATCCCTCCAGAAGAAGCCTTTCAAGCCCAAACTCACAGTCACCTCTGACCTGTCGCCCCCAGGGATGCCCGAGTCAGAGAGGCGCCACGTTGTTGCTCCCCTGACCACGCACACTAGCACGCAGCCCCAGCCTGCGGGACTTCAAAGGGCCATTTGAGGTATGCACTTGACCAGGGAGGAAGAAAAGAGGCCAGTGGCTGTTTGTTCTGGGACTTGGGATTGAGCTGTGGCTCTTCAGAGCTCGGCTGGTGGGCATCCTCTGTGCCCGGCCCTGCAGCCCTGGCCCTGGCCCCACCCCTGTGTGCTGATCACTTCCCACTCCCTGCTCATAGCGCCGCCAATGCGTCACTGTCCTGTGTTTTAACCGCTGTATTTCACCAATTCTAAGATAATCGCTTTCCCACATTTTAACTGGCAGGAAGTTGGGATGCATAGTATGGGAGTTGGGGTCTGACAGGTGCTGTCTTCTGGTGGGGGTCAGGACTCAGCTGCCGCGGCCTGTGTGTGTATGAACTTGAACTTATGAGGTATTGGTTGCAAACATGCACGTGAATCTTCACCCCATCTTCATGTATTTTGTGGCATATGATGCTGATGCTTCTCCCATAAAGAAGTGGCATCAGTTCCCAAGGTCTCCCTGAGACAGAAGGGTTTTAGGAGACAAGGGACTTTCAGAGATAACACTGGGAAAATTTGAGCAAATTGAGGCAAGCTCATCCTATTTGTCCTCCAATCCTTGAATTGGTGTTGGCCCTGTGACTGGGTTTTGCCCGTAGACCGTGGCTGACCAGTTGTGTGCTGGTGAACTGGGTTCCCGCTCCTGAGAAGCCCAGCCCCTGACTTGTAGCGTATTTCTATGGTGCCAACACCCCCACTGCAGCTGCTTGCCAGCCACCAATGTGATGCCAGGGAACTCATGAGGTGCTGGGAGGTGAGGTGCACACCACTGTCTGGCTGCACGCTACCTGTGGCAGGAGTGGCCTTTGTGGGTTGAGTTACATTGTGGGCTTCTGCTCCTGGGACCCTGCAACTACCCTGTGGGCAACCGGGGGCCAGAGGCAGCTGCTGGAGGATGAGACCACGCGGGCCAGGCCACGCTGCCCCAGCCAGGACCCTGTGCACCGGCCCACAGCCAGCCTGCCCCCAGACACATGGGAGGCCAGAGCTGCCCACTCAATTCACAGCTGAACTCAGATGCAGGATGAGGCCTGCTGACAGCAGAACCACATGTGGATCTGTACACTTCGGAACTTGTTGTTCAATTCTGTTGTTTTAAGCAACATGTTGCTTTAATTGTATTGTATGGTGCAATTCTTCATTTCAGGGTGGTTTGTTATGCCGCAGCAGCCGGCCGAGGCATCGCTGTTCATGCTGCCTTCCCTTCAGTTGAGTTCCACGTGCTGTTGACATTGCCCGGGTCGGGTCTGATTGCCGCTTTGAATTGCTTTAAAGGCGACACTCTGATTCTGCATAGAACGGGACTTACCACACAGAAGCAAGGACAGAGCAGCAGGGCTCCCTCTTATATCAGGGAAGCAAGTGTTCATCCTGGAGGAGATGACCATGGCTCCATATTTTTTTTTGTAAAGCATCAACCAGGCGCTTTATGTGCCTGGGGAGCTCTGTTTAGTACAAAGATGTACACAAAGGCTGCCTAGGGCAGGATGAGCAGAGCAGCTGGAGGCAGGAGAAATCGCCGAGCACTTCGGAAGAAATGGAAGCAATTATCCAGCCAGGAGAGGCTGCCGTGACCCTGAGTGCGCTGTGCAGGACTGTCGTAGGCCCCATGGTATCATGTCACTGGCAGTGTCTGAGTGTCACACAAAATCATGGCATCTTAGAATCAACGGTATTTTCAATTTGACAGAATAGAGTATCAATGACGTATGTCCTGTACCTTTGCTATAGACCACCAGCCCCACATGGGCGAGGACCTGGGTGAGGACCTTGGCACAGGGGGTAGAGCCGGAACGTGTGACCAAGCAGACACGAGGGATTCCAGCAGAGGGGATGTCAGATGAGGAGCCACCGCCTTGACCCTCGCTCCTCCCGCCCCTGGGGGAGCCAGGTCACACTGTTCATCTCTCTGTTCCCTTGTTTCTCAGTCGTCTCACCCTCAGAGCAGCCCTGAGACAGGGCAGGGCGGTCACCAACACCACCTGTTTTGCAGCTGAGGAAACAGAGGACATGCAGCAGAGGGGCTGGCTTCTCGGGGGTGGCCTGGGCAGTCCCAGGGGCTACATGCAGAGGGACTGCATGCTCAGTTTAATCCTCTGCCGTTGCCTTGGTTTTGAACCAGGACCCCGTATTTTTATTTTGCACTGGTCCTTGCAAGTTGCATAACTGACCCTGGGGACCAGGCTTCCTGAGGGCTCATTGCAGCGCCAGGGTTAGAGCCCAAGGCTCTGGCCCCAACCCAAGCATATTGCACAGGGGACTCATCGTAGCACCGGGACTCAGGGCCACCGCCAACTGCGTGGCCTTGCCCAGGCCTGGCAGATAGTATGGGTGGTCACGTTCCTCCACCCATGGCCTCTTTCTGGCAGGACTGAATGAGTCCACGCTAGCTTTGTTTGTGCTTCAGCATCTGGCTGGTGTTTGCAGGATCCTCGTCTTTGCTGTCGGCATCGTGTGAGCTGCGGCAGTGCACGGCAGCCGAGGAACCCAAAGAAGGGGCCAGATGTGGCTGCGGGTCCCACTCTGCCTCCCTCTAACCCCGAGGTGGGCCTCAGTGACCGCGGACAGCCTAAGACCCTAAGGGGCTTCTCCACCTCAGCCCTCAGCATCCAGACACCGACTTCCAAGGGGCAGAGGTGAAGGGATGACCTTGAGTCACGCTGGAAGGTGACCGGTGCTAATAGACACTTATTTCTAAAATAGCACTGTATCTCCAGCAACCGGTTATTAACTCGGGGAAAGGGAATGCTATTTCAGGCCCAACAGCGGAAAACCATTTTCCTTTAAGAGCTTTTCCTGAACTTTTCACACAGGTGCCCCCATGAGGAGCAGGGATGGAGAGCTCAGCCCCCTCCTCAGGGTCCCGGGAGAGCAGCCACGACTGACGGGGTGAGCCACGAGCACAGGGGCAAGGGGACAACCTGCCTTCAGTGAGTGGCTCTGAGGCTCCAGCACGTGGATCCAGCATCTCAGCCTGTGGCCAACAGGACAAGGGCTGCACCTGGCCATCCATATCCCCTCCCTCTGCCCTGAGTACCTGTTCTTCAAGTGGCTGGCAGTTAGGATTTATGTTTATAGCTGGGGTCAGGGCCTAGTCTAGGATTAGAGTCAAGGTTCAGCCCATGTTCAAGGTCAGGACTTAGCCTGTAACCAGGATAAGGGCTCAGCATGTAACCAGAATCAGGGCTTAGCATGGGTCAGGATCAGGGTTCAGCATGGGTCAGGATCAGGGCTCAGTGTGACCAGGATCAGGGCTCAACATGTGATCAGAATCAGGGCTCAGCATGGGTCAGGATCAGGGCTCAGTGTGACTCTCTGAGGGGTAGGAGTGGGATCAGGCATCGATCTGAGGCTGGAAACTAGGGCATGCATGCCCCTGGGGGTCACTCTGGTCACTGTGTTGAGTCTGCCCCCGAAGAGCTGTGCAGTTCTCAGGTCCCCGCAGCCCAGGCAGCTCTGGGAGAATTGTGGTCTGGGAGGTTTCCTGGGCATCAGGGGAGAAAGTGGTGTCTTCAGCGTGGTTTCCTCTCTGGCTAATCCCTTCCCCAACTCCAGCCGATGGTCCTGGTAGGGTTGATCAGGTGGGAGGAGGCCTGCACCTTAAGTGGGTGCTGGAGCCAGCCCCAAGTGAGTCTGTGGGTTCCCCTATGCAGCAGGCCCGGACTGCAGAGTCTAGACCCTCGGAGGGAGCATCCAGACCCCAGGGGAAGGAGAGGGGAGAGCCGAAACCAGCTCCTTCACGGGACTTTGTGTGCACATCCCTCCCCTCCTTTGGGTGTTTGCTGCGAAGCAGGCAACAGGCCTCTATTAAAACTGTTCATCAAAGGAAAATGCAAAACCAGGAACAGGAGGGAAGGTAGGCACATGCAGGGCAAGCTCACCTGGCCAGGCCAGGCGTTTCCTGCAGACTGGACCTGGGGGGTCGGAAGGGCCTCCTTTCATACATGGTGGCTTTCTGCCTCAGTTTCTGCACAGTGCTCAGTCTTGGAAGGCACAGGGCCAGGCACTTCTGGATAATGGTGGTGAACGCATTCACAGAACTTACCGAAATGCAGGCACTTGTCCCTTCGCCAGTTTATTCTCACAATAACCTCTGAGGCAGGAACTACGATTCTCATTTTACAGATGAGGAAATTAAAGTGCAGGGAGGCTAAGTAGGTTGCTCAAGGTCCCACAGCCAGCAAGAGGAAGGTCTGCATTTTGAACCCAAACAGTACAACTCCAGGGGTCATGCAATGAACCCCCAGTTTCCCTGCCAGGCCACACTGATGGCATCTGCTGGCTCTGGGGATGGGTCACAGACCCTCAAAGTGTACCTGGACCTTAGTCAGTGCCAGCTGAATGCACACAGGGGGATGATACAGCTGAGAATCATCTTCAGGCCTTCCCTGGTCAATTCTGGGGGTCTCTGCCCAGTTTCGAGTCCCATTCCAGCCTGAGCAGAGGAAGGGACTCCAATCTGAGAAAAACACAAGGCCCTGATACCTCGCCCCAGCCACGCCACGTCTACTGAGAGTGAGAGTGGGGCCAAGGGTTGGCCAGGCTGTGTTCTGATCATCACCCTGCTCCTTACCGCTGGGTGATCTTAAGCAAAGCACACAGCTCCCTCTAGCCCTTATTTCCTCAGCGCTGAAGTGGCCATCGGCATCTTGTCCACAACCTAGAGTTTTCCTACATGATTCAACGAGGCAGTGGACTCCGGGTTGCTCTGAAGACTGGAGGTGCCACCTGGAGATGGGCTTCCCTCTGAAACAGTGGGAGGGGAGTGAAGAGGAGGAAACTCTCGTCCACCATGTTAGGGATCTGTCAATTTTATTGATCATTTCAAATAACTAGCTTTTTGTTTCATTGATTTTCTCTGTTGTTTTTCTGTTTTCAACTTTATTGACTTCACATCTTACCTTTATTCTTTCCTTCCTCCTGTTTGCTTTGGGTTTATTTACTCTTCTTTTTCTAGTTTTTGAAGCAGGAGCTTAGACTATTGATTTGGGATGTTTCTTGTTTTCTAAGGTAAGTATTTAGTACTGTAAAATTTCCCCTAAGCACTGCTTCAACTGTGTCCCACAAATTTTGATGTGTTGTATTTTCATTTTTATTTGGTTCAATGTAGTTTTAAAAACTTCCCTTCAGGCTTGCTCTTTGACTCATGGATTAAGTTATTTCCAAGTGTCTGGAGATTTTCGTGTTGTCTTTCTGCCATTTATTTCTAGTTGGATTCCATTTTGTTGGAGAACACACTCTATGATTTCAATTATTTTTAATTTGTTGAGGTTTGTTTTATGGCCTGAGGCAGGTTCTGTGTTGGTATATGTTCTGTGGGCACTCAAAGAGAATGTGTATTCCATTGTTTTTGGGCGGAGTGTTCTACCCATTGTTGATTAGATCCTGTTGGTTGATGGCATTGTTCAGTTTTTCTATATCCTTGCTGATTTTTTGTCTAGTTGCTCTATTACTATCACAGGAGTACAGAAGTCTGCAACTGTAATTGTAGATTTGCCTATTTTTCCTTTCGGTTTTATCAGGTTTTGCTTCATATATTTTGCACCTCTGTTGTTTGGCGCATGTGCATTTACGATTGCTAGGTCTTCTCAGCGGATCGACACTTTTATCATTATATATTGTCCCTCTCTTTGTCTCTTCCTCTCATTCTTTCCCTTGGCCTATTTCATCTGACATTAACATAAACAATCCTGCTTTCTTATAACTGTTTGCATAGTATATCATTTCCCATGCTTTTCAAACTGTCTATATTACCATATTGAAAGCAAATTTCTTGTGGGCAGTTTATGACTGGGGCATGTTGTTTAATCCACTCTGTTATCCTGTCTTTTAACTGATGTATTTAGCTAATTTACATTTAATGTAATTATTGATATGTTAGGACTACCATTTTATTTTTGTTTTATGTTTATTCTTTTTTTTGGTTTCTCTCTTTCCTCTGTCTTGCTGTTGGTTACTTGAATAGTATTATTAAAAATGTCATGTTTCATCTATTTGTAATGTTTTTGAGTGTATCTCTGTATTTGAGTGGTTACTCTAGGTATTACATTATACACACATACGATCACAGTATACCGGTGTCATTGTATTATCAGCTCAAGTAAAGTGAGGAAAACGTACCTCCTTATATGCTGCTTTACCTTCCCCTATTTGTACTATGATAGTTTAAAATATTTTCTGTACATAAATTTCGAACCTCAGACACAGTGTTATAATATTTGCTTCAACTTTCAAATATGATTTAGAAAATGTAAGAGAAGGCAAATTTATTGTATTTAGCCATATTTTCAGTCTTTCTGTTGTTCCTTCTTCTTTCCTTGTCTCACAATTTCTTCTTTTACTGTTTCCTTTCTGCTTAGAGAATCTCCTTTAGCCATTTTTTAAGCATATGTCTGCTGGTGACATTCTTCACCTGAGAGTGTTTTGATTTCCTTTTCATTCTTGAAGGATGTTTTGCTGGATATATGATTCTGAGTTGATGGTTTTTTTCTTCTTTCAGTATTTGAAAAATGTGTCACTTCCATCCAACAACCATGATTTCTGATGAAAAATTCACTGTCATTCTACTTGTTTTTCCCCTGTAGATAAGATGTCACTCTTCTCTGGCTGCTTTCAATATTTGTTTCTCTCTCCCTTTAGTTTTCAGAAGTTTGACTATGGTGTGTCTTTATATGAATTTCTTTTTTTTTTTCCGATCATCCTGTTTGGGGCTTATACACCTTGAATCTGTATGTTTACATCTTGAGACGTTTTAGTCATTATTTCTTCAAGTACAATTTTTCAGCACCTCTCTCTTTCTCCTCTCCTTCCAGAACTCTGATGACAGAAATCTTTTGTTATTGTCCACAGGTACCCAAGGCTCTATTAATTTTTTTCAGTATACTGTCCTTCTGTTGCACTATTGTTCTGTCCTTAAGTTTTGGACTCTTCTCTCTATCCTCCTGACCTGCCGTTGAGCCCATCCATGGAATGTTAAAATTTCAGTTATTGAATTTTTCAGTTCTAAAATTTTAATTTGATTCTTCTTTATATCTCCTTCTTCTTTGCTGAAACTTTCTATTTCTCTGCTGATACTTTTTATTTTTTCATTTGTTACTTGTGTGTAATTGTTCACTGAAGCATTGTATGATGTCCGCTTTAAACTCTGTCAGACGATTCTAACATCTTTGTCAACTCAGTATTGGCATCTACTGCCTGTTATTTATCATTTAATTTGAGATCGTCCTGGTTCTTGGTATGATGAGTACTTTTTGATTGAAACTTGGACATTTCAGAGATTATGAGACTCTGGATCTTATTGAAACCTTCTCCACTGACACCCTGCATGGGCTTTGTTACCACCTGGCAGGGATGAAAATCTTGGCTTTCCACTTGGCCTTCTCTGAGACTACCCTAATAGGAGAGGGAAAGGAAGATGTGGCAAAGGACACTCAGGAAGAAGATGCCAGAAGAGAGAGAAGAAAATGGAAGAGACAACAATAAGGAATATAGAAATTAGAGCCACTACCTCACATATTGAGAGGGAGATTTCCAGAGAGAGAGAGAGAGTGAAATCAAGGCATAGATTCATAAAGATATGACTTAGTGAGACAGAGAGACAGCCCCACATCAGCAGAGATGGGGGCAGGAGAATTCAGGGCCACACATACAGCCTGGGGGCTGTAAGTGAGCCAGAGACCTTCCTTCCACCTCCAGAGAAAATAAGGTGCTCGTCTCAGAGAGAGGCCCCAAAGACCTGGCTGGTGAGTCCTGAGATAACCTGGAGTTCTTCTCCTAGAGAAGAAAGCCTTTCTGCCTCATCGCCCCTTCCCCACCCACTCATCTGTTTGCTCATCCACAGGTCTGAGGTGGGCCCTTCTTTTGTGTCTGACTCTGAGGGGTGGGTAGCAGTGGCAGGCTCTCTGTCTCCTCAAGGAAGTGGATTACGCAGAAGGTGTGGGTTATGAAGCCTGGTGGCTCCAGCAGTGCCCCCTGGCTAGACCTTTCACTATGCTGGGCTTCTAATCGGGGATTGCAGCTACTGGCTACCATTTTCCTGGTGCACCAACTTGTTGCAATGAGAAGGAACTTGACTGAACTAATTTCAGCCCAGCCCAACACAAATCACTAATCTTCAGAAGCCTCCCAGACAATTCTTCCTCTCAGATGTAGGAACTGTAGTGTCACAGGAAAGGGAACAACATGATCTTGAAAGATATTACCAAAAGTAGACAGGTGAGAGACACCCACTTTCCTCCTCTTCCTAAACTTGAACTGGATCCCACATCTCAGGGGATCTGGGAGAAGAAGTGTGCTTTTCCTTAAGGCAACATCACCATCACCATCACCATAATCACCATCACTATCATCAGCATCATCATCACCATCATCATCACCATCATCATCATCGCCACCATCATCACCATCACAATCATCACCACCATCACCATTATCACCATCAACATCACCATCATCGCCATCACCATCATCACCATCACCACGGTCACCATCATCAGCATTTCCATCACCATCACCATTATCACCATCATCATCACCACCATCACCACCACCATCATCACCATTACCACCATCATCATCATCACCATCACCATCACCATCACCATCCTCACAACATCAACACATAACAATGATAACAACAAACATTTGTTGAGCACTTATTATGCACTAGATGCTATGCTAATCATTGTATTTACATTATTTCATTTTCTTTTCACTATAACCCTATAAGAGAGAAAATATTATTTTATTTTTTTCATATGAAAAAACTCAAACTCAGAAAGGCTAAGTAACTTGCCTGACCTCACGCAGGTAGCTTGTAGTGGAGCCAGGATTCAAACTCTAGTCTGTCTGACACCATAGACTTGGCCCAGCAGGAGCTGGTAATCACAGACCCTTCTCTGCACTCTACATAAGCATGCTCCTGCAGAGGTTGGGGGAGCCTGTAGTTCAGGACAGGTTGGCTGGAGATCAGCCTTGGGTCCCCTGCCTGACCTGCACCCCTGCCCCCATCACTGACCCATCCACGTGAATGTTCTTTCTTTGGACATCGTGCAGCCAAATGTGGATGGAGCTCTTCTCCCTTCCCTCAGCTCCTTTTGTTTTCTTCCCTTTTCCCCATTGAATGTTGCACAATGTTCAGCACGTAATGAGCACCAAGATCCCCTCATGGACAGTGTAAGATTGTCCTCAAACCTTTCTCATAGATAATGGAAGATGGAGCTGATCCAAGGAACTCGAGCCAGCCCATTTGAAGAATGTGTCTTAGGCTCCACGTCCACACTGGAAAGAAAGTGAGGCTCCTTCGTCTCAGTGTCCTTGTGTGAGGCCTCGGGGAAGATGTCTGATTGGCCTGTACGGGGCCCATGTCCTAGCAGGGGTGGGGCACCATGATCACTAGCCCCATCTGGACCCTAAGGAGAGGGGACACCTGGGCCCCACAGCACAGGCAGCCCTGGACTCAGGTCCTGGCTCAACGATTTATGACAATCGGGTGAGTGTCTGCACATGTTTAAACTTCAGTTTCTCCATTTTCAAAGTGAAAATCCTAGGGACGGTGTCACAGGGCTATCGAGGTGATGCAGTGCCTGGTGTAAGGTAGATGCCTGCTACCCACACGTCACCCTCCTGTCTCTGGCCGGCTGTGTTTTCACTGGTGCATGAGGCTGGCACGTGGTTGTCCCTCAGGGCTTCTTAAAAAGGGCAGATGGGAACCCACTCATCCATGTTTCTAAAATCAGATTCTAGCAAAGGCCGCTGAGGGCTGCTGCCATCTTTCCTTGTCACCCAGCAGCTCCCTGGGAAGCCAGAATGCCCCGTTCAGAGAGGCCTGGCAGGGGGGCCTCTGCATGTTTCACTGTGAGACCCTGGAGGAGAGCTGCCTTGCAGGTGGCATTGCCCGGGATCATCCTGTCGCAGGGCTTGCGTCTCTGCCCTCTCTCTCCCCGCTTGTCAACAGCAGGCATGCCAAGGAGCCCTTCACTGCTAAGTAGCTCGCAGTGGCAAGGTGAGAAAATAGCAGCAGCTGACATTTTCCCCATGTGTCCCCAAGCAACATTAACCCCACTGAGTCACTCAACAACACAGAGATGTGGGGAAGGCGAGGACCTGTGTTTTACAGATGCGGAAATGAAGGACTGGATGGTCCCCAGAACTCTCCACTTCACCCCAGATGCCTTCTCTCCGTACGGAGTGAGGACGCCTCAGAGGCACCCCGCGCCTGGGCTCATCCCTGCTGCAAGTCCTCTGGGGCTCCCCCAGCAGCCTCCTGCCAGACAGCCCCCTCCGGCTCCGGCCTGTGATCAAATCCCGGCTCTGTCCTCAGCAGCGTTGCTCCTGGTAATTTCTTTGCCTCTCTTTGCTACGGTTTCCTAACTTGGACAATCTGGCTGGTGGGTTTCCTCTGTGAGGTCTGGTGAGGAGGCTGTGGGTGAGGAATGAGCAGAGGTTCCCCTTCCAGAATCCAAGCCGCTTTCCATGCCGGGTGCTTTATGCTGTCGGCTCATTGGATTGTGCCCTCAACTCCACAATGAAGGGGTTGTCCCCATTTTTAGATGGGACAGTTTCCCCCTGAGGTTTTGGAGATGAGGGCCAGGCTGGCTCGGGAGCCCGGCAGTTGGAGGCTCCCGCTTCTGTTGTGCCGCTGAGGTTCTCGGCAGCGGTGCCTGCCCAGAGCCCATTAGGCCGAGCCCTGGGAGGTCCTGGGAAGAAGTGGTGCTCAGGCCAGCTCGAGGGAGGGTGGGAGCTTGGCAGAAGAAAGGCTTAAGAAGCTCCAGGTAACCCTTGTGCGGGGAGAGCTGCAACAGGCCTTACTGGCTGTGCCTGTCTCTGGCCCCAGCGTCCAGAGCAGAGCAGCCTGCCTTCGGCTGCTTCCAGGCATCCTGCTCCTGGGAGGCCCTGTCAGCTCCAAGAGGCTCTTAGAGCAGCCTCATGCAGGGAGTCAGCAAACCTGTGCCTGCTTCTGGGGCCCCAGTTCCAGGGCCCTGGATAAAGGGTTAAGTGTCACTGTTTGGTGCCCTGATCTTGGGTGGGGGAGAAGCTGAGCTTGTCAAGGTTTGGGGAGTGCAGTCCCATGTGTGGGTACGTGGCAGAGGCAGCAGCAGATCGGAGGTTCTGGGGTGCTGATGCGGATCTTGTAGACTCACGTGCTGTGAAGTCAAACCAACCCACTTCAGGTCCCAACCCCAGTCCCACCACTTCCCAGCTCTGTGTCCTTCAGGCAGCTCTCATTACTGAATGGTGACAGGACCTGAGCAGAGGCTGAGATACCAAAGGAGGAGGGTGTGGGGGCTGTGGGGGACCTGGGGGCTGCCTTCTTGGAGCCTGAAATCTGCAGCAGAAAGCAGGTTACATGGTTGTGTTTCAGTCCTCTGCTTATTACCCCCCACAGCGCTTTGCTCTCTCTCCATTACTTAGTTTACTTATTTGTGTGTGCGTGTGTGTGTGTGTGCATACATGTGCATTAGAGTGCATGTGTATATGCTTACTGTCCACCTTCTTTCTGAGAGGGTGACCTCCAGGACAGTTCCAGCTCAGGATGGCTTTCTTCCGAGGCATCCCTGTACCTGTCACAATGCGAGCTCTCCAAATACCAGTAAATGAACAAACTCCAAGAGAAAAAGGACCAAGTCCACGAACAAGTCAATCACCAAGAAAGAACTGAAAACAGCCGGGAGACCACCCATGGACCTTGCCTCTCACATGAGATTCAAGCAACGACATGGTGTCTGCTGTGACTGGTGGTGGTGCAGGGGCTCGTGGTGTGGGGACCAGCACGGGGGCAGCACTGACCCCAACCCCAGATTCCTGGAAGGCAGCTTGGCCCGTGCCATGGAAGGGTTTACAACACTCGCTCCCTTTGACCCAGCCATTTTCTTCTGGTAAAGCCTCATAAAGAAATAGCTGGACGGGAGCCTTCGGCTGTGGATGCAGCTGTGATGGGCTCTGTAAATTATTAGCCACAGTCTGGTGCAAAGCTGGAAATGAACAAATTGTCCATGGACAGAAGGGTAGTGAAGAGAGGATGGAGCAGCCACAGAAGGTACACCAGGCAGCCATTCTGACAGTGTGGATTCGGGTTTATTACTGTGGAAAAATGTCCATGGTGTATATTATCGTGTGTGAGGCAGACCACGGGCAGCACGTCCCAAATGGGGCCACTTTGTAAATTCTCTCTCTCTTTCTCCATCGCTCCAGCTCTCTAGCTGTGCATAAGAATAATACAGAATATGATGCTTAAAAACCTATTTACCAACATTGTAATAGCTCCAGAGGAGGGCGGTGCCAGTGATTTTCCTTCATTTCATCATTCCTTCAGGTGTCGTCTTCATTTTTTATGTTTTTTGCAGTCAATGCTTATTACTTTAATAACCATAAAACTGTTACTTTTCTATTTTTAAGTGGCTCTTCTGTGCTCATTGCTGAAGGCAGAGATCCTGTCTCCAGACTGCACCCTTGACTCGCCTTAAAGGAACAAAGAATCCATTTATGACGTTTCTTGAGCACCTATGAGGCTGGGCGCTGAGCCGGTGGTGTGCACGCGGGCAGTCTCGAGGGCCCTGGGCCCCGGCTCTGCGAAGTTACAGTTACCACCCACATTTTACAGAAAAGAAAAATGCAATTTAGAGAGGCTAGGTGGCCTGCCCAGGGTCACACAGCAGGGACCTCGCCCAGTGGGAAGAAGGGTCTTCTTTCATGTTCCTTTCCCAGGAACATGAGAGAGTCGGTCCATGAAGGATGTGTCGCCATTGAGGGATAGGGGCCTCTGGCCTGGGCCGAGACAGTGTGGCTGGGGAGGTCGTGCTGGGTGTGGGGGATGGGCAGGAATAGGAGGGAGGCTGTCTGAGCCTGGGGCTGGGGAAGGGAGGGAGGTGGAGGCATGGCTGGGGGCAGCGTGGGACCGTGGGAGGGAGCTCGGTGTCCTGGAGGTGAGTCGCCTACACCCTGGGCTGCAGTTTCTCCAGCCGGAACATGGGACACAGCCCTGCCAGGCCTATCTCCTGAGGCTGACCTGAGGACCAGGGGGTGTGACGGGCGGAAGGGGCTGTGAGCAGGATCACAGGGCTGTGCCGCTGGTGTGGTGCATGCTCAACCCTGAGCCAGGGTCCAGCGACCAGCTGTGCCCCCTGAACAGAGAGCACTTGAAATTCATGGCACTGTGCCATGGGCTTAATGTGTATTGACCATTTAATCCTCTGCAAAGAAGATAATGCTATGGTGTCTGTTTTACAAATGAGGAAACAGCCCAGAGAGGCTCAGGGACTGGCCTGATGCCACACAGCTCATAGGTGTCTCTGCTGGCGTGTGTCTAGCACCCTGGCCTCCTGATGCCGTGAGCTCAGAGGAGGGTCAGTGCCATAGAGGAAGTGTGCTGAACGCTCTTGGCCACGTGCCCTGATCTCTCTGGGCTGCAGATGCTTTGGTTGTGAATGAGGAAAGTCAGTCCTCCCCTTCCCCAGATGTCTCAGAGCCTGGAACAGGACATATTGGTAGAACATGGGCCACAGTTACCACAAACTGGGTGGCCCAAAGCAGCAGGAGCTTGTTGTCTCCCAGTTCTAGGGCCAGAAGTCCAAAATCCGAGTGCTGGCAGGGCCGAGCCCCCTCTGAAGGCGGGAGGGGGATCTTTCTTCGTTGCCTTCTAGGTGCTGGTGGCTCTGGCAGTGCGTGGCATCCTGTGGCTTGTAGCCGCGTCACACCAATCTCCACTTCTGCCTTCACATGGCCTTGTTTTCTGTGTCTCTGTGCCCAAATCCTCCTCTCCTTTCATTTATAAGGACACCGGTCATTGGATTTAGGGCTCCCCTAAATCCAGGATGACTTCAAGATCCTTAACCAATTACATCTGCAAAGAACTTATTTCCAAATAAGGTCCTATTCCGCTGTTCTGAGTGGACATGAAGTCTCGGGAGATACTGCTCAACTTGCTATAAGCTCCCCGTGTGTGGCAGAGCCTCCGGGAGATCCTCCTGCCCTGTCTTCATTTGAGAGGAGCTGTTGCATGACTGGAGTGGGAGCTCCCCGCCTCTCTCTGGCCCCCTCAGTTGAGTGACAGGCTGATGGGACTGTCCAGTCTCAGGTGCTGTGTGACAGGAAGATGCCCGTCTTGCCTGGGGCTGGTGGGGAGAGCTGCTGGTCCTGGTCAGGCTGTCCTAAGACTACAGTTCTGGGCTGAGCCTGCAGCCCAGCCTTGCTCAAGGGGGGCTGGATGTGGCCTCCCTGCTGGGGCTGGATGTGGCCTCCCTGCTGGGCCTGGGTCTCCACCAGCCTCAGTCTATACCCACTTCCTCCCATCCATCTCAGCAGGACAGCGGGGCCCAAGCTACTGCTTGGGAAGATGAGGATGAGTCTGGGCTCCCAGGAATCTGAGAACCCCAGGAGGGGAGGTATTAGAAACAGAAGACCCTTCCTTTGAGTTACAGGTGGAGAAACTGAGGCCCAGGTTGGGGAAGCCATTTGCCTCAGCTCATATGAGTCTGTTCACGGTTTACTTATTTAGTGATTGAGCAGACATGTGTCTCACAGCCCTTCCTGGGCAGGCCCATGTCCTCCTGGAGCACACCCCCTGCCGGGGACTCAGACCCAGCTGACACCCCCGGTGTTCGAGGCACCACCAGGAAATCCTTGGCCTGCGTGAGATTTGATCTTGAGGGGAGTCAGGGAGGACTTCACCAAGGAGGAGGCAGGACTCAGGATGAGGCTGGGGATGGTCAGAGCTGGGCAGGTACATCTGAGGCAAGAGAGCATGGGGACCTGGCACTCCCAGTCCCAGCCCTGAGATGCCAGAGGGAAGCATGGGTAGAGGAGGGCCCAGACCTCACTGTGCCCCATAGCAGAGAGGGAGGCTTTGCCCTGGTCCCAACCACAGCCCTTGGGGTGGTCACCTGCAACCCCATGTGACAGATAAGGAAACTGAGGCCCTCAGTGGTGGAAGGGCTTGCCTGAGGTCACACAACCCTTCGGTGACAGAGCCAGGAGCGGAGCTCCAGTTTGCCAGCTGACAACGAGCATGTTCTTTCCACTGAACCACATTTCCTCTTCAAGAACTTTCATTTTTCAGGAGAGACGTGTCACCTCGCCTCCTGGCCAGCAAACCTAACTCTGGAGACACATGCCTCTGTGAGGGTCTTCACTGCAGTGCCCTCCGCCCGGCTGCGATGGCAGCGCTCCAGCCGCCAGTGTCCAATGCACGGCTGCTCTTGGGGGTGGGGGGCAGGGAACTGTCCCTAGCTTAGGCCACACATGGGGAAACAGAGGCCAGGAGATTTTGAAACCTGTCTGTGGCCATGCAGCATGTAAGCATGGGAGGGAGGATCTGAAGACAGGCAGCCAGGCTCCAGAGCCCAAGGCATCCATCCATTCATTCATTCTTTTTTTTTTTGGAGACAGAGTCTAGCTCTGGGGCCCAGGCTGGAGAGCACTGGCATGATCTCGGCTCACACCTGGCTCATTTTAGTATTTTTTGTAGAGATGGGGTTGATTTACGCCGGCTTCTCCAACTCTCATCCATGACCACCTGGATCCTTCCTCTCTTCTTACCTGTGGCCTCTCTCTCCATCTGCGAGAAACCTGCTCCTCCCACTCGTCAACCACTTGCTTGTTCAGTTCTGGTAAACCGTGCAGAAGCTTCATTCCGCCCCCGGAGGGGAATGACCTCGCCAGCTGGAGTCCCGTGCTGTGCACAGCTGCCTTTGCCTTTTGTCTTATGGACGCCACTCACTTCAGAGTAAAGGGCCAGCACCTTTTCCCTTCTCACTTGTCACCGTGGGTTTTGATCATAGATCATCTCTGTTGAAAACTTTGGAAATAAAGGGAAGAACAAGGAAAAAAGTCTAAATCACTGAGCATCACCCCTCCGGGGACCCTCTGCAGCTCCTTGGTGTTCACCCGTCTCTCACTCTTCCATCCCAGCTGTACCCCGAGTCAGTCTCATGTTGCTGGCCACAGAGGAGCCATTCATTCACTCTGAACACATTCTATGATGCTTTATCAACAAACTAGATGTGCGCTCTAGAGAGAAAGCTCCTGCTGTCCTGTGGGGCACCATGGAGAAGCTGAGTGGAGGAGGCTGGAGTCCGGAGGCCATGCACCCCAGCAGGGGAGCGCTGGCCCTGGCTGGGCTGATGGAGTCCTGGTGCTGGCATTCAAGTTAGGACTCTGTGCTGCTCAGTCAGACCTGACAGAGGCCTCCACCAGCTCCTCCCTGCCCCAGGGCCTTGGCACGAGCTGGTCTCCCCCAGGCCTTCCCACGCTGCTGCCTCCCCTTCCTCAGGGCTCAGCTTCGGCTCCTGCTCGCCCTCCACAGGCCCACCTCGAGCCCTTCCTGACCTTGGCGCCTGGTTCACTTCTGTTACAGCCATCGTCTCTGCCCCTGGTGATTTTCCTCACTTCCCTCGCTGCTGCGCTGAGGGACTGGGAGTGGTGATGGGTGACAGGTGCTCCTCAGAGACCCTGGTGCCGGCGGGACGAGCAGGGCTGCCAGCTGCACGAAGGGCCCAAGAACACAGGCAAGAAGCTCGCGAGTTCCCTCTCAGGGCTGGGGCTCTTGGTTTTGATTCTGGGCTCAGTAGAGTGAGTGACTTTGGTTATCGCAGCCTGGGGAGGCAGCTTTATTATTCAAAGGGAAAATTTGCTGAAGTTGCAGTTGGAACTCAGAAAACGGTGAGATCTTTGCTTTTGTTGCATCTCCTCTCCCAATGCCCCACATAAATTTTGGAAGCCTGCTGCTGGGGCTCCTCCCAGCCCTTTGTCCTCCAAATCCCCTTTGTTAACTCCCTGGAAGGGGCCACCCAGGGCTAGGCTCTCGCTGCTCAGACTCACTGGTTGGGGGCCGCAGCTCATCAAAGTACAGAACGTGGACTCCTGGAGACCACTCTCGTCCTGTGCACCACCCCCACCTCCTGTTTTACAGATGGGGATGCTGAGGGCTCCCAGTGAGTCAGCCCCTGACCTGGGCCCTGCTCCTCTAGGCCCCAGTGCCTGGGTTGGAGCAAAAAGAGGGTTGGAGGGAGCCGGTTGTGGCTGGCTTCGGATGAGCTCTCTGGTGGTGTCCCACTCTCACTGTCGTTGTTGTTTTTACTGTGGCTGAAGTGGGCTGCCTCCGGAGACCCCCTCGGCCCTGATGGTGTGAACTCAGGCAGCTGCTCTGCCTCAGGAGGGGTCCCCAGAGAGATCGGGGGCTGACTCCCCGTGCAGTGGGCTCTCCAGGCAGGGCCTCCTGGCCTCTGAGCTCTCCAGCGAAGAGGCCTGAGGGAAAGCTGCTAGGGGAGGCAGGAGAGAAGCTGGGGAGGCAGGATGGGAGTGGGGGTTCTCACACCAGTAGTTTTGCTGGAACCTATTGAGGGATGAAATGGGTGGCCCATTTCAATAACCCTGGGTGGTGATCATTCATTCATTCATTCATTCATCAGCCTGCACTGAGCCCTGCTGTGTGCTGGGCCCCGCTCTAGGTGCTGGGAATGCAGAGAAACCTCTGCCCTCAGTCTCTGCAGCCTGCTAAAGAGAGACGGATGTGAACGGCAAGGAGAACAGTGACAGGGAATCAGGGCAGGGCCTGCTGGACATGGCGAGCCAGGGCCCCGAGACCCCTGTGTTGAAACCGGAGCCCTGAGGTGATGGAATTAAGAGGTGGGGCCTGTAGGAGGTGACTGGGTCAGGAGCACTCCGCCCTCAGGAATGGGACTCCTGATGGGAGGGGCCGAGGAGCTTGTTTGTCCCTTCCACCACGTGCGGTGCCACCTAGAAGCAGAGAGATGCCAAGCCTGCCAACGCCTGGATGTCAGCCTTCCAGCTTCCGGAACAGTCCATCTCTGTGGGTTGTGAATTATTCAGCCTATGGTATTTTTCTTATGTGGCACAAATGGACTAAGGCTGGCACGGTGGCTTTCTGAGAAGGTGGCATTTGAGAAAGGCTGGAAGAGGAGACAGAGCGGTGCTAGGTGCCCCTTGGGGAGCCCACCGGGCAGAAGGAGCCACGTGTGCCAGGGCCTGGGTGGAGCTCAGCTGGGGGACCACAGAGCAGCGCAGGCCAGCGTGCTGGAGCTGAGGAAGCCACAGGGATAGACCGAGGTCAGAGGCAATGGGCCAGGTCCCCTGGGTGCAGCAGGACGTGGGTTTCACTCTGCTTGAGTGAATCAGGAGTGCGTCTGGAGCACAGATGGCGTGACCTGACTTAGGTTGGAGAGGGTGGCCCTGACTGCTCACTGGGGGGATGGCAGTGCAGGCAGGTGGCCAGGAAGCTGCAGCAGGGGCTCAGGTGTGTGTGTGTGTTGGGGGGGATCTGGGTGGCAGAGGCAGGCATGAAACCCAGAGCGAGGAGCCAGGATCTCTGCTCGGCACAGCCTGAGTTCCATTCTCCCACTGTACCCCAGCCTGGGTTCTGTCTGTCCCCCTACCCCCACAGAGTCCTCGCCCCAGGCACTGAGCCGAGCTCCCGTGGGTTAGGTTGAGCAGCGAGTGGAGGCACTGACACATCTACACTCTCTCTCCAGGCCCCCAGCGTCGCAGGATCCTGTAGACACATCAAATCAGACCCCTGGGGTTGGGTCCGTGCCCACAGTCAGACTCCAGCTCAAGTCCAAGCTATGCATTGAGGCAATACCTGGAAAGACAAGACCAGGCGTGCGGGCTGGGGCAGGAGTGGCAGGGAGGGCACGCAGCAGGAAGTGCTCTGGGTTGGGGAGGGGACCGTGGGGTACAGGGTGGTCCTGGCCTCAGCCTCAGGGCCTGGGCTCACACCCCCACTAGGGGCATGCACATTCCAGCCCGCGGGGCATGTGTGGGCAAAAGGCTCCAGGACCCCACGGTGGTCCTACAAAGAGCGGTAGACACCCGCCATCGATGCGAAAGCCCGGCGGAAGGGCGAGCAGAAGTGAGGAAGGGGCTGGAGCAGTGGGTCTTGGGACCACTGGGACAGCTTCTGGTCCCAGTGCCCAGCTCGGCTCTAGGCGGTGCTGCACAGAGAGCAGGGCTCCCCTGGGGCTGTGGGGGAAGAGCTGCGCCCAGAGAGGCTCAGCCCCACGAACCCCGGGACTGTCGGAGCTAGAGGGCTCCAGGGAATACCCATTATTGTCCATTCACCCACTCAGGAAATGGTTGCTGAGCACGTGCCTGTGCCAGGCCCTCTGCAGGGACATGCCTAGGACAAGGCTCTGCTGCCCTGGAGTCTGCTGTCCAGGGTTCCCGCAAACATCCATCCAGCTACCCCCGTGCACTCACCAAGCACCTGTAACCAGAGGCCATAGGATGTCACTGAATCCACAACCATCTGCAGCACCTCTGCACAAGAGTTCAGGGTGCGTGGCCTTGTCTTTATACTCACCTCCCTGCAGGCCGTGAGGTCCCTGTGGCAGGTGCTACCTTATTGGTCTCTGAGTCCCTGGAACCGGACGCATCACAGGTGCATGTTGGGGTCCAGAGGCCACAAGTGTGCTCTTCTGCTCCAACCCAGCGCTTTTTCTATGTGACAGGCTCTCTATGCCTCAGTTTACCTGTCTGTCCTGCCTGCCTCACAGGGACATTTGGGCATGGGGAGGCAGAGAGGGAAAGACACAGCACACAGGGTCTGGTGGTGCAATGGACCGAATGTTCATGTCCCTGCCAAGTTCACAGGTGTAAATCCCAACCCCTGACACGATGGGATCAGGAGGTGGGGCCTTTGGGAGGTGAGGATGTCATGAGGGTGGGACCCTCACCAGTAGGATCAGTGACCTTATAAAAGGGGCCCCAGAGAGCTCCCTCGCCCCTTCAACTGTGTGAGGACACAGCAGGAAGACAGCCACCTGCAACCACAATACACGTCTGTGGCTTAAGCCACCCAGAGTCTACTGCTTTGTCACGGCAGCCAAAGGGACTAGGACAGGAGGCTTGTTTTTAAGTCCTGAGATCTGGTCCTGCAGGCAGTGCCCTGAGCAAACCCTAGAGCTGCTCTGAGCATTTCTCTTCCCTAGAAAACAAGAGGATGCCATTTGTAACATACGCTGGGGCTTAGCGAGGTCCCTCCTGGGATGCCCAGGCCTTGCTGGGCACAGAGGAGACTAGTACCCCACTGCCCACTGCTCCCTGGCCTCGGCTAAGCAGGTGTGGTGTGATGGAGCAGTGTCCTTACAGTGCCAGTTAGCCCTGGGTGAATAGCCGCCGGGATCTCAGCCACGTCCTCACCTTCCCAATAGCCACTGGGCTCTCAGCCGCATCCTCACCTTCCCATCGCGGTGACTCCTCCAGACGGCCGGGAGGGCTTCACATGTGGAGGTGCAGTGGTTCTCCCCAGCCAGCACTCAGGCTTGGGGCACAGGCCAGGCCTGACCTCCCTCACTGAGGGGGGCTGCAGTAGAAAGAGGCTCAAAACAGCAATGATCTGCTGCAGCGAGGTGGCCTTGGTGCGAGGTGGCCCCGGTGGAGCTCTCAGAAATGCCTGCCTTCTTGGACGCACTGACAGTAATGGCCTGAAGAAACCTCCCTGCTCTTCCTCATCCCTGTGGCTGTCCTCTGGGCAGACACAGGACCCATGTTATGGGCCAGGAGTGTGCAAGGAGTGAGGCCTGGCCAGACTCCTGTGGAGAGTGGGACGAGGCCTGCAGGGGCTGACGCCTGTGGGCCTTCCAGGGCGCCTCACTGCCTCCAGGACGGACAGACTCTCGGGGACACACTGAGCCCCCACCCTGCTGCCCCCAACCCCCGCACTCCATGCATGAAGCACTTGAGCCTTTCAAGGTGGAAGGCAGGAGACGGCGGCCCCCAGCAGCCACCCCCGGTGGCCAGCCCCGAGGCAGAGGCTCCTGGCACCTGTTTGCACCATTGAGAGTGAATTATGGCCCAGCCCAGGGCTGGCCAGTGCGATGGAACAGCAAGCGTGCTAATTACCAAATGTCCTGCATGATTAACTAGGAAATTAACAGGCCAAATACTCCCTCTCTTCCTGGCCAGTGCCTCGGAACCCCATAAACACACTGGAATCCAAATGCTGCTGAGTGGCTCAGCTCCAGGCCCATCCATCCATCAGTGCTCGGTGACTCATGGGCCTTTCCAGAGCCCCGTCTCTTATGCCAGGGCCTCATTCCCGAATCCAGGAGCTGGGGCTCAGGGCCCCCTGCTGCTCTTGTCACTGCCCACCCTGGTCCCGGACCCTGTGTCCAGGCCGTGACCTGAGGCCTCAGGAAGACTAAGGTGGAACAGGGGACGGACTTGACCAGGATGGGGCCCAGTTCCCAGCCCGGCTCCCTTTACCCACTGGGTGCCCCTGGGTGCCACCTCCTCTGCCTCCATTTTCTTGCTTGTACAACAGAGGTGATGCTGCCCCGCTGTGGGCCTGCCCTGGGGGTTAGAGCAGAGATGGGTGTGATGTGCGCCACTCACCTCCTGCCTCCTGCTCCAGCCTCCCACTTGCCCGCGGAGGAGTTATTGACCTGGTTGGCCAGAGTCTGAGGCTTTGATTCTGTGTCCTGTGTGTGTGTGGGGGGTGCTGCGTGGGGGTGACCCCATGCTACCAGATGGCAGCAGCAGTTCCCCATCCTCTCACCCTCCTGCTCTCCCTGCCAGGGCTATGAGTCTAGAGGTCCAGCTGCCTTGCACTCAGGGTGGGGAGCCCCATGAATCTGGTCATCCAGCTCTCTTACATTTGGCGTGGCAAGACCCTGAGTCTGGGGCTCCAGCCACCTTGCACTCAGGGTGGGGAGACCCTGAGCCTGGGGTCCAGCTGCCTTGTACTTGGGGTGGGGAGCCCCTGTGGGTTTACCAGAGCACCTTTCCAGTCCTCCTGCCTGTGGGCTCTTTCTCGCCCCATCAAGGGCAGTTGTTGTTCCTTTGGGCTTTATTCCCCCGTGGGCTCTGCTGGGAGGGACAGAGGTGAAGAGGGTGCTGGTCAGGGCTCAGACACAGAGCTCGCTACACTCTGAACGGGAACTGTGGGGCCTGGGAGGCATGGCTGGGCTGTCCGGAAGGACGAGAAGATCAGCACCCAGTCCTAGACTCGCATTTTAAAGCAGGGTAAACTGAGGCTTATGGGGGCACAGGTCAGGCGTCCCAAATTCTGTGCACCCCACTCCCTGTCCCCCATGAGGATGATGGACTGTGATCACAGCACCCCTGGGCCTCATGAACCCCAGTCCTTCATCTCCTGCCTCCCTCTCCTGGGAGGGACAGGCCAACAAAGACAGGCTGTCCCTTGAGGCTGGTTGGCAGGTGCACATCACAGAATGACAGGCAGAACTTGGGGGTCAGAGTCCGACCAGCTGGGTCTCCTGTGCAGCCTCACCACTCACACCCTGGGTGACTGTGGAAGGTGGTTTATCCCTTGGTGCCTCGGTTTAGCCATCTGCAATGTGGGCAAAAGTGCACCTCTCATGAGGTAGTCAATACATCACATTCATTGGGAGGCTTTTCTAAAGTCCTTAGAACAACATTTGGCCTGAGTAAGCGCTTCTGGGGAAGCTGGTCAGGCACACGGGTGTGGGGACCTGCCATGGCTGATGGCAGCAGAGAAGGACGTGGTGTGCTGGAGCCGGCAGGGCAAGAGCAAGCAGGAAGGCACACAGGCAGGCGCCGGAGATGGAGAGGCCTGACGCCAGAGTTACTCGCCAAATGTGTCACATTAGCAGTAATCTGGCCCATTTTTGAGGTCATTTTCTCTGGGGCCCACTTTTGAGCATTTCAAGGATTTTAGTCCACTTGTTCCTCTGCAAATGAATTTCCAGCACGTGAGCTCACTCCAGCCATCCTCGGGGAGGAGTGGGCAGGGGGGTGCAGCATTGGCAGAGGCCCAGCACGACCCCAGGAAGGGATTCAGTAGGCAGTGGGAGCGGGAAGGACACCCCCTCCTCTGCATGGGAGTCCGGGACTGGGGGCAGGCAAACTGGCTCAGCTCCATCTCAACCCTGTCATCAAACTGAATTCCATCAGGATTAGCATTAAGTATATTTAAAAAAATCAGGGCACAGAAAAAGTGAGAATTAAGTAGAATTTAATATTCATCATGCCTGGGGAGAGGGAAGATTTCCTAAGTTTAGAACTAATACAAGGAATCAGGAGAGAAAATATGGACAGATTTGACTGCATAAAAATGAAAATCTTCTGCAAGTCAAAATTAAACCATCAAATAAAGTGGCAAAAATAATATGGCCTGGGAAATATATTTGTAGCAAATATGACAAAGGCTTAATTTCCTTATTAAATAAAGACCTTATAAGAATTTCTGTAAAGACATGGAAATGCATATGATATAAAGTTCAGATTGTTTTTAAGAGGGAAGGGTTTATTCAAATGCTGAAAGCTTTGTACGTGGAGGAAAAGCTGATTGCAGAGCACCGTGAAGATGAGAATGATTTCGGCGGGTGGTAGGACTGGGAGTGATTGATCTATTTTTTTCTTGGTATTTTTCTGGATTTTTCAAATTTTCTTTAAGGAGTATGTTTTGTCTAAAAATATGATATGAGTCCATTAATATCTTGTGATCTATTGTTATTTTTATAATAATTCTTAGTAATAGCCACCATTTAAGCGATTGCTATGAACAAAACATTTTCTGCACATCATCTCATTTAATCCACACAATGCCCATGGGAGGTACTTATTATCCACATTTTAAAGATATGAAAACCGAGGCTCAAAGTGGTTAAGGACTCCAGCTAGGCACAACAGCAGGATAAGGGGGAGAGCTGGGTTTGCATGCGAGGCCCCGGCCCCGAGCTGTCCAGGAGGATGAATGGTGCCCGGAGCGGAGGGTCCCTCTGCAGCCCCATGGCACCTCCGTGCGCATTCTGCCCAAGAGTGCAAACCTGCCTCACCGGGAAGAACCCCAGTGTGTGCTGACGGGCCGAAGGAACTCTGTCACTTGGGAAGGGCGGTGTGGAAAGAGCTAGAAAAAAAAAATTGGCCGCTCCAGGGGCTGAGATAACTTGGGAGGAATGGCGGGAGGCGGTGAGTGAGCAGCTCTCCACGTGTGACAAATGCTTATTAGAAATAAGAAAACAAGGCAGAGGTATTCTTAGACTAATTGACTCAAAATCCTTGAACTTGAAAAGTTGGGGGAAAAATAACAGAGAAAAGATGCAAAAACACTGGGAAGCAGCTAAACTCATCATCCTGGGATAGCACGTGCTACATTTAGAGCATTTTCATTATAATTGTGCTATTAAGGTGGAGGTGTCCTTAGACGAATTGTCTAAAAAAGTCCTTGAAAAGCTTCAAATGAAAACAAACTCGGGGATAAAAGGGCTCAGAAAGAAAGCCCTGTGTTGATACAGATGGGCCCTGTCCCCTCCGGGTGTGGAGCCCGGCATACTCTGTGGCTCAGAGATGGAAACGCCTCTGGCCTGTCTGCCAGGGGCTGCAGGGAGCTGGGAAAGTCAGTGGGTGTGGCAGGTGATTAGAGCAGAGGGTCGACCACAGGTGGGTGGGCGGGGGGTGACATGAGTCCTCTCTGGGAGCACAGGAGGCCTCCCTGGAGGAGGCATTTGTGGCCTTTGACTTTGTAGTCAAAGGAGTCCAAAAGTTTCTCCTAAAAATCCCAGTGCCTTTGGGAAGCTTGAAGGAAAGATGCAGAAATTAACAAATGCACAGCCAGTGGGGGAAAGGGGGCAGTTGCTATGGTTGTTATTAATGAAGAAAAGAAACTCTGACTTCCTTCATCTTCTTGAAACACTCCTCTGAGGAAGCTCCTGTTGTCCCCACTTCGCAGATGAGAACACCGAGAGTCAGAGGGGATACAGAGCCCAAGGCCCCACGGATTTCCCAGCTCTCATCTCTATGGCTGCAGGCGTGTGGTTCCTTGCCTGGCCCTTAAGCTAGATTTGCACCATGCACTCAAAGCATTTTGCCAAATGAGGGCAGAGGTGGGTGGGTAGATGCCTCCTCTTTCGAGGCTCGGGCTCTCTGGTTCTTCCTGCTTGTTGTGCTGGGTTCCCTCCTTTGGTCTGACCTCAGGAACTCAGCACACTGACAGACAACGGTGCCTGAACACTCATGGTGTGGGGCCAGGCCTGATTCAGGTCCTCGTCTGGTATCTGCATGCAGCTGGCGCCCCTTAGACGTTTTTTGAACAACCAGAGCCAGAGGACAATGCATGGCAGCTGGGAGAAAACTTTGGTGTGGGTGCCCCTGACTCCAGTTAAAATTAACTGAGGTTGCAGTCGCGTGTTCCAAAAATTTCAGTTCAACTCAATTCATCTCATTCGTCGCAAATTCTTCCAATTCCCTCCATTCAACTCAATCCCAGGCCCACAGCTAGCTCCTTCCAATTTTTACTTTGACTCCTCAATTCAATTTATTTTAATTTCATTCTATTGGATTCCTTTCGTTCAATTCGATTTTCTTTCTTCAGTCCAGCTAAATTCAATTCCTTCAATTCATTTCAATTGCCCTCAGTCCAGTTTTTTGACTTTAACCAGATCCTGGCAGTTAATCCAACTTCAGTCAATTTTTCCAATTTGACCCAAACCCCATTCAGCTCACCTTGGGCCCTCCAGCTCCTTCCTGGGCGCCCTCACTGTGTGAATGATCTCAATTCTGTCCTGGGCACCTTTAAGCACCTGAGCCCTGCGGGGCACAATCCTCCAGGATGTGTGACGAAGAGGCTTCCTCCTGGAGAAGGATCTGGAAAAAAAGTTATACACACACACTTGCTATGGGCAATGCTGTTGCATGTCTGTCAGTTCCTGTTCTTTGCAGGACAACTCCGAGAGAAGGAGGTTCATGTTATGGTCATGATCTCTGTTGTGCAGGAGTGGAGAAGGAGGCACACAGGTTTTACAAGCAAACTAGGCCTTAGAGAGAAAGCCTTCAGGTCTTGAACCTGGACTGTTTCACAGTGAAGCTTTTGCTTGACATGTGCATGAGAAAACGATATTCTAATTTGGTCAATGAATTTGTTCAATAATGTTAAGTGATTACTATGCATAATCAATGTTCCAGGCAGTGCAGATGTGGTGGTGAGGGAGTGAGCCATGGTCCTATCCCTAGGTTCCTATGGCTCAGGGTGGAAGGTGGCAGGTCACATGGGCAATGTGTACTTGCTCCCATAGCACAGGTTGGGCACCCCCAGCTCCAGTCGGGGGGGCAGGAGAGGCTTGCAGGAACTGGTAGCACCATGTCTACACAGACAGAGAGTGGATAGAGAGTGTTGTGTAAGAATAACTGAGTCATGACCTTTCTTGGGCATCTAGAGTTGACTGTCTCCTGGAATCACATCCTTGCTTGAGCCTGGAGCATTTCACTCCTGCTCATGGGAGAAAAAGTGACCAGAGCCACAACCACTTCAGCTTCAGACTTTGTTCTGAGCAGTGTTCCCTGCTTCAATTAGTGCCACACCCCACCCGCTTCCTAACTGATCCTTAATGTCAGACTGGCTACCATGGCTTCAGCCCCCATAGAGATAACCCTTGAGTCCTTCCGGATTTGCTGACTTCAGCTGCTCTGGAGAAATCCCCTGCCCACTGCGATGGCCATTCCACGTTTTTACCTTCCTAGCTGAGTTCTGGTCTCCCAAAAGCAGTAGGACTTTGACAATTAGAAATATATGCTAACAGGATAATCCAAGAAGTGGAAACAAAGGCTTGGAGGTCAATGAGGATACATGGAAATGAAATGAGGGCAATGGGAAGAAGGGGACTGAGGAGTTAGAGGAAGTTTGGGGACATCTGCTTCTCCTGTGGGAGGCATGAATCCAGGGCAGCATTAAGGGGGTTGTTTGTGACCTCCGCCTTCCTTTTACATCCACTCAGCATTTATTCAGTTCTCTCTGCCTCAGGCACACTCACCCCCCAGCATGGAGGACCTGGCTTCAGAACCACACCTATGGACAGCGCTCTGGCCCTGGGCTGCCTTTTGGCCTCCTCGGTATCCCCTTGGCTCCGTTTCAGCTGGAAGCACCCATTGATCTGCCAGTGCTGCCGAGTCCTTCCAGAGAGAGAGGCAGAACCGAATTCAAATCCAAGTCTAAGTGCTGCTGTGACGTTGACCTCCAGCTCCTTACCTGGCACAGAGGGTGCCTAAGAGGAGGTAATGGAGTAACATCCATCAGGTGCTTGACAAAGAAAAGGGATTCAACAGCTGTTAGTGTCTTCCTCCTAAGTAGCATGTTTCAGTTTTACCAGGGATTCCCAGCGCCTGAGCCAGATGGTCGAGGGGCAGACACCACAGCAAGCTCGTGGGAGAGTTTGTCTTCAACAAGCTCCACACTGTGGCTCACCTTAGTGGTAAACAGGAAGGGTCTTCTGTTTTGACACATCCCTAGGTCTTTTCTGGGCAATGAAATAATGTAACAGCTCCTTATCCCCAGGGCATTTTTGTGTTTAATAGTGCATTCTATAAGGCAATGCTTGACTCAAGGAATGGAGAATTAATGATGGGATTTCACAGTGTGACAAGACACTGGGGAACACGGCCCATGGGGCAACTGGCTTCTGCCGTCACCTTGTTCAGTGGCTGCCCACCCATCTGGGACTGAGGCTGGGCTCTTTTGAGAGTAAGTGCTCATGCTACACAAGAGGCTTGGCTAGATCCCCAGGTGGAGAGAAACAGGTATCTTCCTGGAACTCATCAGGAAGCCCTCCTACCAAGGCTGCTGTTTGATTATGGCAGTGACAGTATCCCAGTGATAATGTTAAACTTTAAATTCTACCACATCCCCTACCTCAGCCCCTGGATGTTGGGGGCATTCTGTCTTGTCCACTGATTTTATCTCCTGTGCCATAGATTGGCTGTGTGTGGCTGCCACCCATGCTAGCTTTCAAGGTGGCCTGGGAGGGGCTGAGGTCCATAGCCTGCATGACACATGCTCCATCCCCATTGAACTTGTCTACAGACCATGAGGGAGATGGCTTTTCCTCTAGGGAAGTCCAGACCAGCAGGCTATTTAAACACAAGCAGTTCCAAAAAGTGGTTGGCCAGGAACACACTCTGGGCTTTCTCCTGCTCCTCCTGGGGCTGTCTGTTGGCCCTTCAGTGAGGAGGCCCAGAACCTGTGATCAGCTTTTGCTCCTAATTCAGCAGTTTTCTCCATTCCCACGCCTGCAGCTCTTCCCACCCACCCTTTCACTGCAGGCCAGCGGGCTCATTAGAAGCTGGGACTTAAGCACCTTGCCTCTGTGTACAGCACCCAGGCTATTGAGCTGTGCCACCTTTCTATGGCCATTATGGGCACCCAATGGGCCATCAGCAGCCCCTGTGCAGCAGCCACTGCACTGGGCACATCAAGCCTACCTGCCATATGCTTTATTCCATGGGAAGACAATAGGGGCAGACCCTGTAATTTCCATCTTATGGGTCAGGAAGCTGGGGCTCTCACAAATAAAAAGAGAGGTCCAGCCTCTTCTGCAGGAAAATGGCGGCATTTACAAAGCTCTTTCCAGAGCAAACCACAGCTGTCTCAGTGATGGGTCCGAATGGCCCTTGGAGGTTTGAGAAGAGGGTGGGATGAGGGGCGGAGGAGAGCTTAGAGCTCAGGGCAGATGCCTGGTCAGGAACACACAGATGGGTTCTGACAGGGGCATCAGGCATGGAGCAGGGAAAGAGGGGCTCTGAAACCAAATGGGATATGATAATTTACCTGCAGTCTTGGTGCTGTGCAAAGGGGGATGAGAATGCTAGCCATCCCCGGGGGCAGCTGTGAGGATGAGAAGGAAGGGAGTGTGACCTGTGCTCCATCTGGCTCTGACACTGTCGAGAGCTGCCCATTCTGTCTCCAGGACCTCGGTCCTTGCAACTGAGTGGATGCCATGGGAGCTCCAGCCAATTCTCACTGGAGCCTACCCACTGTCTATAGTTGATTGGTGCAGAGATAGCCGCTCAACCCAAACTGGGCCAATCAAAGTGCTTCTCTGGGATTTCCTGTTAATAAAGGTCAGACTCTGGACCCTTATTTGAGCTTCAATGTGAACTTTCAGTCCTGTTCTTCACCAGATGGTGAGAGATTGAGGCTGAGATTTGGAGGAAAGCAGAGGGGAGAGAGAGTGTGCTCAGTGGCAGTACTCATGAGGCCCCAGGACTTACTGAAGCCTAAAGTTTCTGATGTTTTGAGGTCTCCCCTGCCCTTCCAGTTCCAAGCCCTCCCCTGTCATGTTCCATTGTATGGACACTGGCTTCTTCCTGATGTTTCCTTTGTGCTTTTTCTTGTTGTCCATCTGTCCCCTTGTCACCTCCATTTTGCCAGCTCTGGGAATGCCACCTGCCCCCTGTAGGCTCCTAATATGCACATTTTACAAAGAGGAATGCTGAGCTTCCTGGGGGCTGATCATGTAGCCTTCCTGGGATTCTGTAGCCAATAAGTGAGCGTTTGTCTTGTTTCTGCGCCTTGCAGCCAGAACCCTGAAGAATGCCAGTGTCTGTGGTCTTGGGAAAGTCTCTTCCCTTCTTTGGCTGCGTCTGTCCTTCCTGCAAAGCAGGAGGAGATGGTAGCACTGCAAAGGTAATGGCGAGGCCTGGGAGCGTGCCAGCCCCTCCCGATGCTCTCAGGGGAAGAGCCAGGCGTAGGAACCCTTGTAGGGTGGGAGGTGTGGATGCAGACCTTGGATCTGGAGCCACCCCTCCCAAAACACATGCAGGGATGTTAGGCACAGTGTTCAACCTCCCTTGGTTTCAGTCTGGAAAATGCAGGATTTGATGAGGCCAGTCGTTGGCACCCCACATGGAACTTCTCTAGTAATCTCAGCTGATATTCTTCCTGCTCACAGTACACAGTGTGTGCAGTTCCTCCATGTGCATAACTCATAAATCCCAACACCAGTCTGGAATGAACCCCTGTGGGAGGTCTGACCCTGGGCCAGGCCACACACACGCACCGTTCATGAGCCTCACTAGAACTCTGGGCAGAAAAGCGCTTCTGCAGATGAGGAAACTGCAGGTTGGGGAGGTTCCTTGCCTTCCCCAAGTCACAGAACACGTTTGTGGTACACCCAGGCATCATGCCGTGGTTGGTCTAACTCTTCAGCTGGTGCTTGGGCCTTCCATGACCTACTCCACTCTTCTTGCGAAACCTGATGACATCATTACATGTCCCCTATGAGGCCATCTGGTTGTTATAGGGAGGATGATCCAGGCTAGAGAGGTGAGTTCACAAGGTGGATGTCACACAGCAAGTTGGGCAGGGAAGGGTGAGGTACTGGGTACAATCCTGCTCTCTGGAGTCCCCAGATGCTTCCTTCAGCTCACGGGGGCTCAGCACAGCCCCATAAGGCAAGTGGGGGGTGCAGAGTGTCCACAGTGGGGGAGACTGTTCCCACTGTCAGGCCTCGTGCTGGTGTGTGTGTGAGTGACAGAGCTAATTTCCCAAACACCATCTGAGCTGAATGCATGTGGATGAGGATGATGGTTTTAACATTTTAAATTAGAAAAAAATTACATTTTTCTCCCCTGCCAAAATAAAGATGAGAAGTCAAATGGATCTGGTTTGAAAGGGGCTGGAACCAGGGAGCATGTTCCTGCCAGACTCTCTGTTGAGCAAACAGACCGGGAGCCAAGCGTTGCCTGGCGGTTAGTCCCTGCGACCCCTGGCTGCCCGGTTCTCTGCAGCGTGGGGCATGACAACTTCCGGGAGCTGTGGGGCAGGCAGGCTCAGGCTGGCATCTGCAGGTCTCCTGCAGCTGGCTAGGCTTGGTGGCATCCAGCTCCTCTCCTGGGATGCAGGCTTGCTCCGGTCTTCTTTGAGGAATTTCCATGGGACCAGTGAAGGCAGGCAAGCACCTCAGGGCCGGACGCCCTACCCCCGGGATGCAGCTGCTGTCTCTGCTATGACTGTTTCTGTCTGCCCCACGGGGATCCCTTTCTCCTGCTCTGGGGGCTCCGTCCTCGGCAGTGCTCCGATTTGGGCTCCATGTTACCCGCTGTTTGCTGTGCTGGGTTTTCCCAGAGTGGGGCCCGGCATTGTTCTTCTACACCGCATCTTTGAGAGACCCTTTCAAGGTTGTCACCCCAAACCACAATTGGGGAGACTGAGGCCCATGGGCCTGACTGGAGGTGCTGTGGCCAGCACAGAGGACTCCCTTCCTGTGCAGTCAGTCAGCCAGGGAGGGGCCAGGGGGCTGCACTGTGATCAGGAGACTTGCAGGGCCCCTCCCCACTCCAGGCACTGTGTCTGATTCCTGGAGAAAGAGCAGTGAGTCCCCTCCCTCAGCCTTTGCTGGCCTGGGGGCTGCTGTTCCGTAAGAAGCCACTGCAGTGGGGCAGAAAGCACCACATGTCCCCTTGGCCCAGGCCGCTGCTTCCTTTCTCCTGTAATCAGCAACTGCTCTCCAGCAGGACTCGCAGGCAGGGGCACGGGACCCTCCTGAAAGGGCTCCTCTGCAGGAGGCTTCCTCCCATCCCTGGCCTCCCGCCACACCTCTGCACACATTTGAATCGGCGTTGTCTGCTCTGCTGTGGCCTCGGTCAGGTCAGCTCCTGGAACGGTGCGAAAGAACAGCGTGGGCAATGTATTCTGGGCGACTCCCAGCCAGGACCTCGGAAAGCCAGTCCCTGGGCCCCTGCCCCATCAGGTGTTGCCTCCTCGGTCTCATTCTTGGGCCTCGCTCCTGTCCCCCAGCACCCCTAGGTCCAGCGGAACCCATACCTGCTTGTTTCCCTGCCCTCCGTCCCCTGCGGGCTCCCACCCCAGGCCTCCGAGACCCCAGAGAGGAATGGGGCGATGGAGAGGGCCGTGCTGGGAGGAGGGGGTGATGGGGGAGGAGGGGCCAGGACTCTGAGCAGAGGGGAAGCAGAGACGGGGAGGCTGCGTGCGGCCACAGCACAGGAGCCAGGAGCAGACTCTGCAGAGGGGAGACTGATGGCAGCACCCAGGGCGGGTGGCCCCAGCAGCAGCTACCAGCCCCAGTGTGGGCCCAGCCCCCATGACAGAGCGCTGCTGGTGGCCTGCCTACTCCAGCCCCACCTGCCATGGGCTGTCAGTCAAGGCAGGGCTGTCTACATGCTATCGAGTATCAGGTGGGAGGAAGGGAGTCTGGGGCAGGGGCCACTGGGGGCACTTACAGGTTTGGGCTCTTGACTGAGACTCTGGGTGCTCCCAGATGACCTCTCCGGGTGAGCCTGGGCACATGTGGCACAAATTGCCTCTAAGCTCTGCCAGCTCAGAACTCTCTGGGCCAGAATGCGATGGGCCTCAGCCCCTGAGAGAGGGCGGCGGGGAGAAACTTCCCCCGCACTCAATCCCATCTCTCTGCTTCCCTTCAAGTGGGGGCAGTGGCCGTGGCTCCCTGCAGCTCCGCAGTGCAGCTGGGCCTTTGTTTGCAGCTCTGGAGAAAGGGGAGACACAGGATAGTGGGGGTGGCCTAGCCCCAGCCCCGCCCAGGGGCCTCTGAGAGTTGAGCCTGGGCTGCATTCTCAGCTGCACTCAGCTGGACTGCACTAGACGGCAGACACCAAAGCGATCCGAGCTCTCCCCCGTGCCGGGGCCGCCTCCTCCCTCACAGGCCGGGTGTGTGTTAGTTTCCTCGGGCTCCGCCAAGCACCACACACAGCGTGGCTTTCACAGCAGACGTCTATTGTCTGGCAGCGGTGGAGGCTGGAAGTCTGAAATCAAAGTGTGGGCAGGGCTGTGCTCCCTCCAGATGCCAGGGGAGGATCCCTCTGCCTCTTCCAGCTTCCATCAGCGCCTGCTGCCCCGGCATGCCTCTGCCCCTGCCCCGGCCCCTACCATTCTTGAATTCCCTGCCCACCCTTCTGTCTTCTTGACCAGACGTGGAGCTCCCTGAGGGCAGGGACTGGGTCTTATTATATCTCCTCAAGCTCGGCCTGGTGCTGCAGCCCAGGAGTGTCTGTCGGATGAGCGGGTGATGGATTTGGTGAGAGAGAGATGGGGAGTGACAGGCTCAGACGTGCAGGTGTGGGGGTGGCCAGGGCGCACTCTGGGACATTTCTGGAGGATGAGGGTTAGCACCGGGACTTGGGCTGCACCGGTTCAGGAGGCCCAGAGGGAGACAGGGCACTCAGAGCAAGGGCAGCTCTACCAAGGTGAGCAGCAGAGAGGCCGTTCTGAGGCTGGTGCTGAGCTGGGGCTTAGGGTGGGGAGGCAGGGAAGGCAGGAGATGCAGCTTGTGAAGGGTGGGCTGGATGTGGCGGGGGGCACGGGAGCTGGGAGCAGTTCAGTCACTCCAGCGGCCTGCACGTGTGGGACCAGGGAAGAGGAGCCTGCTGGCTTGTGCGGACAAGGAGGAGGGGGCTGTGATTCTGCGGGTGGGAGCAGGGGTGCGCAGGAAGCCACTCTCCCTCCTTCCCTCCCTCTTCTCGCCGATTACCCTCAACTGCGGGTCAATCTCACTGTAGAAGATGGCCCTGCCCTCTCCATGGCCTGGGGAGACTGAGGGGTTTCATAAAAGGGTTTGCTCATTTGTGACTTTAATCCTCAGCTGTGATTTTATCTCCGCACAAGAAAGCTCTTTCTGTTCATTGATTCCACGCAGGCATTAGCTGGAAAGCCTCAGCTATTGGCTCCTGATGGCACCAAAGTTACCCATCGACTCTGGCTCTCGGCCACAGCACAGGGGCTGGGGACTGGGGGCTGGGGGGTGAGTAACTGAAGTGCGGAGAGGTGCACCCAGCCGCTCCCAGGTCCCCGGCAAAGTCCTAGCTGTCCCTGCAGCTTCCCCCTGGAGCAGATGCACCACACCCAGCCCTGCTGTGACAACGTCCTGCGTTCCTCCCTGGAGCCCAGAGGTTGTGCCTCGAACCTCGGAAGGGCCCTGGCTGCCCCTGCCTTATGGGGTTTCCCCTTTCCCATTGGCCACAGGGCTATCTTCCCGCAATGGGAACCCTGAGACTATGTGCTCTGGGAAGCCAACCTGGGGGTGGACGGCAGATGACCACCCCTTTGCCTGAGAGGCCCAACTCAGAGCGCCCCCGTCTTCTTGAACAGGTGTGGGCTGCACTGGTGGCTCCTAGAGCTGGCGATCCTTCATATTCAGGAACACTGCAAGCTGTGGCCAACACTGACTTCCTGGAATCAGCCAACGTGGGAGCCTGGACACTGCAGAAATTGGCAAACCACACAGCCGAGCGCTGCCCTTCTCCTTCCCAGAGGAGCAGCTTCCCAGCCCCGCACCGTGTTTACCCTGCATGGTCACCGGGTTGCCACCGGCAGACAAGGCCCTGCCTCCCCCTTGAGCACACAGGCCATCGAGACTCCCTTCTCAGGAGCCCCAACTGGTTTCCCGCCACTACGGACCCCTGAGCTTCTCTCCTGGAAGCTCCAGGGTGGCGGCTGCCTGGCCTTCAGAGACACCCACTGCCTCAGACCAGGCAGCCTGACTTGGAGACCCTTCCCCATAGGAGCTGGGCTCCCCTTCAGCCTGCACAACCCACCCTTCACACCCAGTGGGAAGCCCACCCTCCTTGGGGAAGCCCACCCTCCTTGGGGAAGCCCTCTGCAGCCTGGCAGGAGGCCTTTGCTCCCTGGGTCCCCTCCTTGGGTCTCCTTCCCCAGGTCTCCTTCCCCAGGCTGTCCTGGGGCCCAGCTCTGTCTCTCACCTGGCGGTGTGGGCCTCGAGGGCTGGGCCTGTTGTGGGCCAGACCCCACCTGTTGGAAATGCAGCCACCACAGTGCTCAAACAGCTGACCTTGTGCTTCCTTCATGTGGAGGGAAAAAGACCTGGGGGCAGACCACTAACTGAACCAGCGTCATTTATGCAGAAAATGCATCCCTCTTGCCATTCCTATTTGCCCAAAGATATCCTGGAAGGGGGTCTTAGAGGCCAGCTGAATCCCTGTCCGAAGCAGGGGGTCAGAGAGAGATCTGCCCCAGCTGCAGAGCACGTGGCCTCCCAGTACGAGAAGTGGGGTGGCTGCACCCAGCACAGTGGGTACAAGGAAGTTGGAGCCACTCTGGACCACACTGGCCACAGCCTGATCTGCGCATTGCCCGGGCCCTGAGCACCTGGCCAGGTGCTGAACTCCTTTGGGAACTTCAGGTCTGATGGAGAGGTGCTCCGTCCACTCTGCCCAGTGTCTGCCCTCTGCCCAGACGCCCCAAAAGCAGCCGCAGAGAGAAGGCGAACTTTGGCTTCGGGGGCCCAGTGCCACCACTTCCGATCTGCGTGGCGGTGGTCAAGTGGCCTGGCTTTGCCGAGCCGCTTCCTCATGTTGCACGTGGGGATGACGGAGCCGCCCTCCAGGAAGCTCCAGGGATTCATAAGACCAGGCGTGCCAGAGCTGCAGGTCTCAGCAGCTGATCACTAAGTGCTGGTGCCTGCTCACAAGGGACAGCTGCCCACCAGCTCTGGGCCATGGCTGGGGGCTCCCGCCCAAGCCCTGGGCAACTGATGATACGTTGCTGACCGCAGGCAAGCCTCCCTGCCAGCCCTGCTGGCCTGCATGGGACCAGGGAAGGAGGGTGAGGCCTATATTTATCTGCAGTGTGAGGAGGCTTGTCTGGCAGTCAGATGCAAATGCCTTCATCCCATCTAGGCTGGTTGCTGCTCACAGCGGACAAGTCTTTCCCGCCTGTTCCACACCAGCCTGGTGCCAGTGACAGGGGTGGCGGGAGCTTCACAGTGCCTGGAGGCTCGTTCCTGGGCTGCGAAAGCGCCTGAGTGACGGAGGCTCAGGCTGAGCTTAGGCGAGTTTACTGAGGCTTAGGAGGAAGCCGGATCAGAAGAGGCTGCAGAAACCATAATGCCCACACATCCCTGCCCCAGCGGCGGCCCACAGGTGCCTGGCCTCAGCTCAGCTACACTGGAGGGGAGGTAGCCAGCACCCTGATGGTGTCTCGGTTCTAAGACCCCATTTACACAGTGGAAAACAGGAGGCAGCCGCCCAGCGACCTCTGCCCTTCAAAGGCTCCAAGAGAAGCAAAGGGACAGGTGTAAGGAAGTAAGCCCTGACCCTGGAGACTCAACAAGCCCTGATGAAGTTAGACGAAGTTACAAGCTGGGCCCTGACCCTGGTCACACACTAAGCTCTGACCCTGGTCTCAGACTGAGCCCTGATTCTCATCACTGAGTCACTAAGTCCTGATCCTGGTCACATGTCGAGCCTCGACCTTAGTCATACACTGAGTCTTGACCCTGGTCACAGGCTGAGCCCTGACCCTGGTCACACACTGAGCCCTGATCCTGGTCACACACTGAGCCCTGACCCTGGTCCTCAATCAGCTGAGCCTTGATCCTGCTTCCTGATTGGCTATGAACTGTTCCAGTGTGGAAGGGAGAGGCCAGGGCATGAGGTGGGACTCGCTAGGGCAGCCCCTCTGCACATCTGGGACTCAGGTCAGAACACAACCCTCCCTACATGCGAGAAGAAGTTCCTGCAGGTGGCATCTTTCAGGTAGCTGTGCTTTAAGCCTGCGCTGGGCTTGCCCTCCGGTGACAGCAGCAGCTTTCAAGGAGGCAGCCATGAGACAGTCCCTCAGGCTGGGGGCTTGATCACGCTCACCTCAGAGCCTCACCTCCTGGGGAGTGAGCAAAAGTGAGAGTCATTAACCCACTTTACAGAGGAGGAAACGGAGGCCCGGGAAGGGGCCTCAGGATCTCGCCCAGAGAATAGCCGGTCCTGAAGACCCTGCATCTGAGCCACACCCTGCTCTGCCCACACCTCCTGGGGTCTCAGCACCCCCAGTGCATTTTCCCCCGCCCCCGGCCTGCACTGTGAGCTCCGGTTGGTGGTTCCTAGCAAGCACCTGTTGGCTGTGCCAGGCCCCAAGCGCCTCATGAGCTAAAGAGGGTGCCCTGCTATTCTGGGGCTCAATGCCCAGCCTCTGCCCGAGTAGCCTTGTCTGTGCCTGTCCTGGGCCGGCCCTCCACGTCTGGAGGGGAGACGGAGCTTGCCTTCTCTGTGCTGTGGGACTGACTGTGTCGGGGTGGGGCAGGGAGGAAGCAAAAACCAAACCCCTCGCTTCCCCGACTGCCTGCCCTCGCCTGTCTCCAAACCTCACGGACATCCAGCTCGAGGGAAGTGAACGTCACTCCAATATCTGAAAATGCAGCTGATGCTGCAATTACATCCCCTGTCCCTTCTCCTTCCGGGGGTCCTCTGGGGTCCTGGGAATCCGGCCAACAGGAATCTGTTTTATGATCCTGAGTCTCTGCCAGCAGGAAGGCCGGGCGAGGCCGGTCCCTATGTGCCCACGATGCTCTCACATAAATATGCATCACTTAAAATTTAATAAAAAATACCAATTATAAAAGCTATTTACCCAGTCAAATCAATCACTGGCCTTGGTGTGTTTATGCCTGAACACCTGATTTCTGCTCATAAGTCACTTTTACACCCTCTTTAGGTGCTAACGACCTGAGTGAGCTGGCAGCGGTTCCGGAGGGATGGGGCTCACCTATCCCAACCCCTCACCCCCACTCCTCAGGGCCGGGGAAGTCAGCTTGCCTCTCAGGAAGCTGGAATCCCAGAATCAGGGCTCAGAGCCTCTGGCCTCCTGTGGGCAGCCCCAGTCCCCTCTGCAGGTAGTAGAGTCAAACCTCCTCTCCTTCAGGAGGTCTTCCCTGCCCTCCCCAATTCTCAGGGCTTCTCCAACATTAAATGGGCGGCTCTGTCTGCATTAGCAAGAAATGTGTTCAATTTCTCACTTTCTGCAGCAGCGACTGCAGGCCCACCACACACAGAGCCTGTTTCAGCTCCAAGGGGTACCAGCTGTATGCCCCTTTTGCAAAGCGTGAGTCCCTGTTGATGTCAGGGATGGAGGCGGGTAACATAAGACACCAGGGCTGTGCCTGGGTCCCTGCCTGCCTCACACCAGAGCATCTTGCCAACTAGAAGAGGATTCCTGGCCAAGGAATCATCCACGCCAGTTTGGGAACTGTGGCCACATGGCCCATGAGGAGGCAGGAGGGGCAGGGGAACAGCATCCCCTACCCCAGATCTGCTCTTCATCCAGGCCCCACACTTCCTGGCTGAGTGACCTCAGGCTGGTCTCCGGACCTCTTTGATCCTCCATGTCCTTATCTTTGGATCAAGAATTGCTGTGAGTTTGAGTGAGTCAGTGCATGGTGGGTACTTAATCCTGATACTCAGTGGCATCATAGCCACAGCTGGCATTCGTTTGTGTGCTCTCTGCCTTCATTCAGCTGTATTTATTGAAAGGCAGTTTGGCCACGTCACTAAGTACATGGACTCTGATATCAAATCCACCTGGATTTGAGCTTCAGCTCTGCCACTCGTGGTGTGATAGTGGATAAGTCACTTAGCCTCCTTGTGACTCAGGTTTCTTGTGGCAAGACAAATGCCACAGTGGGTATCTCACAGGGTTGGAGATGCATTCTGGAATGCAGATGTGATGGTTGGAGCTGAAGCAGCCCTTTTGGGCTGCAACAAAAAGCTCACAGTTTTGGGATGAAGCAAGATCTTCAGGCAAAGAGTTTTGTTCATAGTTGCTGGATCCCAAATGCCTCCAAACCATGCAGTCCCCAATGTCTGCTGAGGTGGAGGTGGCACAGTGCAGGGACTAGGCCTGGCTTTGCCCTGACAGTGCGATGGTGGCAAGTTGAGAGTAGTCTCTGTATTTCTGTTACCCCATCCCTATCAGGGACCACAATGCACCACCTTCATAGGTTGCTGGGGGGATTAAAACATGGGGTATAAGCTTGTTGGTGTAATGCCCATCACATGGTGGGGCTCACAATAACTCAGCCAGTTTACTATTAAATGTATCAAGGGTACCAAGTGTTCTGCTGTGTACCAAGTGATCAGCTAAGCAATTTGCACATTTTATTCTATTTAATCCTCTCAAATTCACGCTGGAATTTTATCAGAAGTCTTCACAAACATTCCCCATTTCACCATTTGCGACAGTTAGATTTGGTGGTAAGTCACAGAGACTGAAAATAGCAATGGCCTAAAAAAGAAAGAAGCTTCGCTCTCCCTTTTCCATAGAGCCTGGAGGCAGGCCAGCCAGGACTGAAATGGTCTACTCCACAGAGAGCTCAGAGACCAGGCTCCTTTTGCCCTGTTGGTCCCCCAAGCATGGCCTCCATTCTCAAAGCCACTTCAAGGTGCAAAAGGGTGCTTCGGCTCCAACGATCACATCTGCATTCTAGGGGGCAGCAAGGGAGAGGCAAGCTGTGAGTGGCAGCTGACTTTTAAAACTGCCCCTGGACACTTGCTTCTGTTTACATGTCACTGGCCAGAACTTCAGTCATGTGGCTGTGCCTGGGTGAAAGGAGAATTGTGATATGTAACCACTTTCTTCTATGTGTGCCCAGCTAAACTTTCTGCGCAAGAAAGGAGGAGAGAATGGGCATTGTAGGACAACTAGCCCTCTCAGACCCACCCATGTTTGATCATTTTTTAGTGTAATTTTAGCTAATCCATCTAGGGAAGCTAGCATTCAGTGTAAAGCAGGATTTCTTCCCCTTGACACTATTGCTATTTTGAGCTGGGTGATTCTTTGCTCTGGGGACAGGGGCCATCCTGTATCCTGTGCATTGCGGGATGCTGAACAGCTTCCCTGACCTCTGCCCACTAGATGCCAGCAGCACCTCCCAGCTGTGACAATCAGACATTGGCAAATGTCCCTGGAGGACAAAATTGTCCTTGATTGAGAACCTCTGACTTAAAGCAAAGACAAAAGTGATGACTGGAGGAGAAAGGTCACGCAGGGAAAATCAGTCACAGGCTGGGGGAGACATTCCACTTTCCAGAGACCTTATCTCGCCACTTCCCCACCCCACTTCCCCCTTTTTGCCCGCATCACAAGTGACCTCCTCCACGGTAAGCTGAAAGCGTACAATTGGTCTATCATCTGTCCTCTGGATAAACCCTGGATTTGAGATGACGGTGTGAAAACACATGCTCAGGATCCGCAAATCTAGAACCAAATAGAACTGAAAATGGACACGTAAAAGGGGAGGATATTGTCAAATGAGAAATGTTAGACGGAATCACAAAGAGAAAGACGGACAGCTTGACTTATAGAAAAATCGGAAACTCCTGCCTCTTAACAAACACAGAAAAGGCCACAAATGAAAAGCCACTACCCCATGGAAAATATATTTCCAGCCAACACCGCATTCGAGGGGTTAACATCTTCAGCGTGTAAAAGGACTTTCTAAAAATTGATAAGTAACACGTAGAACCTCAGATAGGTTATTAGTCAAAGTATGTGGCTGCCCAATTCCCAGGAATCATAAATACAGTTAGGAAATAAACATGGAAAAGTTATCTTCCCTTACTAGTAATAAAGAAAATGCACATTAAAACCAAGTACGGATTCTTGTTAATAAGGGGAACAGACATTAAAACATGGTAATGTCTGACATGTGCTGTGTCGGGTGCAGGCAGGGACTGCCCCAGGAGCAGACAGTTGGCAGCCTGCATCACACGCTTAAAAATGCCCCCTTAGACTGGCAGTTTAATTTCTAGGATGCTATCCTGAGGAAGTAATCTTAAATACGAAAAAATAGGTATTTTTAGCAAAATAATTAGAAACAACCTAAGTGTTTGAACATGGGGGATGTTTAAGTAAACTGTGGGTTATCCACTTGAATGAATATTACAGCCATTAAAAAATAATGTTTGCTAAGAGCACATACCGAGAATGCTTGCAGGGAACAAAAAGTGTGATCCTAACAGGTAATATAGTGTAATATGATTCCAACTCTGTCAGCAAGAAATCACCATCATCTCAGGAAAAGCTAGGAAAATAGCGCTTTAGAAATAATGAAAGGACATGCCCCCAGATATTAGCAATGGTTTTGTTTGCATGGTGGGGTTATAGGCAGAGCTTGCTTTATTTTATTTACTGTTTGTTATTTTCCAAGTTTTCCCTCGCGCAGTTGGCATTACCTTTTGTAAGACAGGAGTATATTTTGCAAAAGCCTGGCCAACTGCAGGAGAGAAGTTTGTGGTTGATTATTACTGCATGACCCTGGATTACTCCATGATTTTTAAGTTGTGAAAAATAAATGACAAGGAAGGAACAGTCAGGCTTGCTGATGGCATCACCTCCTTTGTGCGCTCCTGGCCCAGGGACCCCTCCTCAGTGGGTGGGGCTGGTGGGTAGGTGTGAGCACTTCTAATAAATCCACTCAGGCAGGGAAGTGTTGGCCGCCAGGGAAAGCAAGGAGCTGAGCACGGCGGGCGCATTCGCAGGTGCGTGTGTGTTGAACCATCTACGTGACAAATATTCCTGTAAAAGGCATTTCCCCTGGTGCTCACCTGGCAGTAGAGTTAGGTTTTACATTAGTGATACAGCAGGATACTGGGCTACAGACTCTAGCTTTCTCCCTCCAGAGGGTTGCTGGAAGTCCCCCGTGTGCCTCTGGTTCCAGCGTAGTGATTACTTGTGTCCTGGTTTCAGTGAGAAGTTAGAGTCCCCCATGCTTCCTGTTCTCTGAGGGGATGCTCAGGTGTCGATGCGTGGGGTCAGCCTCTGATTTGTGGGGGTCCTCCTAGGAGCCTTTCTGGGCTGTCTGGCACATCCAAGGACCACCAAGGTCAATCTATAGGTATCTTGGGGCCACCCTGAGGGTCCTGGAGCTGCTCCCGTGTGCACTGGTTTCCTGAGGAGTCTGAGAGTCACTTAGAGATCATGGTGCACTTCCCAGTTCATGGGAACACCCACGCCTCAGGCCACTCCTCACCTACATGGCCCATGGCCCGTGGGAAGCTGAGCTCTTGGCAGCGGCCTGGGGACCTGGCTCAGCGGAGTGTCTCAGGTAGGATAGGGCCCTGACACCCCATCCACACCAGGACCACACCCAGCCAGGCCATACCCAGTTGGCCGTGGGTGGCCATGCTGCCACTTCCAACCACCACTGACCCTTACCTCTTGGGGACGCCACAGGATAAGTCATGAGGGGATTCTGTCCCCCACTCTGGGCCATGAGTCCCCCTTTTCCCCGAATCTTGTCTTCACCTTCACTTCTCTCTGCTGCGACCCTGCCTTCTTTGAGGGATGATGTCACCTCTGATCAAACCCCCTTCGGTGAGCAGACCTGCTTTGTAGGGAGTGAGCTGGCTTGCATGCGAGTTTTGAGAGTGAGAACATTAGGCAGTGCTCTCAGATGAAGATGAAAAGGCACCCCCACTTTTTTTGTTGTTGTTGAAACGGAGTTTCGCTCTTGTTGCCTAGGCTGGAGTGCAGTGGTGAAATCTCGGCTCATTGCAACCTCCGCCTCCTGGGTTCAAGTGATTCTCCTGCCTCAGCCTCCCGAGTAGCTGGGATTACAGGCACCTGCCACCACATCCAGCTAATTTTTTCTTTTGTATTTTTAGTAGAGACAGGGTTTCACCATGTTGGCCAGGCTGGTCTCGAGCTCCTGATCTCAGGTGATCTGCCTGCCTTGACCTTCCAAAGTGGTGGGATTACAGGCGTGAGCCACTGTGCCTGGCCCAAGCACCCTTCTTGATACTCACCACGTGGGCAAACAGTGATGGCTGATGGACTTTGTGACCGATGCCCCTTTCCTGTGCTCCTCTAAGGGGCCCTTTGCACAGAAGCTTCTCCTGCAAAGTAACCAAGAAGGTGACCCATTCTGGGCACCCCAAAATGCCCCAGACAGGTGACTTTGTCATTTCTCATGCAAACCAGGACACAATTAATGATTAATCCACGCAGTCTTCACAGCCGACCTGCCAGGGATTTGGCCTCATCCCCAGCTTACAGATGGGAATGCCTGGTCATGCAAAGTTGAGATGCCCATGGTAAGCTCTCAAAGCAGGATCTGAACCCAGGGCAGGAGAGCTTTTACCCCACTGCTCGCCCCATCCACAAAGCAGCAAGTCCTGTAACTGTGATGGTGGTAAGTGTGGTCAGCACACATTTTGGGGAACTGTGTCCTTACCCAGGTGCTGGGACTTGGGACTCTATCTGGTCTCACCTGCCTCACGAGGTAAGAATGAGAGGTGAGCCTGGGGCCCAGCAGCTGCTTCAGGGCCTGCACAGGAGGCTTGGGCAGCATCCTCAGGGCCCTGCTGTTTCCTTCCCTTCGGTGCCTGTGGGCCGGGCAGGCCAGCAGGCAGGTGGTCTCAGTCTCAGCTTCAGGAATCACAGTGAGAAGTCAGTCCCTGGGTAGCCCTTCATGCTCAAGAGGCTTATCTTATTGTTTGCCTGCTTATTAAGATAAACTTTTGTTTGGGTTTAAGGATTTCAAGGGGCTCTTGCTACATTTCTGATGGTGAGAAGATGCGTGTTTGGGAGGCTCAGGGGGAGGTTGAGGTGAGGGCCGACCCCACCTGAGTTCCGGTGAGTCTAGCTGATTCCTGCACCCCGTGCGCCCCCCTGCTCCTCAAGCATCCTTGCCCTTGAGGCTGTCATTTACCCACACGTTTTATGTGCACCTGCTGTAGGTCACCACGCCCCGGGCAGTGATGGACAGGATGAGGACTCCCCAGGCCAGAGAGGAGGAGACAGGGGCAACAGCCATTCCAGTACAGGGCGATGTCCCCCATGAGAGGGGAACGGTGCAGCTTCCATCCCATGTCTGCACCGGCCAATGAGCGACCTCCTCGAGCCTCAGCTTCCCAGCTGTAAAATGGGCTGATGATAACGGCCCCAACCTCCAGGCGATTGTGATGAGGAGGTGAGCCAACAGGTGTGGGAGTTGAGGTGGGGCCCAGCACAGAGGTAAGGTGTGCCAAGGACCTACTGTCATCACCATGAGGGGTAAGAGTGGAAGTTGCAGACACCCCCAGGGAGCAGCTAACCCCAGGGAATGCAGGAAGGTTCTGGAAGCCTGATCTATACATGTATCCTGAGGGATGGGCAGGAAGGAGGGAGGAAGCTTGAGAAGGCCATGCTGGTGGTGATGGGGAGGGAGGGAAGAGGTCAGAGGCTGTCCTTGGGCAGAGGATGTAGTTAAGACAAAGGGGGCATTCACGTAAGATCTGTGTGGTGTGCGTGCCCGTGGCAGCTGGTCACAGAGGATGAGAAGTGGAGGGCTGAGGGCTCACGGAGCCTCTCGTCAGCCATATGAAGGCTTGCAGTGCAGCTTCCCCGGTGGGCAGCAGAGGTGGAGACACCTGGTGGGTTTGAAGGGCTGGGGGCAGGGCTGAGGGAGAGGGAGGGGCACGGAGATGCACACAGGTGTGCAGAACCGTCCCCATCACCTTGAGACTCTCTTCTCTTGGGCTTCGTGGTTCGACAAACACAGTTGTGACTGTGAGGGGCTGAAAAATGGCCCTCAAAGATGCCCACATCTTCACCCCTGGAACCTGGGAATATGTTCCCTTATATGGGAAAAGGGGCTCCACATGTGTAATGAGGCTGTGGTTCTTGAGATAGAAGGTGATCCTGGATTATCTGGATGGGCCCAGCATTATCACAAGGGTCTCATAAGAGACAGGCAGAGCCTGTTTTGACACTGGAGGTGATAATAGAAGCAGAGGTTGGAGGGATGCACTTTGAAGGTGAAGGAAGGGGCTTTGAACCAAGGAATGCAGGTGGTTTCTAGGAGCTGGGGTGAGGTGGTGGAGCCTCCAAGGGAAACGCAACCTGCAAACACCTTCACTTTAGACTTCCACCCTCCAGAATGATAAAAGAATAAATTTGTATTGGCTTAAGCCACAACACAGGATGAATTCATAATTTTCTAGATAGATAGGTGGGTAGGTAAGGAGATTGATAGATAGATATACAGAGATTGATGATAAATAGATGGATGGTATACATATATGTGTGTGTGTGTGTGTGTGTATATATATATATATATATATATATATTCCTGTGACAGGTTGTACTCTCAGGATGGCCATACCAACATCTCTCCCACACACCCTCAGGCCCTTTTTGCAGTGAGGCCTTGACATTGCTCTGTTGGGAGCTGGGGTCTGTGTTCCCTCTCCTTGAATCTGGGCGGGGTGACCACTGTGTAACTGATACTATGTGACTTCCAAAGCTAAGTCGTAAAAGATGACATGACTTTCACCTGCCACGATGACTCCAGCTCTCAAAGCTGCCTCAGTGGATGCTGAGTGAAGCAGACGTCAGCTGTCACCACTGAGCCCTGTACAAATTGCAAATTTTTGACACAAATTGCAAATGACACAAACTGCCAAAAAAAAAAAAAGTTTTTCTTGTTTTAAGCCACTAAGTTTTGGAGTGTTTCTTCACATATCAATAGATATCTTAATTTGTAGCTCTCTCCACTCAGAGGGCCTGAAAAAGATGGTGCCCCAAGAGCAGTGAGCGCACCTGGAGCCCCCACCTTGGTGTCTAAATACCATTCTTCACTCACAAGTGCCAGGGCTCCTTGGAGAAGAGGTTGACCAGGGCTGGGTGAGGACAGCACAGGATGTGCCTGGAGCATCTTGAGCCAGAAAGCAAGGTGGTGCTCAGGTCACACTGGGGACATGTAAAGCCCACAGAAGTCAGTTTGCAGGGCTCCCACTGGCCAAATCTAGGACAGTCTGATGATGCTGGTAGTGCATTATAATCCATTGGGAAAAATAGGCATCCAGGAGTCCAGACAAATATAAATGAAAGAATGAATGGAAAGCTTGATGAGGAATATGATATGCACTTGGTTTTAAGGCACCACATCCCGACCCACACACTCACAAAATACTTATTAATAACAAAGCAGGAGAAACAACTTCACATGGGAGAAACCTGGCAGCCTCCCCCACCGACAAGTGATAAATGTGATAAAACAGATCAAAACCATACCTCCCCCAACCCCCACCACCTGGGCAGGAAGCAGTGAGAACACAGCATCACTTCTGGGATGTTCCTGTAAAAGATGCAGGAGCCAGACGCAATCGTGAGGACACGTCAGACGCAACCAAATTGAGGGACGTTCCACCAAAGAACTGGCCTGTAACCTTCAAAAGTGTCAAGGTCGTGAAAGTTAAGAAAGGCCAAGGTCACCACACTGGGTGACCTTAGCTGTGTGGCCACCCCTAGGGAGGCTGGGAAAGGCAGTGGAGCTGTATGCCCAGCAAGGAGAGGGTACCTGTTTTCTGTGCTACATAACAGGCTAAGAGGACTCGAGCCAGGACAGTGCACAGGAACCCAAGATTCTGAGCTGGGACGACTGGTGGAGCTGGGACGGGGCCTGCAGATGGGAGGACCCCACTGCCCTGAGCAGCCAGCAGCCCCCGACTTCACTGATCATGGTGTGGGGTGCTGGAGAAGGTCTGAGTTTGTAAGAAACATACTCAAGAGTTTGCGGCGGAAGAGGAAATATTTTGGCAACTCACTGTTAAACGGTTCGGGAAAAAGTTACCCGTGCTGTACTTGTTACTTTTCTATAAATTAGAAATCGTTTAAAACAACAGCAAACCAGCCTGTGGGAGGAGGGTTCGGCAAGTTCACAGGCTGTGGGTGGGAGAGCACCTGGTGTGTTTTAGGCCCCAGAGGAGCCTCCAGCTGGTAAGGCAGAACAGGAGGCTGAGGCCTGAGGCCAGGGAGGTGAGGGGGGTAGATCTGGGGTCCTAAACATACCTGCCTTGCAGGTGTCATGAGAAAATGCACCCCCAGGCACTTAGAACAGCAGCCCTTAGCGTGAGGACCGGCTTGTTCTTGTCTTCCTTCCCCAGGCACGCAACTTCTCCATCAGGCTGCCAGTCTCTGCCTCTCTCTCCACCTCTGCCTGCCTTGCTCCTCTTGGGGCAAATATCACCTGGATCCTGACATCACCCAGTTTGGGGGGCATCTCTCTGTCCTGGAAATGGGGCTCCTAGAACGTAGGCTTCCCTGCCCCCTCTGGCAGGCCCGGCCCCTCCCGTAGGATGGGTGACAACGTTGGCACGTGAGTAGTGTCACCCTGCGGGTGTTGGGGTGGAGCATGTCGGGGTTGGTGAGGGCTTGGAACTTGGAGAAACACAGAGCAGCCATGCTAGGGCTGTGGCTTTGTCCCCACATAGAAGGCAAGGAGGTAACCCATCAGCCCGGTAGGAAGAGAGATGCCGGGAAGAAAACTGCGTCTGCTCACGTCCTTTCCTTCTGCCCCCATGCTCCCTCCACCTTCCTTCCAGCCTGGACATGGAGCCTCATTTCCGCAGAGGTGAGCCTTGAGTCACAAGGGTGTCCCCCACAAACTCTAGGAAGCAAGCGCCTTGAGCGCCATGGGCGGTACTGGGGAAGTTGAGGGGCAGCGGGTCTAAGTTTAGATGCTTCCTTCTTTTAGAGGATGTACAAGGCATGCTATGCGACTCGGTTTCCCCAAGGGCTCCCGTTAGGAGGCACAGCCTGTGCAGGGTTGGTGAGTGACCTGGGTGTCTGTGCCGGGGCCACTTCCAGCCCAGGCCTGCTGAGCCCCATTCCTTGGGTTTCATCTTTTGTGGGTGAGATGTGGCCGGCTGGCTCTGGAGGGAGAAATGGTGAGATTCCCTTGGTTTTCATCACCGCAGGGGATCAAGAGGATGACCAAGAGGAGAGAGCTGGGGGAGCTGGGGATGAGGACCTGCCTCAAGCTGCGGTCACTCACACAGGTGGTTCTGAAGCCTCACGATCTTCCCCGAGCTCTCCTGTCCCAGAGTGACTTGTCCTTAGTCCCTAGAGGCTGGAATGACAAGGCCACCTGCCTCTGGGTCTCACTCTGGGGCTGGGAGTGTCCCCTCTGCAGGGTTTTGGGGACAGACAGCCTCGAGTGGGGCAGCGCTCCATTCTTCAGGCCCAAACACTGCTCTCCCCAAGGCTGAGCCTGGCCCTTTTCAGGCACTGGGAGGTTGGTTGCAGGGGCCATGCAGGCTTGGCTGCATCCCTGGAGTGTGCAGCTGTGTGGGAAAACAAGCAGGGTGAACAGGTCCCTCCCTTTTCAATCAGCTCCCAGTTAGCCACATCTTACCTGCTGGGGATCTCCGGGAAGGGATTTTTATCTGTCAGTACCTCATCTCCCTCATCTCCTCCTCCTGGGCCTGCGCCTGGGCTGCTGGGCTGGAGTGAGTGCTGGGTGTGGTAGGATGTGCACTGCTTCCTACTCTCCTGTGGACAGGGCTGAGCTGGATGGAACATGGCCAGGCCTGAGAATCAGAGAGGGAAAAAAGGCCAGGAGGAAGAGAGAGGAGGAGAGCTGAGAGTGCAGGAGAGATCGGAGAGAGACGTAACAGGGAGAGAGAGGGTGAGAGAGAACTGGGAGGTGGGGAGGGGGAGTGCTGGGCCTGGAGGGAGAGGCCTGACCCTGCAGGTGCCTCCCTGCAACTGCCCAGTGCTCCTGACTCCAGGACCTGTTCATACTGGAGAGTTGACCCAAGACCTTGCTCAGGGCACAAACAGCCCAGACGCTGGCCGCTCAGGGTTTGGGTGATGACAGCAATCCTGGATGTGCCTGGGCAGCCTCCTCTCCTTGCTGCCCCCTCCTTGCCTCTTCCCCTGATGCTGATCCAGACAGCATCAGGATCAGCAGGTGCAGCAGGCAGCAGCCCAGACACCCACAGGCACTTGACTAGGACTGAGTCTGCCAATGGCCCCAGACCCCAGGCCACCTGGTGAGTTCCCAGCCTCAAGTCTCAGGACCCCAGGCCCAAGCCGTGTCTCTGTCCCCATGTCTCTCTGGAGAAGGTTGAGGCATTGATGTCTGGGTGCAGACCAGGACCATCATGAGGCTGCTGTGGGGCCTCAGGCAGCCGTGACCTGGCTGGAGCCTCAGCGCCCCACCCTTCAGACGAGACCATGGTCCTGGCACCCTGGACAGTCATGGGAGTTGTGAGGCCGTGGGTAGACGCCGGGGTGGGGAAGTCACTGGACAGCCCACTGGAAGTCACCAGACTTGCCCGCCTTTGGTGGGGACCTTCCACCCCCCATGGCACCTGCCTCTGTCACTTCTGTCTGCTCAACTCCTGCCATGGCTTCGAGTTCAGAGAGGGGTGGACCGGATTAGGCACAGCTCAGCCTCGTGCCCTCACGCAGCCCCTCTGACCCTCCCGGCCCACAGCGCTTTCTCCCTGCTCACTCAGAGTGGGGCTCAGCCAGGGCTGCCGGCTGCAGAGGCATCTGGGCCTGGAGTCCCTCAGACTTGGGAGGGTGCCCTGGCGTTGCAGCCCGTGGTGGAGCCACAGAGGACCTGGACAAGGGGCCACGAGGCTGGGCTAGGGGCCGGGGCCCTGGCACAGACTTGGTCAGTGAGTGGGAGGTATGCTGAGTCTGGGACTCTGAGACCACGAGGGGCAGGAGCAGAGGCCGGCACCTTCTGTCTTGGTTGCCTCCTCTCTGCCTATGATGTTGCTGCTCAGTACGGAAGACCAGGATGCCTGTCGATCTCAGGGGCACTTTGGGGCCAAGAAAGGGAGTTTCTTCCATTTGTTCCCAGGTCAGTGTGTTACAGGGGGGCAAAGCCCCTGGCACCTGCGAGGTCATGGCCGGGGGACTCAGTTGAGGGGTCCCGTGCAGGTTGTGGCAGGGCAGCTGCTTTAACACACGTGACGGCGGAAAATGGGCTTTGAACTCAGCCTCCATCTGGAGTGGAGGTTCTTCCCCAGCTTCCCCTCCACATGGCGATTCAGGGACCCAGCTTCCTCCACAGAGCCTCTCCTGTGGCTCACATTAGGGCTCTGGGTGTCAGCTTGGCTAGGTGCAGCCCCCTGCTGTTCACCAACCACAGAACTAGAGGCTGCCAAGAAGGTCTTTTACCCATGTGGTGAATATGGGCAATAGTTGACCCTAAGTAAAGGGAATGACCCTGACGGTCTGGGCAGGTCTCATCTAATTGGTCTGAGGCCTTAAGAGCTAAACAGATTTCCCCGAGGAAGAGGAAGTTCCGCCTCTCAGCTCCTGCCTGAGTTGCCTGCCTGCCCACCTTTGGATTTCAGACCTGCAGCCCCACAGTCACAATCACGTAAGCCAATTCCTTGAAACCCATCTCTTGACATGCACATGTGTGTCCCCCAGTCTGCTCTCTCTGGAGAACCCTGATCGCTGTAGCCTCGTCTCACCCAGCCCCAGGCCACTGAGCCAAGGCACCAGCTTGGCGGTAGCCACTTTGTCTTCGTCTGCATCCCTCTGGGTGACCTTGGCTGTGTGGCCACCCTAAGGGAGGCTGGGAAAGGCAGTGGAGCTGTATGCCCAGCAAGGAGAGGGTACCTGTTTTCTGTACTACGTAACAAATCACTGGACACTTAGGGGCTTCCAACAGCACCCAGGTGTTATCTCGCTGCCTTCTTGGGTCAGGAGTCATGGCGGGCTCAGCTGGCTGCAATGAGACCCCCTCTGTGGCCCCAGGTCTGCTTCCAAGCTCATGTGCTCATTGAAGAATCCATTTTCTCAAAGCTGCCTTGCTGGGGTGGGGGTGGGGGCTGGCTTGTTCAGGTTCAGCAGGAGAGGGTCCCTGTGGTTTGAAGTCTCCGAGCTCAGGGAAGGACAAAGTCCCCCAAGAGGCTTCTCTGATGAGGTCAGGCCTGCTAGGATAATCTCCCTTTGGCTCAGAGCAAAGCCATGCTTGCTAGGGGCCTTGATTACACCTGCAAAATCCCTTCCTCTTTGCCATATCACATGACCTAATAGAGGCTTGGCATTGATCCTGTTTGCAGATGTCCGCCACTGGAGGCTGGGGGACTACAGAGGCCTGGACATGGGGCGGGGATGAAGGAGACCATTTCAGGGCTCTTTATGCCACAGAAAAGGACATGCATGGTGGCCAGGCGGCCAGGTGCTGCCCCAGACCCCAAGGACACAGGGGAGCTCAACATGGGTCAGGGCTAGACAGCCTCTATCTCACGGAGCCATTCTCCTGCCTGGGATGAACACCGGGGTTGTCTGTTTAATGTTTTGAATAAGAAGGCTTGCTCTTCCCTCACTGTTTTGAGACGGGGTGCACTGCTCAGAGAGAGAGAGGGAGGAGGGAGGGGAGGGAGGAGAAAGAGCGAGAGAGGGAGGGGGAGGGGAACGAAGGGAGGAGGAGGGAAGAGGGGAAGGGGAGGGGGAGAGGCGGGATGGGGGAGGGGGAGAGAGGCTGGGGTGGTCTTGGGGGAAGATGGAGCAGCCTCCTCCTGCTGTCAGCAGAGCTGCAGGCTACAGAGCAGCGTCACCACCCTGTCTCCCTCAGCGCAAACCACTCTTTCTCAAGCACTCAGTGGTACCAAAGATTTCAGTGTCTCCAGCCCCCTACTGGGTCCTCTGAACGCCCTGGATGCTGGCTAGCTGAAGCCTGGCTAATTGTGGGCACCTGGTCCTGGGGGCTTCCCCTCTTGGACCTGGTCCCGCCAGCCCCTTCCTGCTCTAGGAGCCACCGGAGTTCCTGCCAGGGGTTCTGAAATGCCAATGCCAGCCCCATTGGTATGCAAACAGGGCCTGGGGTGAGAAGATGGTGACAGCCATGCCCTCTCCCCTGCCAGTCCACCTGCCCCACAGCTGGCAGTGGGAGCCTCGGAGGTCTCCCCACCTCTCAGTGGCTTGACAGGCTCCCTGGGAACAGGAGGTGAGTCTCACCAGAGCTCACCTCCTCATCGAAAGCCCCCTCCTGCCCGCCCAGGCCCAGAGGGGAGGGGGAAGTGAGGAGCAGGCTATGGTCACTGCGGAGCACAGCCTCACCATTGGGTGGGGTCTCCTTTCCAGGGCGGAGGGAGGAAGGGGTTTTCTCAGCTGCCATTGCTGACACATGTCCAGGGGCAGGTCTGTTGCCTGAGAGGCTGGGCTGGGCTGGGGAGGAGAGTGGTGCTGGGGAAACAGTGGGCAGCCACCCAGGAAAAGAGGCCAGTGCGGGAGAGGACAGGGCAGTGCTGAGGCCTGTGGCATGGGAAAGACCCACTGTTGGCACGGATGGAGCAGCCACAGGGTTGCAATGATGGGGGATCTGCCGGCCCTGCCATGCCCAGCCCCGAGCCCTGTGCTGGTCACCCTGGGGGTACTGGTGGGAGGGGGCTGTTCTCCTGCATCCCTGCTTCAGTTTAGAAGCCAGAGTCCCAAGAAGAGCCCCACCCTCCAAAAGCAACCTTTCAGCCCCTGCGCTGGCCCCGGCCCCAGGTCCCTGCCCACACCTCCCAGGTGTGTGTGGCTCCTGCAGCCTCGCCCAGGGCTGTGATCCCCACCCCACCAGGCTGATGGGAGCAATCACACAGGCTGGGGGGAAGCAGTCTCAGAGGTGCCTGCAGAAAGTAAATTTCCAAACAGACATCGGCTGTTTCTGGTTTCATCACTGACGGCTGGAGTTTCAGGCTCTCTCTGAATCAGTCCTATGGCCCACCTCATCCAGCGGCCATGTGTCTAAAACAAGTTGCAACAGACAAGTGGTGTGTGTGTGAGAGAGAGAGAGTGTGTGGGTGTGTGAGTGTAAGAGTGTGTGTGAGAGTATTAGCGTGTGGGTGTGAGTGTGAGAGTGAGTGAGTGTGAGTGTGTGAGTGCGAGTGTGTGTGAGTGTGAGTGTGTGAGAGAGTGAGTGAGCGTGAGTGTGTGTGAGTGTGAGAGTGAGTGAGCATGTGTGTGAGTGTGAGAGTGAGTGTGAGTGGATGCGTGTGGGTGTGTACGTGTGTGTGAGAGTGAGTGTATGTGGGTGTGTGTGAGTGTGGGAGACTGTGTGTGAGCATGTGTGAGTGTCTCTGTATCTGAGTGCGTGTGTGTGCGTGTTGGGAGAGAAGTGTGGGGGGATGTTAGTTTGTAGGTGTGTGTGTGTTGGGGGAGATGGGGGTTACCTGAGCCCCCTGGAGTCAAACTTGGGTCTTGAACTAGCTGAGGCTGAGAACTGAGGGAACCTGAGGCCTGTGGATGAGAGGGGATGGCCCAAGGCCATCTGGCGGGATGTCGGGGTCCCTGGAGCACAGCCTTCCCAAAGCCCAGCGGCAGCTCACACTTAGGGGTGGCTCAGGGCTCAGGCCTTGCCCCCCCTTCCCCAAGCCCCTGCGTCATCTTTCTAAATACCTCCGTGTCCCTGTCACTCCCTCCCTGCCTCTGAGCCCTTCCCTGGTTTTCCTGGGCACGATAATGAGGCCTCCCATTTTGCAGCCCCCAAGCTCTGCCCCACAATCCCTGCTCTACCTCTTGCTCCTGTGATGAGGACCTCTCCCGCTCTGGCACGTGCTCCTCCCAGCCTGAGGCACTCTGCCCAGACCTGTCCCCACTGCCCTTCAGGTGTGGCTCATGCATGAGCAGGTTTTCCCAGCATCCCTAAGAAGATCTAGGTGCCCCTTTCCCCACTCCCACACTTTGTGCTCCTCACACCCTCATCATGCCTGGGATAGGCTGGGATTCCCTTTGCCTCCTCAACAAAGGGCTCCTGACGCCAGGGCAGGCTTTTCTTCCTCCCTCCCTTGTCTCTTCTTGCCATGATCCTTCTTTCCTCCTTCCCCTCTCCTCCCTCCTTTCCTCCTTTTCTCCCTTCTTCTCGTCCTTCTCGCCCCCATGTTGCCTGCACATCCTGGGAATTCCATACATGTTTCTGGAAGGAGGGGGCACCTGCCTGGCATTCTGCAGTGGGAGGCCTCCTGGAGGGCTCACAGGCGGCACCCGCAGTGCACGTGTTGCCACTGGTCTTCAAGGAGCGGCACTTGTGTCTGCCTCCCCCTGCAGCCTGTTCCACAGCACCCCTGGGTGATGAAGGAAAGAACACTGGTGCTTCCCACCTGCCAAGTGAGGGATGACAAGGTGGTGCTCAGGCCACCCAGCCCAGGAGTCTTCTATTTATAGCAGGAGCTCGTGTTGGCAATTGCTATTCATCTCAGGTGAGGCTGGGAAATAAAATTGTGTCGCAGGATTGTTCTTCCCAGGCCTCTTATTAAATCTCACCAGAGAACATGCTCTCTCTGAGCCCAGGAACTTCTCGGCATCTCCTTGGGGCAGGCTTGCCAGGCGCTGTCACCTGCTCAGCCCCCTCCTGCTGCCCAAAGTGGTTCAGCAGTCGCCACCATGGAATTCCATATTTGGTCATCTTTCAGGCAGCCGGGGATTGCTGGGTCCCACGCCCTGGGCAGGAGACTCAGTGGTCCCTTGTGGCTTTTTGGGGAGAGGGGGTGGGCTAGAGCTTGGCAGTGATGAGAAACTGGTCTTTAAGCTGAGCCTGAAACTAGCCTTTAAGGTGAGCCCAACCGAGGCTGCCCGGCCTGTGCACACTCACTGCTTTTGTCCTTTCTCAAGCCCAAGGGTTCTGCTCTAGCCCCCTTGGAGGCTGAGGCCAAGCTTCCTCGGCCCAGGGTTCCCTTCCTCAGCTCCCTCCCGCTGTGTACACCCCACAGCCCTTGGCGGAGTCCACAGAGCTCAGGCCACATGCCCTCGCCATCTTTCAGGGCCTTCGAAGGTTTTGCCTCCCCGAATCCACGGTGGGCATTCAGCACGTGTCTGGAGCCAGCAGACCTCAGAGGCTGACTCCAAAGGTCTGGAGCCTGGCCAGGGGAGGCTAGCCCAGAACAACATGGATACGACCCTCCCCCAGAGCCCCCACTCCCTCCCCATCAGAGCAGATTTCCGGTCCATGGAGAAGGCAGTGTGAGCTGGCGGGGTTCAGCAAGTGTGCCAGCAACGGTGCTGTTTCACAGAGGAGCTCTCCTCTCGCAGATGAGCCCGCTCTGCAGCACCATCACCGACCCCTCTCCTCCTGCTCCCTGACCCTCATCTGCTAGGGAGTCTTTCTCAGGCAGGAGCTGGTAACTCTGCCAATATGTTAATCAGTAATTTCCCTGATCAAAAACTTGCGTCACAACAATACGGAGGAGGCTGTGCTTCATCAGGATGGCGCTGAGGGTTGCAACTCACGGGTTCCAGCGCCATCAGCCCCCACCATGCTCAGCCTGACTCAGGGCTGGGGGGGTCTCTCATGACAATGTTTTTCTGAACTCTCCCCACCCAGACAGCCCTCCCAGGCCCTTGGAGCAGAGCCAGACTTAAATGTAGATGAAGGAGGCAGCCAGCGCCCACACAGCCTGCAACACGGTAGTATTTTTAGAGCTGCTCCTCCAATACTTCCCTTGACAGGAGGAGCTGGGGGATCAAGAGAGGAGTCAGGGTTTGTGGTGGGCCTGGCTTTGCTGTGTGGAGACTTCTCAGAGGCAGCACTCGCCCACTGCTGTCCTGTGAGGACAGGGCACGGGTACTTCATCACCCCATTCTACAGACGGGCAGGCTGAGGTCCAGAGAGGTTCTCCACCCTGGAAGTGGTGGAATCAGGATGCATGACAGGAGTTTCGGACTCCAAAGCCCCTGCGCATGGGCCAGCCCATCTGTCTCCAAAGAGTGGGAAAGTGCCATCATTCTGGCTACTTTGTGCAGGGTTAGGATAAGCCACATGTCCAGCGTTCCTGTGGCCATGCCTGCTGCCCTGAAGGCAAGGGTGGCCCTCAAGGGGGGGGCAGTGTAGCACAGGTGTTTCAGGAGAGCCACAGCCCCTCAGGACTTGTGACAGGGACATGGATGGCCTTGTCCTGAAGGCTTCCCTGACCCAGGCGACTCTCAGTCCTGATGTTACAAAATATCAAAAGGAAAGTTTAAAAAGTGCCCTTCTCTAGGGTCCACCACAGTCCAAATAAATTGGAATCCCCTGGTTGTCTTTATTTTTAGCTACACAGATGTTTATCCTGTGCAGCCATTCTCTGAGGTGCAAAACTTATTAATTATGGTAATAATTGTGATACTGTGAATCAACAGTTGACAACCATTCGGGTCTCTTCAGTCTCTAAACACCCCTATATAAGCACCAGGGAGCTCCACTCTCCAATCTAAGTGGACTGGTATTGCCAATGCCTGGCTTTCCTGAGAGGTAAAGAGGTGAGGGGTTCAAGCTGTCCTGGCATGAGGAGCATAGGGCTCCAAGACAGGGGCAGATGGGGGGAGATGAGGAGATGGGGAGATGATGACATGGAGAGATGAGAACATGGAGAGATGGAGAGATGATGGAGAGGTGATGGGGAGATGGGAAGATGGGGAGATGATGGGGAGATGAAGAGATGGGGAGATGAAAAGATGGCGAGGTGGGGAGATGAGGAGATGTGGAGATGATGGGGAGATGGGGAGATGAAGGGGAGCTGAGCAGATGATAGGAAAATGGGGAGATAATGGGGAGATGATGAGGAGATAATGGAGAGATGATGAGGAGATGATGGGGAGATGAGGGGGAGATGAGGAGGTGATCGGGAGGTGATGGGGAGTTGATGGGGAGATGGGAAGATGATGCGGATATGATGAGGAGATGATGTGGAGATGATGTGGAGATGATGTGGAGATGATGGGGAGATGATGAGGAGATGTTGGGGATATGATGGGGGAATGATGCGGAGATGATGGGGAGATGATGGGGAGATGATGAGGAGATGATGGGGAGATGGGGAGATGATGTGGAGATGATGGGGATATGATGAGGCATGATGCGGAGATGATGTGGAGATGATGAGGAGATGATGAGGAGTTGATGAGGAGACGATGGGGATATCGGGAGATGATGGGCAGATGATGGGGATATGATCGGGGGATGATGGGGAGATGACGGAGAGATGGGGAGATGATGGAGAGATGGGGAAATGATGGGGAGATGATGAAGAGATGATGGGGAGATGGGGAGATGATGTGGAGATGATGGGGATATGATGAGGCATGATGTGGAGATGATGTGGAGGTGATGGGGAGATGATGGGGAGATGATGGGTAGATGGGCCTCACCACTGCACTCTCCTCCCCTGATGTGTGATGTGGGAATATATTTCTATTTCCCTCTCATATCGTGGTTGACTGGACTCAATGGCTGCTGAAGTGCTGTCCAGCTCGAACATCCTAGGATCATATAAGGGGGCGGGTGTGAATGAGTTTTATACACTCTGTGGTGCCCTGCAGCCACTGGCTGCTCTCTCGACCTACAAGGAGCTGATGCCCTGGGTGTGTGGGAGCTGGTGCTGGATTCCTCCTTGGGTAGTGGGTCTCCCTCCTCACTCTACCTGCCTCCTGGTGGGGCTAGGCTCTGGATCTCTGAACCGCCACTCCCTCCCCCAGCCTCAGTCCCTTGAATGCCACACAGACATTTGCCAAGCACTTCATTGCCCAGCAGGGTGGGTTAGGGGTCCCCAGGGCTGCAGGAAACAGAGGGTCCGACAAGGAAACGAAGCTGAAAGCAAAGGACACGGAGGAGGGGCAGGGGAGATGAGGGGAGGGGCAAGGCAGTTCCGAGGCTGAGATTGTCGGGATCCTTCTGCAGTCAGGATCTCCAGAATGACACATTTGTCAAAATTATGACCCAATTAGGCAGCGGTAACTGGTGTCTGCGACTGCCACGCACGTAATCGCTGGTAATATCACTTAGCGACGCACAGCTGAGTGAGGAGGAAGGGCTGGGCTGCCGGAGGGGGAGAGGTATTTTTCTATCCCAGGCTCACTGAGGAGGGAGGGGAGCAGGTGACTCAGAGAGCTGGCTTCAGATGACACCCAAGCCCCATTTCTTCCACATGTGTTTTTGTCGCTGTTTTTGATGGGTTGGCTGGGATGACAAGCACCAATCCAAAATGTCCTTTGACTCAGTCCCCTTCTTTCTTTCGCCTCTGGACCACTGCAAGATGCCCCAAGGGGTCTCCAGGCGGGTGAGCGCACACACCTGGTGGTGCTGATAGTCCACTGCTGGGATGACCCCTGACCCTAGACCCCATGTGCCCTGTCCCTCCCCCCACTTGCCTTCTCCCTCCTCTCCTGCTTCTGCTCCTGCCTCAGCCTCATGCCTTTGCATCTGCTGTGTCCTCTGGGAAGGGAGGTGACCTCCCCACTTCCTCCCCTCCACCTGACATTCACTAGCCCAGCTCAGCATCCTGTTGTCCATCCTTGTCACTCCTCTGTGGAGCTTTCCTCGACCCCCAGAGGGCCAGGGTCCCCGCCCACTCTCTACCTGCTTGGACCATGTCCATCACAGATTGATTCCTGTCCACGTCACTCCTGGTTTGGTTGATGGATGGCACCCCCCTCCCCACACCCCAGCGTGAATGGGAGCTTTGGGGAGCAGGGGTCCCGCTGCTCTGCTGTGTATGGGTCAGCAGACACTGCCGTGAGCAGAATCACCATGGTTGACCGTGTGAGGGGTGATCAGGCCCCGCCATCCGCAGACGGGGGCTGGCTTTCTCTCCGCACCTGCCTAATGCCTGCCCCCTGCGTCCCCCCATGGACCCCTCAACCCCAGGAACTCCAGGCCTTCTCCTCTGCCTCCTCTACTTCCCTCCTGGTCTCTTCCTGAGTCCCTGGGGTGGGGAGTGAGCCCAGGCAGGGCTTTAGAGGCTGCCTTTTTGCCTAAGGACCTGGCCACCATGAAAGAAGGAGGCCTCTGTGGGGGCTCTTGCTCTCCCAGGACTCCCCTCAGTATCTGAGATCATTTTTGGCCCACAGATAACTCCTTTCCCCCTGTGAGAGACCCTGGAAACTGCTTCTGATTTCAGAGGCTCTAGAAATCCCAGCTGTGTCCTTAAGGAGCTATTCAGGACCTGCTGGTGTCTGAGGTTTGTCGCTACACGGTCAGCCACCCTGGTCCCTGGGACGGCCTGGAGGGCTGGCCGGAAGAGGAGGCTGAGTCCTGGCTATGACCTGGGGAAGCGGGTGAGGGAGGGGTCTGTCCACGGCTGGGGTGGGGCCCCCACAGGCCCAGGCATGGCAGGACAGATCCACCCTCGGACAACACTGGGGCCCCCCGCAGCAGCTGCAGGCCCTGAGGCAGGCAGAGCTCCTTAACTGGAGGACCTGGGGGTGGGAGAGGGTAGGGGCTTTTGCCCAGGGCCCTGGGAGCTCCAGGGACGGAGGCTGCACTGCATGGGGCCAGGGAGACTCAGGGGAACCCCTCTGCCTCCAAGTCTAAAGCAGGGCTGCCCTGCCACCAGCCAAACAGTATTTTTGGCTCTGTGGACCACCCGGTCTCTGTTGGAATCCTCAGCTCTGCCTGGCAGCATGAAAGCAGCCTGGACAATATGTCAGCGAATGTGCAGGATTGTGTCCCTAGATGCTTACTTACAGACTTGATTGTATTTTAAACGTTGATTTACCACATCCCAGGCAATGTGGCTTCGTAATACATCTCCCATTTGTGTGGCTTTTCTACCTCCCTGGAGGATTTTTAAAGCACCTATTGTCCCATTTGAACACTAAGCGACCTTGGGAAGGAGTTGGACCTGGGCTCATTTTTTTCCCAGATGAAGAGGTGGGCTGGGCTTTCCCCAGGCTGAGTGTGAGCCCAAGGCAGGGCCAGGCTAGGATGGGGTCTCCGGCCCAGAGCGTCCCACCTGCTCCAGGCCCTGAGGCCTGCCCTCTAAGCTGGGCCCTTCCTTGCCTGATATTGCCCTGTCCCCAAAGACAGAGTCAGCGAGGGGTGGCCCCCATCGATGTTGGCCAGGTTCTGGGGGGAGGAAGGAAGATTAATTAGTTCTCGTTATCCTGGGAGTCAATTTGCAGGCATTCAATAAGAGCTCTATCTGAGAAGATTGTTGACAAATTGGAGGAGATTCAAACCAAGCAGCGCTGGGTCCTGAGGGATGGAGTGTGAGCGGTGAGGGAAGGGCGGATCTAGCCGCAGCTCCGTGTGACAGGGCTTGGTGAGTGGGAGGGCAGTGACCAGGCATCTGCAAGCACCCCCGGTGCCCCGCTGGAGGAGACCACCTTGTCCCTATTTGCAGGAGAGCACAACGAGTCTCCTGGAGGCTGAGGAACTTGACCAAGTGCACAGAGGGGCAGTGGCAGCAGAGGAGTTGGGACCGGAGGCCTTGCCTGCCTAGTCCTGTCCCACGTTGCCTGGGTCATCCCGGGGCAGGTCCACCTCCGTCAGGGCCCAGGCCCCTCAGAGCAGCGTCCCACCCCCAGGGAGGTCAGAAAAGACTGCCAGATCTTAGCAGAAAGTCCACTCCATGCTTGGAGTCAGCCATTGGCAGCCCTAGGGTCCTGAGCGAGCCCCCATCTTCCAGGCCTCGCTCCCTGTGCTCAGCACATGATACCTGTGGAGCGCATGGCCGGCAGCTGGTGAGGGCGAGGGCCCCGCTCTGGGCCTCATTTCTACCCTCTGCAGACAGGAAGAATTGGCAATCCAACCCTCCTCCCACCCAGGTTGTAAATGCTGCTTGGATGGACCTGGGGTCAGGGAGGGCCAACTGAGCCCTAAGCTGGGCTTTGGAGGGTCAGTGGAGTGGACGGGACGGTGTGGGGCGAGGGTCAGAGGGCAGCATGAGCGGGAAGTGGGGTGGGCTGGATTGGGGGGCAGGTCGTTGTGTAGGGGAAACTCGGGACCCTTAAGCTGCGCCTCGGCGGCCTCCCCTCTCACGAGCTCTCTGATTGGCAGGTGGGAGCCTCGGCATCCCGGGGACCTGCCAATTCCCTCGGGCCGCGGGGCCGGCCCAGCCCAGCAGAGCTGTCTGCCTGGTGTGAAAATGAAGATTGATCATCGTGGAAAGGCAGCCCCGGCTCTCCAGAGCCAGCCGGGAGTTGCAGAAATACAGAGCTTCATTATTATTTTAAGTGTTACTCAGCTGCTTTATTGAATTCTCCAAGTCAGGAAAAATTCTGGCGAGATAAGAAGTTGACATTTTCAGAAGCGGCAGTGAGAACTGTGCGGGCGGCGAGGACAGAGCAGAGCCTGCTTGGCATGAGAGTGTCTCAGCCCACCGCCCGCCACCCGCAGCCCCACGCACACATGCAGGCTCTTGCTGACTCAGAGATCAGGGTGGCTTAGCCAGCCTCGACGGACAGCCAGCCCAGAGGAAGGCAGTCTCAGCAGAGAAAGTCCAGCTGCTGCCTGTCCCTCCCTTCCTCTCTCCATGTCTCTCTCCCTTGCTTTGTTGAGCAACTACTATGTGCCAGGCCTGGGGCATGGACTAGCTTGAAGATGCCATCCTTTCTCTACTTAGCCTCAGTGTGATGGTGGGCACCACAGCAGGTCATTGCTTGTGGTGATACAAGTGTGCCTGAGTGACAGCAGAGGACAGGTACAGGGCCCCGGGGAGGGGCATCACCTCCCCAGCTCAGCGTGGCTCATGGTCCTCCTGCTCACCCCTGGTGTGCAGAGATGCTTAGCAGTTATGTGTGAAGTGCAGGATGGAAGAGCATGGTAAGGGAAGAGGGTGTCTCTGGAGGGGCTGTGAGAAGAAGTTGCCATTCTGGTCTTGAGGGGGTGTGGGTTTCCTTGGAGAGCACCTAGGAGGTCGCTCTGCAAAGGTACTGGCTGGACAAAGGCTCCTCACTGATGGCCAGGCTGGTGCGGAGGGAGGGCAGAGGATGAGGCGGAGGATGGGGGTGAAGGCCTCTCCGTCTCTCTGGTTCCTCCTCCTCCCTTGCGCCCAGAGCCGCAGCCAGTCCCCAGCCTGCTGTGCTCAGTTCCCTGCCCTGTGTGCCTGGCCCTCCAGGCAAATTGGTCCTGGTCCCTGTCCTGGGCCAGGCCACACAGCACAAGATGATGCACCCAGCTCCTCCTTCCAGGGACTTGCCGTCCAATCATGAGAACAAACACACGTGTGCACAGAGCCAGGCCTGGGGTGTCTGTGTGCCTTGGGGGCTTTGTATGGACATGGAGCCTGGGAGAGCCTGGGAGGACCTGGAGGGGCTGGGGACCAGGGAAACTGGGGGAACTGGCTCCAGCCCAGCTGGGGCCCAGGAACAGGCCTGGGAGGGTGGTGACTCCCAGAGCCACGTGCTTGTACAAGTGGACAGTCACCCGGTGGTGTGGGGCCAATATGCACATGGGTTTAGGGAGTGATTGTTACTGCTGTCATGCCTTTTTCTAAGGGGAATGAATTCATTCCCTGGATACGTATGTTCTGAGCCCCCTGCTCCATGCAGGAATGCTGGACAGGCAGGGGCCTTGGCATAGACTGACCCTGTTGGAGTCCCGACGACTCACCCCCCAAGCCTCGGGGGTGCGCTCTCCCTCCCACTGCCTGCTCCAGTCTGAGCCTCTTACCTGGGGAACCCCGGCTCCCTGTGACCCCAGCAGGCCCTTCACACCGCAGCTCTGGGTGGGACTTGCTCTTAGGATTCTTCACCCCTTTCCGTCTAAGGCTTGTCCCTGTGTTTGGATTCCTCAGTGCCTCCCTGGGATCTGCCCAGCCCCCCTTCCTTCCCGGGGGCCTCTCAACCTCCAGGGCTTCATCCCCCACCACTCCCATCTCCGTGGTGTCTGCCCTAACCTGGGTGGTCACCCCCCTACTCTTCTCTCTGGGTGTTGGTTCCATGTCTGCCTCCCCCATCATACTAACTCCATGAGGACAGGGGCCTCGGATGCCTTGAAGGCCGACACTAAGTGTTCAGAGTGTGCCGAGAATCCAAATGGGTCATTTACCCACTACTCACTGGGACCCCATCAGGCTGAGGCTATTATCCCCGCCTGATGGCTGATGGACGTTAACCTCGAGGCTCATGTGAACTCACACAACCAGGCCTGCCTGAGCCCAGAAGGAACCTCTTGATCACTGTGCCCACTACGCTGTGTTGGTGGAAGTAATGCTGTCCTTCCCCTGTGGGTCTCGAGGTGATGGGGGCAAGCCCAGGAGCAGGGGACGATAGGGCAGTGTGGGAGGAAGGAGGGGTCACTGGAAGTGAGTCTTGACCACCAGGAGGCAAGTGTGGGAGGAAGAAGGAGCTGTAGTCAATCCAGGACGCCTGCATGGAGGGGGTGAGTGTGTGGGGGCAACAAAGGGTAGGCCACGGAGTGGGGATGGCATGGGAGATAGTGGGGGTTGTTGGTTCCCAGTGCCGTCCTCATGTTGTTTCCTGAGTCACCCCTGGGAATCAGGTGTGACGTTCTGCAAATAATATACATTATGTCATTTAATCCTCCCAAAACCCCAAGGCCTCTGGGGTCCCCATGACCTTTTTCAGGGAACACACAAGGTCCTGGGATTTTTTCATCAACTTCAACCAAAGCTACACGTGGCAATAGGCTGAACACAGGGCAGACCTGAGATTCCAGTGGCTGCTATTCAGAAAGATCAGCAACAATGCAGCACTGATCCTGCTTCTCACTTTTTTTTTTTTTTTTGGCGGGGTCATGGGGGGTGGTTTAGAAAACACAGCTTCATAAAAACATGTTATATGCATCAATATGTAATTTTCAAATGAGTTACATTTTTAATGTATATTTTGTTTCTAACACCATCAACATGGATAAATAAAACCTACACAAACAAATGCTTTCGGAGGTGCTTGCTAATTTCGAGGATGTGAAGGGGTCCCGCCCAAACAAAGTAGGACCCAAGTGCAGAAGCAAGCCCTGTGGTGGCCCTGGGGGTTGGGTGGGGGACCAAAGAGCTGGGCTGCCATCTGCCCACTTCACTTCACATGTGGTTTTTTCAGTAGGGGATGGGAGCTCTGGGCTCCCCCAGCAGCAGAGCCGTGAGGAGTGGGGACAGAGGTACCTGGAGGCTGGCAAGAGGCTGGACGGGAGCGATGGCGGGGACAGAGGAAAACCCATGCTGCAGAGCTTTTCAGAGGGAGGATGGAAGGCCTGGGTGTGGGTGGGTGGGGACCATGTCAGCCAGGGTGCTGACTGCCCCGGTCCCGACACGCCCCTAGATTTCCCCTAGGGTCTGAAGCAGGAAGGAGCTGCCCAGCCCAGTGAGCTGGAACCCGCAGGACTCTGGAGGCATGGCTTGGTCCCTCTGCAGAAGCTCAGAAAGGGAGGTGTCATCTGCCCCAGCAGAACTGAGGGCCCGGGAAGTGGGAGGCCCACTCCTGCTGCTGATGGCTCCAGAGATAATCTCCCCCGGATATTGACAACGCAGGCTTCAGGGATTTTAATATCATGGCTCCATGGGGACACTGTGATGTCTGCTGTTACTAAGCGGCTCAGCATCTGAAGCCTGGGTGTGGGAGGGACCAACTCAGCCACCCATCTGCGCTTCTTATAGCGGTGCACTCACTCATTCACTGACTCATTCATCCGTCCCGTCCCTCTTTACCCACACACCCACCCATCCTTTCAGCCACTCATTCAACCGTCTACCTGCCCCTTCATGTATTCATTTATCCACATGCCCACCTGCCTGTCCACCTTATCATCTAACAAGGTTAGAAGCATCTACTATGTGCCAGGGCACCAGTCTAGAGAGACAAAGATGACTTGTGCATATTCCTTACATGCGAGGAGCTGGAAAGTCAAGTAAGGGAGATGCTGCTACTGATGGTGGTGGTGATGGTGGTGATGGTGATGGTGATGATGGTGGTGGTGGTGGTGGTGATGGTGGTGATGGTGATGGTGGTGATGGTGGTGGTGGTGATGGTGATGGTGGTGATGATGGTGGTGGTGGTGGTGATGATGGTGGTGGTGGTGATGGTGATGGTGATGATGATGATGGTGATGGTGGTGGTGGTGATGATGGTGGTGGTGATGGTGATGGTGATGGTGATGATGGTGATGGTGGTGGTGGTGATAGTGATGGTGATGATGATGTGGTGATGACGGTAGTGGTGATGGTGACAGTGGTGGGGGAGGAGATGATGATGGTGTTTATGATGGTGGTGATGATGACAATGGTGATGGTGGTGATGATGGTGATGGTGATGATGATGGTGATGGTAGTGATGATGGTGATGGTGATGATGATGGTGATGGTGATGGTGGTGATGGTGGTGATGGTGGTGATGGTGGTGGTGATGTTGCTGACAGCAGTAGTAATTAACATTTTTTGAGCACACGACATCTGCCAGGTAGTATTCTAAGTCTTCTGCAAGGCTTGAACAGGTCTACCAAAAGCCACATTTTAGCTGAAGATACTGAGACATGGAGAGGTTGAATAATTTCTCCAAGGTAACACAGACATTGAATGACTGAGAGGAGTGTCTACCGACTGTTAGATAAGAGCGCCTGGCTGCCCATTATGACACAGTCAGCAGTGGTCATGGTGGAGATCTGGGTAACTGGGTAGGCTCTCACAGGGGAGAGAAGCCAGCTCTGCCAGGGGCTATCCGGGAAGACCTCACAGAAGAGGTGACATTTAGCTGGAACTTGAGGATGGAATAAGAAATTGGCAGAAAGAGGAAGGGGAAAACATTATAGGAGGTAGAAGGAAGATGGTGCAGAGATGCACAGGGGCGTTGGGGAAGGAGCTAGTAGTTCAGAGGGTGGAGGGCCCAGGGGAAGTGTGGGAATCTGAAAGTCAATGTGTTGCAACCCCAGGAGGACTGTGAGTGTCCTGCCAGGTCTCAAAATGCAGTTTCCCATGCCTCCTGCCCAGGGGCTGGGCAAACCCTCTCTGGGCCTGGGCTTCTGTGTCTGGTTGGTGGTGATAGGCTTATGCAGGGGCCATGGCAAGTGTCCAGGAAGTGCTGGTGTCCTCGTGCTTCAGGGAGGTTGGAGGAGCTGCTGGGAGAGTGGTTAGTGGTGGGGCTGGTCACAGGCAAGGCCAGCTAGATCCCAGCAAGCGGTCTGGCTATGGAGGGTGGCCATCTGGCTTCATAGAGGGCAGAGCCACACCAGCACTTGTGATAAAACAGGCGCCAGACAGAAGAGGACAATGTCCAGACCATCCAGGGATAGTGCTGAGAGAGACAGCTGGGTGGGGAAGGGATGTGACCCTCTTGGATCCAGACCTCAGTCATGCATGTTGTATTGGGCAGGCACTGCTGCCTCAAGGGTCCACTGGCACTGCCTGTTTGGAGAAGGTCTTTGTGGGAGTCGAGAGGCTGGGGTTGAGCCCTGCTGACCTGGGCCAGGCCAGAACTCCCTCTGGGCCTTGACTTCCTCATCTCTAACACTGGGTTGCCTGATCCACATTTGGCCTCCTGTGGGGCTGCTGGGAGGGTCTGTGTGAGCTGTATGAGCAGCTGTTTCCTTCATGGGGGACATCACCCTGGCTTTCCCAGGGTGCAGATGCACCAGATCCCTCTCCATCTTGAGTGGCCCCCTCGCCCCCATCTTCATGCCTCAATTTGCTCATCTGTTAAATGACAGACTCACCCTCCAAGGACTCCAGCTCTTTCTGTGTCTCTCAGAGGTACACAGAGCTAGCATTGCCACCTCCTTTGTGCAGAGAGGGGCACTGAGATCCCGCTGGGTGAAGTCCTTCACGCAAGATCCCATGAGTGGCTCAGAAGAGCTTGGTCTGGAAGCTGGGGCGGAGGGGGGGGGTGGCCTGAATCCACTCCAGGGTTCTTGCTACCAGCCATGGAGAAGGAAGACAGGAAGGTGCCTTAGAAAATGATCCGTGGCTCCCCAGACAGAGGGAGTATTGACACGGTTATTTTTAGCATTATTAAAATCAGTCTGTTTTGCTCCTTTTTTTCTCTCCTCACCCTGGCTCAGTCTTCGCCTCTGGATTGAGTGTGTGTTCGCGTGTCCGGGCCAGGGCGCTGGGGGAGCTGCTGCAATCAAAATGGTAATGAGACCCTGATTGTGTCTCTCAACGCCTTGCTTCTTCCATGCCTCTGCCTGCCCCCAAATGTCGCCTGGTCTTTGTGGCGCCCTGGGGAGCAGCACCAGCGTTCTTTGAAAATGAGACCTCAGCTCAGTGCTCCATAGAAACAGCCTCTGGGAACCTTGGAGAACTTGGGACCTGGCCCTGCCTATGGGCGATCCTTGCTGAGGATCCTCCTCCTTCCTACTGCTGGGGCAGTACCAGGACTACTGTCCATGGTGCTGGACGGTCTCACCACTGTCCATGGTGCTGGACGGTCTCACCCTGGTCCCCCAGACTCAGGCGGTCGGAGGCGATGTGGGGATGGACAGAGTCTGTGTCTGAGGAGGAAGGCCTGGGGCCCACGGGGTGAGGGACAGCCTGGTTAGGGGAAAGACAGGGTCTGTGTCTGAAGAGGAAGGCATGGGGACCCCAGAGGAGGCAGCCGGGTTAGGGGAAGGACAGTGCCCACAAGAGCAGCTGATCCTGCAGCTCTGTCACTGGAGCTCTGCCAGCTGGGGCAAGTGATGGATCCGCTCTGAGCTTCCACTTCTTTCTCTGGAAAAAGAGAATGACAGGACCTTTACCTCAAGAGGTCTCGGCCTCTGAGAAGTGTGTGGACATTCCTGGCTCACAGTGGCTTGCCAACCGAGCTTGCAGCATTTTATTAAAACCAAATGCAGTTGCTGGTGGTGCATGTGGCTGCAGCCCCTGGACCCTACCCCTGCAGGGGGCCGCGTTCCTGCTGTCTGGAGGCCTAGGTCAGCTCCTCTCACCTCTGCCTTCTCAGCTGCCTTTCCCTGAAGTGTCTGGATCTCCCTGCCACCCAGCAGCTCTAAGGGGCCTCCAGGGCCCTGTGCCAGCCTAGCCCCCTGCTGCTGTGACCGGCTGTCATTGCTGTGAGCATCTCACCGGAGACCTTCCCCTGGAACTGAGCCAAAGCCAGCCTGGCTGCTGGGAGCTCCTGAAACCCCTGTCCTCTGCACGTTGGATTGGCCCTGCTCTGGAACCTGAGCCACCGAGGGCCCATGTGGAGTTTGTTCCATGTGGACAGGACAGGCCACTGGTGGGAGGAGGAGAGGTGCTGGCATTCCAGCCCTGCTTCCTCACCCTGGAGATTGGCACTCCCCTTGCTGTCACTTCCCTCTGCTGGCTGGGCCTGTTATCAACCTGCCTGCTGGTGTCTCTGTTCCATCAAGTCCAAAACCAAGCCTGCCCAAGTCCCGCCCCTGCTGACACCCTCCTGGTGCCTCACCAGCTCCAGGTCCACAGGCCCCTGCAGCTGCCCTCCTCCTGAATGCTCCAGCCCCACCACGGCTCCCTTCTCTAGACCTTCCCCTCCCTGGAACAGCTCCCCTGGGAGGCCCACCTCTCCCTCCTGGCCCAAGTGCCTGTATTCTCTTTGAGCCCTGAGCCTGGAGGCCACCTCTCCTGCCTTGGCCACATGGGAAGGTGCAGGCTGTGCCTGTGCATAGGGGGTGAGTGTGCTGAGCACCTGTTCTCTAGTGGCCCCTTCATAGCTCACGGTTCCACATTTCTCACACCTCGGCTGAAAATCCTTCACAGTTTCCCTCCTGCCTCACCTTTCTGGGGCTCCTCATCACATCTCCTGCCTATATTGAGCCTTGCAGAAACCTCACCTCGTACCCCAGCCCCAACCCACACCCATGGCTGGTGTTCAACCTCCTTCTCCCCAGCCCAGCCCTGAGGACCACGCAGCTCCACCCACAACACTGAGAATTCCTCCTGGGCTGCCCGTACTCGGCCCTGTGCCCCCACCCAGACATGGGGCTGGGGTCTCCCCTTTCATTCTTAGCCAGGGAGCAAATCTTGCTGGCTGTGGCTGTGCCCGGGGCTGTGTTAGTGTGCTAGTGTGTGAGGAAGGGTTACCATGGGGAGCAAGAGTGGACACAGGCTCAGCCATTGTGGGACTTGGGGGAAAGACAGGTATTGAAACCACACAAATCTCTGTGGGTGGAGCAGGGGCTTTGCAGACATAGTGTGCTGGCTGCATCCTGTGCCCTTTGCCCAGCTCCTGGCACGCCCCCTCCATGGGGCATTAACGACCACCTGACACTCTACCTCCACTGGCCAACCTTCAGGTGGGCAGGGGCAGTGTCTGCCTCGGTCTCTACTGGGTCCCCAGAACCATACTCTGATGACACAAAACAGGGGCTCACACAAAGTCTGTCAATAAATGAATGGGCGAGTGGCCTGGCCTGCCCGTCCCAAGCACACCCGCCCTCTTGACCCCTCCTCCAGGAGAGGATCCAGAACCAGCCCATGGGCAGGCATGGGCGAGTTTGCAGGCCTGGGCCTGAACAAGGGGCAATTTCTAGGTGAGCACAGAGCCTTCCTCCCTGCAGCCAAGCTTCCAGGGGGCCCAGCTCTTCCCAGTGTGCTGGGCCCCAGCCTTCCTCCCAGAGAAGCCAGCCATGGCAGGGACACTGTGTCCACATGCCGGTCTGCTCCTCCAGCAGATGCCTGCCAGGCTCCTCCTGCCCTGCCTGTAGTGCCTTCCAGTGTGCTGGAGACAGACGGCAGAGAGGAGAACCAACTTGTGTATGGAGAGGCTGGACAGGTTCCCCGAGTGGGGTGGGCGGGTTCATTTGGATTCAGTAGTTGGGAAACACAATGAGGTTCAGATCCTGACGGTGGGGCCCCCAAGCTGTGTGTGAGCTGCTCCCATCCTCTCTGGGCCTCAGCACTCCCCTCTGCGGTGTGGGGTTGGAATATACCTGCCTCAAGTTGAGGTGCTGAGGGTTAAAGCAGGTGCAGTGCCTAAAGCCAGGTGCTGACTCCACCCACATCCTGCCTCAGGCCTAGCCCAGGACTCCTGTCCAAGAAACCAAGAAACCCGCTCCTCTGTTCTGCAGTGGGAGGTGCTTATGCACAGGGACTCCTGGGACCCCACCCAAGATGCTCTGGCAGAGCAGGGGGTCCTCCTGGGCTGTGGGGGTCTGGGTGAGTCCTCTCTGGCTCTTCCGTCAGCTTGAAGAAGGCTCTGGATGCTGAGGGCCGGCTTAGTTTGTAGTTTGTATCTGGTTTGTGATGGGAACTGGGAGGGGAGAGTGAGGGCAGGAATTATTCCTGACGCCAGGTCCTGCTTGGAGGGTTCTTGTACCCAAGCCCATTCTAGCCTCCAGTCTCCTGGCAGGGATGACTTTCACCCCCACCTCACAACTGGGGAAGGTGGGGCTCTGAGTTGCCCGGCTTGGCCGTGGGGACAGAGTGAGCTGCGGGTACACAGCAGGGCCTGGGGCCAGAGGCAGTGAGGGTGGGCATGGTGTCACCATGGGGGTCAGGTCCAGTGGAGGCAGCATGCTGGCGCTGTCAGAGGAGCTGAGAATTAAGAGAACGATCACCATTTGTAGACATTTTTGTGGAAGAGTGGTGGAGAGGAGCTTGGGCTGGTTCCCAGCAGCCCTCCTCATGGTCGGACACTGTCCCGGGCTCCCCTTCCACACCTGGATCTGGGACCCCTCTGCAGGAGGAAGCTGGGGAATGATCCCTGAAACTCTCCCAGCCTGGACTCTCCGCAGCATGCGGCAGCTCCTGACCCACCCATCAGCCCTGCAGTTTCACTCTGAGTAGCTGAACAGATGCTGCTTCTCTTCCTTCCTTCTGGTTCTAGGACCTGAGAGCCAGGGAAGGCCCTCGACCCTGCTACCTTCTAGCCGTGTGACCCAGGGCAGGACAATCTCCTGATGCTCCATCAACCCTATGCATTACCCCTGAGACGGTTCCTGACCCTTTGTCTAGAGAGGCAGATAGAAAGACTGCGCTAGAGGGTGGGAAGGATGGGAGGGCACTTGGCTGAAGGCGCCCTGCAGATAACAAGCACCATGGCTGTGACCCAGGGCTGGTGTTATTTAGGGGGCCCAGCCCTGGGACACACAGGGGAACTTTGCAGTGAGAGTGGCTGATTCCAGGGCACCCAAAGCCCCAGGATCTAGTCCTTGAAGGAAGGAGAGCTGTGTGGTCTGGCTCAGGCCTGGCCACAGCACTCTCTTGGGGCTGTGGAAGCTGTTTCCACGGTGCCTGAGGACATGATCCAGAGTCTGTCACCTGGGAACACACCATAACAGGGCTGTACTCCTGCCTGGGGCTGGTGACAGGCCAGGCCACCCATGGTGCTCGCTCCCTCTGTATCTCTTCAAAGGCCCTCCAAGGCCAGCTCCTCCAGCAGATGTTGGTCCACTGCACTCCTGCCTGGGGCTGGTGATGGGCTGGGCCACCCATGGCGCTCACTCCCTCTGTATCTCTTCAAAGGCCTTCCAAGGCCAGGTCCTCCAGCAGAGAAATGGGTCCACGCTGAGGGCCCTGGAAGCCCGTGGCTGTCCTGTGCCTGGGACTGTGGCATCCGAGAGCGGACACAGCTTCACCAGGAATTCTGGGGTCCCCAGACCTGGAACACTGGCTCCAGAGGTCCCTGTTTCGTTCTTGTTGCTGCTCGGTTTCCTCTCTTGGCCCTCGAAGAATGTGCCTTCTCCTAGAGGCCTCCTGGGGCTGACCCCCCTCCGCGCCCCACTGGAATCCTCCCGCTCCCTGTCCTCCATCACGCTGAGCCCAGATCTGTCTCCTTAAGCCCAGCAGAGCGGGGCCATTCTCAGAGAGGATTTAAGTGCCCCTCGCAGAGCAGGCAGGGATTTATCCTCCTGTCCCTCCGCTCCCTCTCTGTCGTTAGGGCGGAAGTGGGCCTCCCTGGCGAGTGGCATGGCTGTGAAATGTGGCTGTGCCCTGCGTGGTGCTCGTGCCTGCAACGGCCGCTGGCTCAGAGGCATGGGGGAAGGGCTCTGGGGTTGCCGAATCTCCTCTCGGTGGTGACCCCATAGGAAGTGGGGGAGAGCACTGGCCCGAGGCCCTGGCAGGAGCAGGTGCCTGGGGAAAAATCACTGTGGATGACTGCTGTGTACACCAGACTGCCCCCCAGGCAACGAGGTCCCCACCCACCATTGCCTGTCCTCTGGGTGCTGGTCCACTGGCAAACCCATTCCTGGAGGTCCTGAGGGGGCTGTGCCCCATCCCCATCCCCTCCTCCGGCCCTGGCCTCTCTTTCCCAATGTCTAATCCTTAAACACCTGGGAGGGGCTTATGCCTGGGGCAGGGTTGGTCTGAGTTATGCAGTTGCTTTGCCGTCAGCACCCGGAGGCCCCCGGCCTCTAAGCAAGGACCCCACTCTGTGTCACCCCCCATCCTCTCAGGAAGCCGACTCCATGCCCAGGAGATGCAAACTGGGTTTTGACCCCATCCCCCCGCCCTTCCTCAAGCTGTTAGCTCGGAGGCCTTGGAGCCTGTGGCCATGGCTCAGGGCACATTCTCCTCCCCCCAGCTGTGTCCACACACTCAGCAGCCCCCAGAGCAGCCCCCCATCTTCAAGCCAGAACCAGCCATCAGCACAGCCCACTGTGAGATGAAAGGTGCTCTGTCGACGGGTGTTAATGTGCTCCTGTTCCCTCCTCATCCGTTCAGCAAGTGTCCACCGACCGCCTACTGTGTGGGGGCCCACGGCCAGGCCTGCTTTGGGTGAAGCCTGTGTAATGTTTTGCAGACGGGAGCCCTTTCCAGGGGAGAGTGGATCCCTCATCTCCCACCCTGTCTGTCCTGAGCACCCTTAGACCAGGCCATGGTGCACAGTAGGGGCCCTGGGAATGGCGCTTTCATTGGCTAGGATGGTGAGGAAGCCTTCTTAACTCTCCAAGATGTTGTCATGGAGACCCCTCTCTCACTGCCACCCTCCTTTCGGTCTCCAGGGAACAGGGTCCCCTGAAGAAGGTCAGCAGCTCTGCAGGGGCTCGGGATCTCTGTATCGCTGGGGGGACTCCCCTCGCCTTCTGGGGACTCTGAACGATGAGAAGAGCCACCAAACCCAGGTGTGGGGACTTGGAGAGGCTCGGCTCCCCTGGGTGCTCTGTCCCCCAGGGATGTGGCAGATTCTCTGCGGCAGGGTGCCTTGCAGGACAGAGGGACAGAGCACCCTGGGGGGCCAAGCCTCTCAACTCTCTTGGGGTCAAACCACTTCACAAAGGGTACCTGAAGGTTAAGAAGTTCTGGGATTTGGGAGCAGCTAGCTGGGCCTCCCAGAGCCACAGATGGTGGCCCAGTAAAGGCAGCCTGACCACAGCCTGAGGTGACAGCATCTTGTGGCCAAACGCTCAGCCCTGAAGCAGCTTCTGAGGGTGGCTGGGCTGACTGAGAATGATCTGGGGCTTGAGGCCTGGGTGCTCACAGCCTTGTACTGAAAAGGAGAAAAACACCAGTCCTCTGACTTTCTGCTGTACCCAGGGGCTGGCCCGGGATCCTCAGCATCTCTGCATGGTGCTGAAGTGTGTGGCCGGTGTGAGTGTGTGTGCACATCCCACGCAGGTGAGCGTCACTGTGACCCTGTGGCTTGGACACCTCACTTGTTTGTGAGGCTCCCTCTGGGCCTCAGTCTCCCTACCGGCAGAGGAAGGGGCAGGCAGCATGGATTAACTGCGCCCAAGCCCTTCTGACATTCCAGGAGCCCCTGTTGTGCCAAGGGCCAGCCTGGACACTTCTGGCTCCCTCCAAATGTCAGCAAGGGAGGGAGTGAGGGCTCTCTGGAACGGAGTGTCTTACCGTGACTTATTGGATCACGAACAGTTTAATAAGGAGAGGGATGGGGGAGGGCACGCTGCTGCCCGCCTGCTCACCTCATAAATTAGGCATCAGATGTTCACAAAGGTATCTTTGAGTAAACAGAATCATCTTGTTGGAGGAAGGGCTGTGTCTGCGGGCCAGGCAGTGAGTCCCTGGGGATGGCGCAGTCAAGATGGCGAAGACAAGGCCGCTGCATTTGTCTAGCGTGCCCTTCGCCAAGCCCGGGGATGGCTACGGGTGGTCTCGCAACAACCTTGGGGCAGCTGGGGGCTGCTTGGCAGGGAGAGGACGTGGCCTGCGAGGGGTCCAATCACCCCCATCCCCATCTCTGAGGTCAGGTTCAATCCAGTGCCTGGACTCTGGACTCCTAAAGCAGGGTCAGGGCCGGATGCAGGCACCTTAGTTGCCCAGCCAGGGAGCAGAGGCCGTGGAGGCAGATTTGCAAGAAGCTGTGTGGCCTTGGGCACGTTCCTTCATCTCGCTGTGTCTGAGTTTCCTCCGCTCCCATCCCCCACCTCTCCCGTCTCGGCCCCTCCTCAGGTCCAGCGCAGGGTGCCACAGTGTCACCTTCATCCACGGCAGGGCTGCTCCTGCCTGACCTAAGAGCTCAGGGCTTTTCTCCCTTCAGGGTCTGTTCCATGGGCAGGTGGATTCAGCCCCAGAGGGACGGTGGGGACTCGAGCATCTTCTTACTGAGTTGGTTTTTTTTTTGCACTGGACACTGCACAGGAAGTGGCTGTGGTGCTCCAGGCCCTGAGGCACAGCCTTCCTCCCTCCTCTTCCTCTTTGCCAGAAGCAGTGCCTTCCACGTGACCTCCACGGACAGCCAGGCTGCATGCGCTCTGCATGCCCAGAGCTCCTTGTTCTCTGGCCCGGATTCATGCTGGGCTCCAGCCAAGCGCCCTATGCCCCAGGCAGCCCCAAGCAGGGTCTTGGTAGCCAGGGGCAGCCATGGAGTGGGGTGATTCCCGTGGGAGCCTTCCGCACGTGCGCTCCGCCCACCACCCTGCCCAGGGCGTGAGGCTCGCTCTAGACACCAGAGAGAAGCAGGCCAGGGGTCATGCTGGGGATGGTCCCGGGGAAAGGGAGGACAAAGGGGAAGAAGGAGTGAGCTGCAGGCCCAGAGGGTGGGGGTTCGGAGTGTGCAGCGAGAGGGAACGGAGGCCGGGGACTTGGGACTCCCCATGGTGGAGGGGTGGGGTGGGCCTTGTCCATGTCCTGGGAGTGGGCAGGAGCATCTATGCTCCCATCTGTGTAGTGGGGCACCCAGACTCCAGTCCAAGGGGCCTTCCCCGCTCTGCCATGTAGGACTGTGGGAATCCTTGGCCTTAGTCGTGGCTCCAGGGTTGTGGCTCTGCTAGAAATCTCGATGGATCTTGGCTTTGGTAAAAGTGAGGCTCCCATCCCCAACCCAGTCCGGGCCCACACAGCGTCCTGGGTAGCAGCGTCCACCCGCTGCGCGAGGAGGCAGAGGGCAGAGTTGCTTACATTGACTTCTAAAAGCCCCATTCGTTCTCCGCGAGAGACGCACTCCCTAACTCATGCTGGAACGCAGAGGGATGATTTTTAATAAACCGGCCCTTTCGGGGCCTGAATCACTGTAACTGCAGGCGCCGGGGCAGGTTTACGCACAGCCCACCCTCCCACTGCCCGCCCCCGGCGCCGGCAGGCAGCCTCTTGTTTAGGAGACGATTTGTTGCTTTGGGTTCTTTCTTGGGCTTTTCCGAAGCAGAGGCCTGAGCTCGAGCTTCCCGTCTGCAGAGAGCAGCAGGAGCACAGCGGGGTGGAAAGAGAGCTCACGGCCCTTGTGGCCCATCGAAGGTCAGGCCAGCTTTCCCTGTCCTCAGCTGGGCTCTCTATGGGGCTAGGCCCCGCTGCTGCCCAGTCACTGGCCCTGTCCCTGACACATGGGAGAATGTGCTCAGGCCCCCGTGGTCTCCCTTCCCGGGATGGGAACCCATGCGAGTTCCAAGCACAAGAAAGTGCAGGCTGGGGTGAGGACTGGGCACCTCATGTGCACTAAAGTATCAGAGGCAACTAGGCCTCTGCCTCAGTTTCCTAATCTGTAACATGGGATCATTTTCCCAACCCAATCCGCAGGGTTGTTGTGGGGACCCAGTGGTGCCGTGGGGTCATATGCTTTGTATACCCAGTTCATAGGTGAGACTGAGACCCGGGATGTCTTAAGGACGGAAGTGGACTGGGATCCCGGTACGGGATCCTCCCTGTCACCCTGCTCCTTTGCACCCACTGATCATCAATGGTACCTCTGTTCATCTCGGGGCTCCGTGCTGTAAGCTCCTCCGCCACCGGCAGCCACTCTCGTGGCCCCATGCTGTGAGCCCCACCCCGCAGGCAGCCACTCTCAGGGCCCCATGCTGTAAGCCGCACCCTGTAGGCAGCCACTCCCTGGGGAATCTGACATGAACAATTCCCTCCCCAGATCAGGCTTGAAGCTGAACCCCCTCGGGCATCTCCAGTGCCCCCACCATCAGGCTGCTTCCTTTGAGCCTTTAGGACACAGCTGTTCCTTCCAGATGTGCCCCAGCCAGGCCAGTGGTCGGCCCGTTTGCTCTAGATGGCCCTGGTGCCTTACAGCATCCTGTGGGTTTCACTCCTCCTGTCCCTTCTCCCAGGCAGCAACAGCCCCATCTGTGGACGGCACGAGGTTCCCGCCACCCACCCCTTCCTGTGCTCTCCTGCTAGCCTGGGACCACCGCCTGCCCCTTGCCAGCCTCCAAGCCACCTTGCTCACTCCATCCAGCAGCCCAGGCCTGGGGGCTCCTGCTCCCTCGGGAGTCTCTGCCTCCTCCTAGGGACCTTCCCCTTTCTGGACCCTCCAGGGATCCTTCAGGGCTGCTGGAACCAGCTCTTCCTGCTGGGCTCTGCCTGCCAGGACCTCACACCTCTACTGGTTCCTGACTCAGCTGTTTCCTGCCTTCCTTGGAGATGTCATTCACAGGACCCCTGGGTGCCCCTCACCTGGTGGGTCCTGGCCTGGACTCACTCTGCTGGGCCCAGCCACTGTATCCCAGGTGCTGTATGCAGCCAGGCCTTGCCGTTGCTTGTGTGGCCATTTCAGGGGGTCGAAAGGACTCTGGCTACTGGAGTCTTGCAAGCTCCCTGCAGGCCAGGCAGAGGAAGGACAACACTGGCCACGGTAACAGCCAGTGTTTCATGAGCTTGGCAGAGCCTGATGTACAGTCAGCGAGTCCCGCCCACCTCCCTCCCTCTGCAGCTGCTCTGCGGCTTGGCCTCTGTGTGCCTGGTTTCCTCACAGGAAAACCAGGGATGAAGCAGGGGGTGGGCTCGGGGACCCCATGCGGAGGCCGGAGGAGTGACAGGTGGTGATCCCTGACTTTGGCAGAGCCCAGAAAGCCCCGGCTACCACTGCTGTTGCCACATTCAACACATCACCAGGTGCCGCCTCACAGTTCCAAAGGCTGTACCTTAAGAGGAGCTGGCGTGCCCAAAGCCATGGGCTGTGTCGGGTCAAGGAAGCCCCTGCTGCCGGACGCTGACCCCTGCTGCCGGACACTGACCCCAAGTGCATTGTCCCCTGGCTGCACCTAACTCTGCATTCCTGGGCATGGTGACTCCACACAGGGCAGGATGCGGAGGGACAGGCAGGGAAGCTGGGTGGCGGAGGGGCCCTGGGCATCAGACAGCAGGGAACCGCCCCTCCCTCAGGGATGGCTGTGTCTCTCCTGCCACATGCCCTGGTCTTTCTCTCCTACCTCCCCTCTGCAAACCACCCTCTTGGAACTCTCATACCTCCCCAGCCCTGTCCGCACCCCAATCCTCTTGTCTTCCTGGGGATGGGCCAATCTCAGGGCCCCCTCCCGCCAGCCACAGTGGTGGATGAGGAGCTCTGGCCTTGGGCTCTGCACACCTGGGCTCCGGCTGCTCCTCTCCCTACCCACGGTGACGGTCCTCCACTCGGCCTGATGAAGGGCTCACAATGGGGCCAGGAGGCTTCTGGAGCAGGTGGCTGGCAAGCTGTCCTGGGCAGCAGAGGGGATCCCCCAGAGGAAGAAGGGCAGGGACTCACAGCCGAGGCCCCTGGTTCCCGCAGCTCAGGCTCCTGCCAGGGACACCCGTCTGTCCTTGGTGCTTAGACTCCAGGTCGTCTTTGGTCCTTGTTCCTGTGTCTTTCCTGCCTGCTGGTCGAACCCAGAGGGGCCCCCGAGGCTGGGCTGTGTCCATCGATCAAATTCAAAGAGACCTGTGCGTGGCAGTTGGCTGCTCATTTTTTGCTGCAGCTCTACCAGCCGCTCCGCGGGTGGGCAGCTGTCCCTGCCAAGAACGTGACGCACCGAGAGGTTCGTGGCTTGCAGGAGGTCACACAGCCCATTCCAAAGGCCGTGGGGTGCACACAGGCTGTACCCCAAGTTTACAGTGGGGAAGCTGGAGACCAGGGAGGTGATGTGATTTGCCCAAAGCCACACAGGGATGCACTGGCAGGGCTGGGCGTGCGTGGCTCTTCTTCGAGCCTCCCGCAGGGCTGCCTGCCTCTGAGGGTGCCCGGCTTCCCTCCCTCCCAGCCGCCCGCTGGGCTCCTTCTGCTCCGTCAGGGAGCACTACCGGCTATGGCTCCCAGGGGGCGCTGAGGCCCCGCGGCTGGCTTTCCGCCTGCCCAAACCCTGAAAAATGCGGCGTGTGCTCTGCAAACTCACTGGTGCTGTGTGTGTTTTTCCAATCAATAGAAGATGCTCAGTCCCCGAGATGTCGCTACCAGAGTCTTCACACATCTGCATCGGAAGGATTCCAAGTGAAAAGTCTTTTCCTGTTGGGGTAAAAAAAAATGTAAAAGGAGAAAAGGAGAATTTGCCTAACAGACTAGAAAATTTCCACTTCCCAGCATCTGAACAAAGTATTTGTGCTTCTTGTGCCTAATTACCCAGGCTGCAGAAGGAGAGCTGGGTGGGTTTCCAAGCTCGGCCGTGGCGCTCAGCGAGTCGATCCTGGGGAGGAATCTGCATGTATTTCTGGGTGATGCTGAAGGTACCCGGCCACCGGCCTGGGAGACTGGGGTCTGGTTCCAGCCCTGCTTTCCACTTTTGTTTGACCTTGGAGAAGATGCTTGGCCCCTCTGAACTCAGCCCTCCTGGCTATAAAGAGGTTTTGTGTTAAGTTCACATCTCCAGGATGCTGACAAGCCCAAGGCATTTAATCTGAAACATAAACTGATTCATAGCTTTATACTAATGTGGAGTTTTCAAAGTGCCTTTGAAGTCCGCATCTGCCTGGTTTCCTAATTGGCCCTGGAGAGTGGGGGGTGAGCTGCGCCCCGGAGCTCACAGGGGTGAAGGGTGATGCACAGGCCCAGCTGTCAGCAGCAGAAAGGGGCCGGCGGGGCTACTCCTGCTCGGTGCCAGTGGCCTGGCCCTCAGCCTGGGAAGCCGGGGAATGGCCCCGGAGAACACAGGCGGGAGGGGCTGGACTTGGCTTCAGGCCTCCAGTCCAGTGGAAGACACTTGTGGTGAACAAGACTGTCCCGCAAGCCCAAATCGGTGCCCTGCTGGTGGGATATGGCAGCAGCCCACTGCGGAGTCGCTGCCCGGAAGCTAAGGCGATGAGCGGTGACTGCCACGTGAGAGCCAGGCTTCAGGGCCTGAACCACAGAGCGGGCTTCTTCCAGCCCGGGAGTCCGAGAGGCGCTGGCTCGGGGAAGTCTTTTCCCCCTTCTCATGAGCACAGGGGCAGTCACAGTGCTCTTGCTCCTGGCCCAGGTCCTCCCCACCTCAGAGTTCACTCAGGCCAGAAACTGGGACAGCCCTTCCTGGCACCTTCTCCTGGCTTCCCATTCCTTCCAGCCACCACCAAGTCCTGCCGATTTTATTCTGAATGTCTCTCGATGGTGCCCACTTCTCTGCCTCCCAGCTGCTGCTACCCGGGGCCTGGCCACCATGGACCCTCCCCAGGGATGACAGCAATCCCCTGGCTGCCTTGGCTCCCTCCCCCAACTCTCTGCCCCTCCAGTCCCTTCACCAGTGATGGCCAGGCTCCTTTTTTGAAAACATAAACTGAGCGGGGCACTCCACATGTCATCGCCCATGGCCTGGCCGGCCGCAGCCCCAGCCCCTCTCCCCGCCTGCAAGGTGCCTGCTCTTGCTCACTCAGCCCAGCCTCGCTGACTGCCGAGCGGCTCGCTCTACTTCTCTTCTTTCTTTACTGCCCTGCCCCCTGAGGAGTGACAGCTTCTGGCAGATACTAGGTGCTCATTAATACTCACTGCCTGCCTGAGTGAGCTGGCATTTGGGCGGGGTCTTCATCCCAGAATTGTGAAATGGAGGAGGCAGCATGGAGAGGGAGGAAGTGGCTCAGGCAAAGGCTGGAGAACAGGGTCCATGAGCAGGGTGAGTGGGCTTGGGAGAACGGGGGATGGGAAGATGGAGCTGGGTCCCTGGAAGGTCTGCGTCACGTCAGGGAGAATTGGTCAGGGGCTGCAGCAGTGGGACCTGGGGTGGCTGGCCTGCAGGGCTCAACGAAGAGGGCTCTCTACCTACCCAGCACGTGGTAACAGTACTGGATCTGGAGCTGCCTCCAGGGACTCGTCCCTGCTCTGCCCTCCCAAGCCATGTGACTTGAGGGGAAGTCACCGGGCCCTGCATCCTCATCAGCAACCAGGTCTAATAACCCCTGGCCAGAAGTGAGAGAGTCTGGCATGCGGTGTGAGCTCAGGAACTGTGAGCTCTCCAAATCTGTGCTTCTGAGGGCTCCCTTGGGAGCCCCAGAGTGGAGGCAGGGAGGCCAGGGGCGAGGCTGGTTCCTTTGCCCATAAGAAGGCTCAGCCAGGCAAGGGGAGAGGGCACTGAGGGAGGGGGAATGGATCCAGAGATGCTCTGCCTTCCTGGAGAAGGAGAGAGTGTGGGCAGTTCCCCAGCACCTGTCTCACTTCCCTGGATGAGGCTACATGGCCTCAGCTTCCCCTCCCCCAACTGTCCTGGGGCTGCGCCCATTCCCAGAAGCTTTGCAGGGAGGTAAGGAGGGGCCGATGCGGGGCAGAGCCCCCACTCGTCCTATCTCATATCCCCAAGCTCTGCCGGGTGTCACAAGGCCTCTCAGCTGCAGTATCCCCACTCCACCCTGACCCCAGGCCCATCCATCCTGCCTGTACCTTCCTAGTGCAGCAGGGCCCTGGTATTTTCAGGTAGTCAGTTTCTGCTCTTTTGGGACATATGCTCTGTTTTGCAAGTGATTCTGCCAAGCCTGGATTTCAATGGTGATGGACTGGTCCTCGGGGGTCCTCCCTTTAGCACCCCAGGTGGCCTTTGGAGCTGGGTGCTCAGCCCTGCTTGACACCCCGCCAACGCTGTCCTGTCCAGAGAAATGGGTAGATCCCCACACCCCAACACAAACGCACACTGTGTCTTCCCAGCTTGGGAAGATCCAAGTGAATTTCTGGAGTCACTTGAGGGAGACCAGAGAGGTTAATCTAATTTGGGGCATCTTCACAGCCCAGCAAACAACCAAGTCTCAAGAAACCTCAGCTTCTCTATCTGGAAGAGGGGCATGATCACCCTAAGCGCTGTGGGCTCTCCAGGCACACACCCCAGTGCCTGCATCGGGACCTTGCTCTCCAGAGCCCCTGCCCATGGGGTGCCCTCCCCAGCTCCTGCCTTGCCCACCCCGTCCATTTCCATCCCTCTCCTGGTTCCCACATCTTTATCCCCCTGGAAGCAAAGACAGACATCATTCTCCTTTGCCTGCCCAGACCCACCAGCTGCAGCCCTTGAAGATGGGGGACTTCTAGGCGTGACCTTGAGGCAGCCCCCTCTGTCCTCTCTGCGCCTCTGCGATGTCACAGGGTGGGGCCTGAAGGCTGCCATGTTGCGGATCTCCAGGTTCGGTCCCCTGCCTCTCCTTTCCTCATCCTCTGTTCTTCTTCCTCCCCCTCCTCCTCCTCCTTCCTCTCCTCCTCCAGCTCTGTGCTCTGTGTTTCCTTGGGGAATGACTCACACAGTCGCCTCCCACCTGCACTGCCAGCTTCCCAAACCTTCACTCCAAAGGGTCGCGGTGTGAGCAGATTTCAGCCTTCAGAGGCATCCAGGCTTGGGGCCGCAGTCTCTCCTGCTGCCTGAAGCCTGCAGCCAGGGAGCGCGGCTGGGCTCGGAGGTTTCCTGCTGTCCCAGGGCCCAGGGAGAGAATCCAGCTCTGCTTTCTGGTCTGAACTCACTGTGTGACCTTGAGCTGGTTCCTTTTCCTTTCTGGCCTCCCTTTCCCTGTGCAAACACACCAGGCTGGAGCTGGGAGACTCCTGGCTCTTTTTCCGGTGTCCCCTCAGCCCCCATCTCTTTTAAGCATTATATTTTGATGAATTCTACTATTGTATATTGATGGGGTACAAAGTGATGTCGCGATTTTTTTAATACACTGTGGAGTGATTAAGTCAAGCGAATTGTGTGCTAAGTGAAGTAAGCCTGACTCAGGATGCATTCCTTTCACCCCGGGGGTGGGCAGGGTGTGTATGGAGGAGTCAGAGGAGGGTGTGCAGGGGAGGCTGGGCCCAGTGGAGGCTGGCATCCTCCCCATGAGCCCCTGGCCATGCGTGGACAGCGTTCCTCTGGCTTCCACCTGCTCTGTTTCCCTCCCCCACTCTCAGCCCTGTGATTTGGGAGGAATTAAACTTGCCCTGGAACAGGTGACCCAGGCTGCAGCCAATCACAGAGTCACATTCCTATGGCCACAGGGATTGGTCGAGAGATGGGCATGTGACTCAGTGAGAACCAATGAGAGGCAAGGAGCTTTGAATGGGCCTAGGGAGGAGGATGCTGGCTCTGTGCTCCCTGGGATTCAGGCCCGGAGCCCCTGCTCTGCACAGAATCCAGGCAAGGCCAGGGCAAGGGGATCAACTTCCAGCCAGGACTCCAAGGCAAATAGAATCTCACTTTTGCTGCTATTAGCTCAGCACCTACTATTACACAGCTGCAATTTCTCTGCATATATTTTCTCATTTAATTCTCACAGCAATATTGCAGGGTGGGTATTATTGCCTGATCTGCAGGACCAGAAAAGGGAGGCTCAGGTTTGTCCACCCACACCCCATGGCCCCTGGCTGGCCCCGGTTGTACTGTCCATCCCCAGAAGTGGGGCTCAGACCCACTTGCTGTGTGGGGGGTCCCTATGTCAGCCATGGGCTCCCAGCCTGGTCCTGCTCCTGGGCCTCCACCCCTGCTGGGACACACAGCCCCACATGGAAACCCACATCTTCACTGCATTGCTGTGGAAAGTGCTTTGGGTCCCGTGCATGTTATTGGACTGGGTGAGATTCTGTGGCAGCTGCTCCATGCCAGTCGGTGGGAGAGGAGACACTCAGATCCGTGATGGGGCTCACCAGAGGGCTCATGGCAGCCCAGAGCTTGCCAGGGCTCAAGGAGGCAAATCTAGCTTCCTGAGCTTGGGCCTGGTGCAGAGGGGATGGGTGTCCCCCACATAGGATAAAGTTGCCCAGCCAGGTGCCTCGTGCACGTGGTGGCATCCAACCTCAGTCCAGACTTTCCATTTTGTAGGTGAGAAAAGCGGGACTTGGAGAGGGGTCCTTACTTCCTTCAGGTCAAATTACTCCTCAGAAGCGCCTTCCGTGGCCTGCAGGGCCTCGGGGCTTGTCTGGTGGCCCTTCCTCTTGGTGACATGTCCACCTCAGCCTTGTCCCTGTCTGTGTGTGGATGCACTCCCTCTGCTGCCGCCCCGGCTGACTCTGCTGTCTCAGCTCTCTGCGGACGTGCCCCGTCCTCGGAGGGGCCTGCCCCGCCCCTGTAGCCTGGACTCCCCCATTGTCCTTCTGGGCTCCCTGCCCCGTCTGCCATGCGGCTGCTGAAATGTGCCTTATGTGTTTACACACTTCTTTATAGGATCAGCGCCTCTCCCACAGACTGCAGGCTCCAGATGGGTGGAGATTGTATCTGTTTTGTTCACCTCCAACTTCCCAGCAGCCCACAGCAGGTGTAGGTCCTCGGTGAGTTTTTTTTTTTCTTTTTTTTTTTTTTTTTGAGATGGAGTCTCGCTCTGTCGCCCAGGCTGGAGTGCAGTGGCGCGATCTCGGCTCACTGCTAGCTCCGCCTCCCAGGTTCACGCCATTCTCTTGCCTCAGCCTCCAGAGTAGCTGGGACTACCGGCACCCGCCACCACGCCCGGCTAATTTTTTTGTACTTTTAGTAGAGACAGGGTTTCACCATGTTAGCCAGGATGGTCTCGATCTCCTGACCTCGTGATCCACCCGCCTCGGCCTCCCAAAGTGCTGGGATTACAGGCTTGAGATGAGTCTTATTGAACAAGGAATAAGAGCATGAATGGGAGGGGGAGATTGAGGGTCTGAGACTTGGTCTGTGTGACCCTGAACCTGGTGCATTCCTGGTACCGCTGTCCCCACTCTTCATTGTGGCTGCCACTGGGGGCTGCCGGAGGATGCTGCTTCTGGGCATCCAGGGCTGTGAGGCTTCCCGAGGCTGAGTCTCGGGGCTGTGTGTTCCATTCTCCTTGAGCAAGCGTTCCACTGCACGTCCAGCACCCACCCTCAGAAACGCTGTGTACCCTGGGCAAGAGGGAGACCGCAAGCCACGGCTGTGAGTGGAAATCCATCGGCTGGTGGGAAGCCCCAGGGAGCGCCTGGCACCGACTTTTACTCTCCCGTCCCCTTTGAGCTCTCAGTCGGTGAACACGAGGCAAGATGGGAGGGTTCGCACAGAGGTCGGCTGCTGTGCCGGTTGCAGAAGGGCCAAGGGGGTGGCAAGGTGGAAGGGGCAGGCTGGGTGGCTGGGCTGCTGGAGCAGAAGGACTGGTGCTGGGTAGAACCACAAGGACACTGGTGTATCGGACAGGAGGGACAGAGCTCCCAGGGCTGAGAAGAGCACAGGTACAGGCTCTTTGGGAGGTCGGAGCAGATAGTGGGGTCAGGGCAGACCAGCATGCTTGGGTGGGAGTTTGTGGAGGGGCTCCAGGTGGGAAATGGGGCAGTGAAAATGATTTGGGGACAGAATGGAGGGCCCTGGCTTCCACCCAGAGAACGCTGCCTTCATTTCCAGGCCAATTCTCACTTTTGACTGTGTAAAAAGCCTCGAGGCCTGAGTGCAGGGCCCACATCAGCCCAGCCATGCTGGCTCCATGTCTGCACTGGTCACGTAGAGACGATCTTCCTATTTCACCTGGACAACGTGAAGGCGGCAAGATGAACCAAGATGACAGGTAGAAAAGCACTGCATGAGTTGGGGCCTTCTAGAGACAGGTGCATTTCAGCTGAGCTAGGGGATCTCTGTTTTAACATAATGGCAAGGAAGATCAGAGCCAAAAGACATAGACGCCAGGCCTCACTCTGCAGCAAGCTGCCTTCTATTCTTCATAAGTCATAGCACCACCCGGGCCTCAGTTTCCTCATCTGTCAACTCTGAAGGCTGGGCCAATGCCTTCCAAGCCTTCTGGGACCCTTCCCAGCCTTGCCGGGAATGCAGAACTGAAGTGCATCCCATCCCCTGGGGGCCCAGAGCTCCCATGCCATGGGCGCAGCACCAGAAAGGCTAATAATGAGGCGGGGCGGCCACCCACCCCAGGGAGATTATGTTCCTTGTCCAACTCTCACTTCATTTAAAAAGCCTGTCTCTGATCCTCTTAGAGCATTTGTGAAGTGGATGGGACGTGAGGCGAGGCAGGAGGAGAAGCGCCTGTGCTTCCCTCCTTGGGGACGGACCAGGTGATTTACATATTTATGAAATCTCTTACATTTTGCCTGGGCCGCGTGTGCACCAGGAGACATTGCTTCTCATTTTAAGCTGTGGATCTGTGTTCCGAGAGTGACAGCTCAAGCTGCCACGGGGCCTCATGGGTATCTGGAGGTGATAAACAGTCCTGGATGGGGTTCCTATCCCAGATCTGCAGTATCCAGCTGTGCAACTGTGGGTGGATCACTCGCCATCTCTGGGCCTCAGTTTCCCCATGTGTAGAATGAGGACAGACAATATCTATAGTAGGCACTCCTGGCATGGTCCTGGTGATCCCCACTCCTGGCATTAACGTCCTTGTGTGATCCTCTCCTGAGGATGGACTGGACCCAGTGACTGGCTTCTCACCAGCAGAAAACAGCCAGAGTGAAGGGATGTTCCCCAGGTTAGGTTCCAAATCCCCAGGACTCTGCCTTTCCCTTCCTTGTCCTTGGATTACTTGCTATGACAAAGTGGCCACCAGGCAGTTGGCTGCTCCACGGAGGGGCAGCCTCTGGCCAGCAGCCAGAGAGGGGTGAAGCCTCAGTCTGAGAGTCCACGGGGAGCTGAATCCTGTCAGCAGCCGTGTGGGTGAGCCTGGACAGAGCCTCCCCAGTGGAGCCTTGAGACGACCACAGCCTTGGCCCACACCTTGGCTGTAGCCCATGAGACTTACAGCAGCTGCCAGGCACTCAGGAGAGCTGCCGCCCCTCCTCTGGGCTGGTCAGTGAGCCGTCTGTGGGTGCATCTGAGCTGCCTTCTTATCTCCAGGCCCAGTACATAGTGGAGCTTGCTCAGTCCAAGTGTGTTACTGGGATCTGTGAGTAGCGGGTGATTCATGGCACACATTAGCAGGGACGCCTTGGGGCGCGGTAGGGGCTCAGCACCCCACAGCCTTGACAGATGGGCTTCCTGACCTAGCCCTACTCCCACCTCCAGAGACAGGGCCCGGGACCCCTCCCCTTGGTGACTGAGACAGCCCCTCTGTTGTGTGTCAGCTCCTCTCATCTAATCATTCTTTCTACAGCCTTCCTGTTCTCGCTCGTAGAAGAGGGGGTTGGGAGGCTGCGCCCCTCAGCCAGCTCCGGACTGTGTACTTGGGCTTTGGGGGCCACGCCTGGTGTCGCTTTGTGTATCCCGGCATCCGATGCAGAGCCTGGGGCACAGCTGCCGCTGGGAAATACCCAGGGTGAGAATACATGAGCAGCCGGTCTAGCATTTTACTCAAAGCACAGATGACTTGATCAGAAGGTGGGTTAAAAGGCTCACCGGAAACGTTTCCTTATTTCCTGTCGGTGCCTGAAATGACTCCTCTTAGAGCCTCTTTGGGGTTTAACACACTGAAATCCCTTGTGCAACGGGCGGGTGTGCTTGCTGAGTCCTGCCACTGCTGGCCACCCTGCCATGGTGAAAGGTGAATCTTTGTTAGGGTGACCTGGCAGAAAGGAAGGCTCTGAGACACCCAGCGACGGGCCTGGCGAGATTGGCAGAAACTGGGGAATGCCCAAGGGCTTCCCGCGCACCTGATGGGAATAGGCCAGATGCCATGCTCCTCCTGACCGCCCCCGAAGAACTGAGACATGGTTCTTGGAGGGATGACTCAGACAAACCTGCCAGGGCCCCTCTAGGCCTTGGAGGCAGAGGCTGGGTCCCTGTGGCTGAGTGGGATGTCCACAGCAGGCCGTCCAGGGGCAATTCCACAAGGACGTGAGCCTTCCACGGCTGTGCCGTCCGACACAGCAGCTGCCGGCCACGTGTGCGCCTGTGCACTTTCAGCCAGGAGGAACGGAATGCGAACGTTGTCTCTGTTACTTACACTTACGTTTAAATGGCCACCCACGGCTGGTGGCCGCCCTGCTGGATGGTGCGGGTCCAGGACAGACAGAATGAGCAAAGTGGAGGCCGCTCTGGTTTCTTGTTTGAAGTCAGATCTTTCCAAGAATGCTAAAAATAATCTTTAAAAAATAATGCCGAGAGAAGATGAGTCTCACTGGGCCACGAGGAGCCGGGAGGGGCGGCACAGCCTCTAATCCATCAGAGAGGTTCCGCCATCTGTCCGGGAGACTCTGCTAGAGGGAAGAAGATTCCTGACTCATCCCTATTTTTAACAGTGTTTATCTTCAGATCCACGCGGTGCCGTGGGATAGAGTGGGGATGAACATACCCCTGCCCTGTTGGTCCTATTTGTGGTGATCTGGATCCAGATGCCACACTGGACCTGGAGCGGCTCCCCAGACCTTGACAAGTTCTGCAGGCAGACAGGACCGGGAAGGACCCCCGAGGGCTGGGGCCCCGAAACACTCGTCCTTCTCACATTCCGCTTCCCACCGTCACCTTCGGCAACTCCATCACCATGGCCAGCTCCGGCGTCACCATGGCCCAGACCGAAACACCCCCAGCTGTGCTGCCAACGCCCCCTGAGCCAGGGCCGCCACATCCTTCTGGTCAACCTCCTGACACTCCTCACCCTCCTCATGCCACTGCCACCCAGCAGCCCTGGAGCTGACCCCATTCAGTGCACAGGCAACTTGAATTGCCCAGCACCAGGCCCCAGGGCTGCACCAAGAAAGGGAATCCACGCATCCACCTTGGGAACCCTCCAGAATCAGGGCATGCCACGTGGATCCCGACTGGGTTCACAGGTCAGCCACACCCCTGGGAAAAATGGCGCCTGAGGCAGGTCTCTCCAGGGGTGGCCTGGCCGACTCTCTGGGCCTTCATTCCCGCCCCTGCCTGCCCTCACCGTCACCTGGTGGGCCCGTTTCTACATCACAGTCCCGAGTGCTGTCCTGTGTTGCTCCAGGAATCCCCTGTGAAGTCAGGGCTCCCATCACCGCTCTGCAGGTCAGGATCCTGAGTCAAGGGTGAGCAGGATGGCGGTCCTGCCGAGTGGCAGGTGGCCTGCAGACACAGGCCTCGCCTCGCAGACGGTGCTCCCTCTCCCCTCTCTCTCCGGTCAGGCTACGCCCTGGCTGAGCCCTGAGTCCACCTGCTCCCTGCCTGGACTTGGCCAGGGACAGGTGGTAAGAGTGCAGGGTGAGGCAGGATGCTTGGTTCTGGGGGACCAGCCTGACCCCATGCTGGCTGAAGCAGCATGCACCCTGCCTCCCTAAGCTGACAGGTCCTGGAAAAATGGCATGATGTGGCCAGCAGCGCCGGGAATCACAGCCCCGGAGGCACCATTTCCCCCTGTCCAGCCCTCATTTTGCCAGTCTCGCCGCTGCCTTTCATTCCTGCACTCTCCCTGGCCTGGGGGTGGGACAGGAAAGGGCCGGACTTGCCTCCTCCCAGGGGAGAGCATCTCTCTCCCACATTGAGGTACCAGGAGAGTGACATGTTATCACGGGGGTTGGATCTGGTGGTCAGCGCCACCTGGTCATGGGGCCTGCGACCATGGTGCCTGACCCCTGTTGGTCCCACGGAGTTCAGACACTGGCCTGCCTCCAGCCCAGACAATTTTCCCCTGGAGTGGCCTCCCTCTCTGCCTGGGCATTGGCTTATTCTGAGTGAGAACACTCTTCCCATGTGTTGCTGAGTGTCCCTGGGCAGGCACCTGCCTTCTTTCTCTGTGTGGCACCTGTGGTCCTGCATGTCTCCCGGGAGCTGAGGTTGTGAGGTGGCTTCGAGTGCAGGCTCTCCCCTAGCTGGCCCTGCGACCCCAGGCAAATCCCTCCAGCTCTTCCCTGACTGTTTCTGTCCACGGGGACAAAGATCCCAGTAACTGTTTTGAGGCTCATGTAGAAGGACAAGGCAGGTGTGGCTCAGAGCATTCACTGCCTGCATCCAGTCAACCCTGATGAGTCCCACGTGGGGTGAGCACCAGGGTCGTAGAAATCAATAAGGCTGACACCTGTGCCGCGGACCCAGGAGCCCAGCGAGGGGCGGAAGACGCGGAACTGCTGCGCTGGGCTGTCCGCCTGTGCCGAGGACCCAGGAGCCCCGGGGGGAGATGGAACTGCTGCGCTGGGCTGTCCGCCTGTGCCGCGGACCCAGGAGCCCCGGGGGGAGACGGAACTGCTGCGCTGGGCTGTCCGCCTGTGCCGCGGACCCAGGAGCCGACCCGGGGGTGGGAGACGCGGAACTGCTGTGCTGGGCTGTCCTCATTCTGGCGCCACCTGGAAGGTGACACTGCTATGGGCAGACAGGAGCTGGGAGAAGAGTGGGGCTGCCGGCTGTGGAGCTGCCAAAGCCAAGCTGTGCTGGTGATTGGAGCAGGACGGGCACCGGCTGCTGGGGGCAGCCCTCACCAGGAGCCACGGAATGAGCCGTGCCCACAGCCAGGTGCTTTCTCCCTCTGCCCAGGGCTGGTAAACACTTCACCATGCCCACCCCGCTGTGACTTTCCCTGCTCCTGCCCCCAGGCCGCCCCAGCCCACAGCAGAGCTCCCTCTCTCTCCAGTCTCCTGGCCTCTCCGATGCAGGCCGTGCTCCCAGATAATCCCGCTATGAACAGGGGTTTCACCGAGACTTCATCCTCCCTGGGCAGGGTTGGGTGTGCAGAGTGGGTGTTTATGGCTGAAGGGCGGGGTCTGGAAACTGTGCGGGCCTGAACACAGACACAAGGGAAGCTGTGTGCTTCTCCTTCTGAGGCAGGCCCCTGACAGGGCAGTCTAGAAATTGTGAGTCAATCACAGGCTGAGATGGAACTCGGCAGGTGGCGGGGAAGGGGGTCCTCGGGACTCTTGTTGGGTGAAGAATTAACAGCGTTCGTGTCCTGTACTCCAGGTCTCCCAGGCTGGCCTCTCCTGGTCTCAGCCTGGGGCCCATCCAGAATGACCTGCTGTTGGTGGGCACGGCAGTGGGTAGGGTGACCCAGGGCGGGCAGGCTGTGTGTATGTAGTGGGTGGTTACTGAGTGAGTGGATGGCAAGCCTCACCGTCTAGGTGTGAACTGCCCTGCAGCCCAGCCCTGCTCCCGCCTGCTGTGTGATTCTCTAACCCGTCTCTGAGGCTCAGGCCCCATGCGCGTGGGTGCGGGGTGGCTGCGGGTCCCCACGAGATCCTCGTGGTGAGTGAGCTGCACCTGTGCTGGGGACTTAGGGAGTACTCAGCGATCTAGTGGTGACAGCAGCTGCAGTCGTGGCAGGAATGAATATTGTGAGGTGTTTTACACACATAGGGCTTCGTTTAATTTTCCAAACAACCCCATGAGGGGCTATAATAGTCCCCACTCGACAATGGAACGAGGCTCACAGAGGTTCAAGGGAAACTTGACGATGGAATGAGGCTCACAGAGGTTCGAGGGAACGGCTGGAGGCCACTCAGCTCACCACAGAGAGAGCTTGCACATGTCAGAGTGGGCTGGAAAGTCAACAGCTGCTTTTGAGTCTGTGAGCCAACAAATAAATGAAAGGGCCCAGCATAGACTCTGGACCCAGTGCTGGGTTATTCTGCCCTGAGCACTGGAGAGGTTCAAATCCTAGGGGACACCTCGGCGGAACTGGAGGCTGCATGTGTCTTAGAGAGTGTCGGGCTGATGGCCTGGAGCCTGGCTTTGGAGTCCCAGGCTGGGCCAGCCCTGACTGCTGCTGCTCCTGCCCAGCCTCGTGGACGACACCTTCAGTCTGGGTCACCCTCTCCCACGAGCAGCCCTCGACCCATCCTTTCCTTCCAGGCTGCCTGTGGGTGGGGGAGGCACGGAGCTTGGAGTTGGTAATGATGGAGATGCCAGCAAGGTGCCTCCTCCCCAGAGGGTCTCACAAGGCCCCACTGCTGAAAGGAGAGGTGGGGGCCATGACCCGGGTGCAGCATGGCCTTGGGGGATGGTGGGGACGCAGGGGCGGTGACCCGGGTGCAGCCTGGCCTTGGGGGCCAGGGGTGCCACAGCCCGCCGCTGTCCATCTCATCCTCCTACATGTTCTCTTCCCTTGTCTGCCGTAACGCCTGGCCAGGGCGCCATCCTCAGGGGCTCATCCTCTTGGTGGGGGCTGGGCTTGCTCCTGGGGCCCCCATGCTGATGGGGGTGGAGTGGAGAGGCTGGGCTGGTTGGGGATACACCTCAGCCTGGGCTTGCTGGTTCTAGGAGCATTGGAGTCTGGACCTGGGTTCAGAGGATGCTCCCAGCTAGGCCTCTGGTGCTTCAGCCCACACAGCAGTGCCCCCTTATCACCCGTGGGCACTGCCCCTCCTCTGTCCTAAGAGCTCCAACCCAAGAATCAGACCCCGTCCACTGCATCCTCAGTCTCTGGGTGCATGTGGCACCGCTGGGGGGCGGAGGCTGCAGCTGACAGCTGGCTCCCCATGCCGCGTGGGTCCAGGCAACAGCTCTGGTTCTCTAAGATGTGGTGAGGGGGAGCTGGACTGCGTGACCCAGGCCCTCCTAACAGTGCTGCTGGAGACTGTGTTCAGGAGTAAGTCCTCCACCACCAGTCCCAGCCACATCAACGCCGACGCTTTGATGCATAATTGCTGGTTTCCTGCCTGCAGACCATTCAAAGGAGGAGAGAGAAAACCTCCTTCATTTTATCTGGGGAAGGCGGCGAGCCTCACACTCTCGGCTCCCCCACGGGTGGCATCCTTTTCTGAGATCACAGCAACAGGCCAGCAATTAGACCCCAGCCTGGGCATCAATTGCAGTTCCTAAAGAGCGTGCAAGGGCTGGCAGCTGTGCAGCTCAATTGCTGTCGGAAGCCTCCGGGGTGGGTGGCTGGCTTCCTTATTCCCAGAGGCGGTGTCTGCGTTTCAGGAGTGCAGGCAGGGGACGAGCTCCAGAGACCTTGGCTCCTGGTGGAAGGGGTCTTCAGGTCCCACCAGAGCCCATGGCTGGGGCCACAGGCCTTGCCCGCAGAGCGTCTCCACCCTCATACACTCCTGGGGTCTCCTGTGCCTTTCAAAGCCACCTCTGTGCCTCAAAATCACATCTGTAGCCAGGTCCCCTCCCTCCAATCCCGCTCCTGCCTCCGTGGCCCACTCAGTGTCTCGATGGAGTTCCTGACATGTCCCCCTCCTGGACCCTGCTCCTTCCCATCTCAGGATCATGTGACCACGCACCCGGGACTCTGGCTCTGCTCATGGTGACAGTACACTTCCTCCTATGCCACTTCTGAGCATCCACAGCTGCCAGCTGCCCCTTGGAGACATATTTGTCACCCGGCTGGGCTGCCCTCCCTGTGGCTGGGGTCCCCCATGTGCCTGGAGGCAGCAATGGCTTCATGGCAGGTCTCTGTGCCCCTCCAGGAGGCCCCGGAGCAAGACCCCTGACTCCAACAGCATGGAGTCCTGACCATGCCCCGACTCTTGCCATCTCTGCCTGTACTCGGGTCCCACTAGGTGCCCTTGGCCTTCCTCTCTATGTTCCAGCTGCCTCCACTTCTGTCTACCTCTTTAACCTACTGGTTCCTTCCCACTGGGTCCTGTGGGCTGCTTTCCCCTGGACCTCCATGCATGGTGCTTTCTTCATCTTTTAGGTCTCAGCACAAAGCCCACCTTCTCAGAGAGGCCTTTGCTGGCTACACTCACACCCCCGCCCCAGCCCGAGCAGCTGCTATTCCACACTGTGCGTCTGAATGCCACCATTTCTCTGTTTCCTGCCCCATGAAGGAGGGTCTGCAGGGGCTGTCACCTGTCTCTGGTGCCCTCCAGCCGGAGCAGCCCCTCGGGTAGTGTCTGTCCTTGCCCACATGTGGGCTGCCTGCGTGGGGGGCAGAATGTGATGAGTGGGCTGTGCCACCTCACCTTGGCCTCTGGCAGGGTCCTCTCCATTAGCCAACCCTGCCTCTGACCCAGGAGCTGTCTTCCTTCCTGCTCCCAGAGTTTCCTCTCCCTCCATGGTGAGCCCAGGCTGTCTCGGAGCTCTGGGATTCTACCCGAGATGTCCACTCAGATGTCCAGGCAGGAAGGTGGAGGGGCCATTTTGAATGATTTCTCCTAGGAGAATGGCAAAATGCCCAGGGGGAGCGTGCCAGGACGGCACTGTCAGGGGTGCATTTCAGCTGGTACTGAAGAGCAGGGGGTGTGGAGGTGGCACAATCCACACATGAGGCTGAGGCAGGGAGGGCCCTGGGGATCTCTAGTGGCTCCTGATGGGAGGACCGACATGTGTGCATTCATGCAGTATCATTTATGAACCTGCTCCTCTAGGCTGGGGGCTGTGCTCGGGGCCAGAGACACAGCCATGAATAAGGCACAGGTCTCTGAAGGGCCTGGTGGTCCAGAGAGGGAGACAGACACATAGAAAATAGTGCATTGAGTACAGTGGCCTGAGTGTGCACAGTGAGTTAGGCGGTGCAGAGGAGAGACATCCAATTGAGCTTCTCCGAGGAGGTAACTCCCATGTGAGTCTTAAAAGATGAAGTGGGGAGGGGCTTCCAGCAGGAGCCAAGGCAATGAGGCCAGGAGCAGAGCTGGGTGCAGTGGGCTGGCGGAAGATGATGGAAGTGGTGTGAAAGGTGGTTAGGGGCCCGTCATGGGGCCTCATGTGCCGGCTGCAGGGAACAGAGCTGAAGCCACGGGTGTCCTGGGCTCAGGGCCTGGCAGCAGTCAGCAGGGGCTGGATGCTCACCTCCCGCAGGTTAATGGCACTCAGAGCTTCTGCAGGATGGCAGGACTGGGGCTGGCCTCCTGGCTTCAAGCCAGGGCTGTCCCTCTCCCCTCCACCCCACTTGAAAAAGGCAGCAACAAACACACAAAATAAGACTCGCTGGGGCCAACTGGGGCTGCACATGGGCCAAGACAGGCAAGTCAGTGGGAAGATGCAGAAAGAGACTTTCACCTGGGGGCCCAGCCAGGCCCTGGGATCTGTAAGGGGACTGAGGCACAGGAGCCTCCACTGCCATCATGAAGCCTGGCTCTGTGCTTCTGTGTGGAGTGCTGGAGGGTTGGGAAGAAGTGCCCAGTAAACCAGACAGGGAAGAAGAAAGATGAAAGTAAGGCAGACAAACATAACCCCCACTACTCTCTATGAACCTGTAAAGCAAAATTCCAAAATGCATGAAGAACTACAATGCTCAGGCAGCTCAGGAGCAGGAGTGTCTTGGACAGGTGCGGATGACAGGTGTGGCTCTGGAGAAGGGTGATGGGGAAGGATTGGGAGGATTGGAGGATTGGAGGATTAGAGGATTGGAGGCTCAGGAGCAGGAGAGGCCTGGACAGGTGCAGATGACAGGCGTGGCCCTGGAGAAGGGTGACGGGGAAGGATTGGGAGGATTGGAGGATTGGAGACGCAGGAGCAGGAGTGTCCTGGACAGGTGTGGATGACAGGTGTGGCCCTGGAGAAGGGTAATGGGGAAGGATTGGGAAGATTGGAGGATTGGAGGATTGGAGGCTCAGGAGCAGGAGAGGCCTGGACAGGTGCAGATGAAAAGTGTGGCACTGGAGAAGGCTGATGGGGAAGGATTGGGAGAATTGGAGGATTGGAGGCTCAGGAGCAGTAGTGTCCCAGACAGGAGCAGATGACGGGTGTGGCCCTGGAGAAGGGTGATGGGGGAAGAGTGGAGAGTGATTTGGGAGGCAGAATCAACAGGGGTGGTGACTGAGGGGAAACAGGAAGTGGAGACTCATGGGTGACCTCCAGGTGTCTGGCTTGCTTGTGACAGAGGGCACTGACTGAGGGCCAGGACCAAGTGGGAAGACATGGGTTTGGCTGACACTGCTTGGGGCTGCCTTTCTGCCTCACTCCTCATTTTGCTTTTAGGTAGAGAGACTTGAATGATGCTGGGATATTGGGTGAAAGTAACCAAGCATGCCCTTTACCTTCTCCTGATGGTTTTGTCTCTGAGAAAGACTTTAAAATAAGTATGTTTAGGTTACTTAAAGAGGTTAGCAAAGGTACAGTTATTCAGAAAGAATAAGAAATTACGCAAAGAGAAAAGCAGAAACAAAACAAGACCGAAAGGATATGTATAACTAAATAAAAACCCTGGATACAGAAGAAAAAAAAGAAATAGAGCTGTCAAAAATGAAATGCAATAGATAATGTAAACCTAAGAAGGATGTCATTAAGAGAGAAGTACTAACTGGAAGACCATGCTGAAGAATTCACCCGTAATACATCACAGAGACAAACAAATATAAAAACACGAAAAAGCAATCAATAGGGTTGAGGGAGAGATGGAGACCCTCCCACTGGGTGAAATAGAGAAGGATTTTTTTTTTTTTTTGAGACGGGGGAAAAAAATTTTTTTTTTCCATCGCCCAAGCTGGAGTGCAGTGGCGTGATCTCGGCTCGCTGCAACCTCTGCCTCCCAGGTTCAAGCGATTCTCCTGCCTCAGTCTCTGAGTACCTGGGCCTACAGGTGCCCACCACCACAGCCGGCTAATTTTTGCATTTTTAGTAGAGACGGGGTTTCACCATATTGGCCAGGCTGGTCTCAAACTCCTGACCTCAAGTAATCCACCTGCCTTGGCCTCCCAAAGTGCTGGGATTACAGGCATGAACCACCACGCCTAGCAGAAAAGCAATTTTTAATGAGATAATGGCTGAGAATTTTTCAGAAATGGAGAGTCACATTAGTCCTCAGATTAGGAGAGCCCTCTGAGAAACTGAGTCAGATAAATAAAAATACCCTCCCCATGGTACCTTATTGCTATAATGGAGAATATAGAGGATGAAGAAGTGTGATGGCTAATTTTATGTGTCAATTAGACTGGGATAAATGATGCCCAGAGAGCTGGTGAAACACGATTCCTGGGTGTGTCCATGAGGGTGTTTCTGGAAGAGGTGAGCATCTGAATCAGTGGACTGAGTAAAGAACACCCCCATCATGAATAGGGATGGGCATCATTCAACCTGTTGAGGACCTGAATAGAGCAAAGAGGTGGAGAAACAGCGAATTCTCTCTGCTTGAGCTGGAACATCCATTGTCCCCTGCCCTCAGATATTGGATCCTCTTGTTCTCAGGCCTTTGGGTTTGCACTAGAACTACACAACCAGTACTACCGGCTCTCCAGCTTGCAGACAGTAGATCGTGGGATTTCCAGGCTTCCATAGTTGTATGAGCCAGTCCTTCATAATACATTTCTTTCTACATATTTACATATATCCTACCCTGGAGAATCCTGACTAATACAAAAGGCAATCTTCAAAGCCATCAGAGCATTTCTGCTTCCAACAAAGATGGAATAACAGAAATCATACTTATTCTCCCACATGAAATAACTCCCAAATCAGACATAACAGGAAACAATAGCTTTCATAACACTGGGGGTCCAGTAATGAAAGGTGGACCCTGATATATGAGAAATGAATGAGGAGATCCCTAAAATTGCCCCAGTTATGGGCGTGAGAGTTTTCAGGCCACAGGAGGAAGGGAACTGAAATACAGCCTGGCGATCTCTCTGGGTTGAAGAAAGGGGACAGAGAGTTGAGGAGAGTTCCCAGGGCGGAGTACCAGAGAGAAGATACAAAGGGAAGTGTGGACAGCTGCAGAGAGTCCCCCTTGAGTAATCAGCCAAGTACTGATCAGCACATACGTATGAAAGAACTAACTGAGAATGGAGAACTGAGAACGGAACTAACTGAAAGGACTAGATGAAACAGTGCCGATGTTTACACAGGGCCAGGAGTAGTGCCCATCCCCACCAGCTAGATTGGAAAACCCCACAATTCATGGGGTCATTGGCGAGAGTATACAGCAGGTCTTACCAAAGAGTGGGGAATAATTCACTGTAGATTGAGGTCTTCTTTGATCACGTACAACAAATGTTAAAAGCAAGATCTGAAAGTATCAAACTCTTTCTAAGTAACTTGACTACATCCACAACAAAGTTGAAAAATATTAATAGGAGGCTTGGAGCAGTGGCTCATGCCAGTAATCCCAGCATTTTGGAAGGTGAGGTGGGAAGACTGCTTGAGCCCAGGAACTTGTGACCAGCCTGGGCAACATAGTGAGACATTGTCTCTATAAAAAATCAAAAAAATGCGGCAGTAGGATCATTTGAGCCCTTGAGGTTGAGGCTGCAATGAGTGTGATCACACCACTGCACTCCCACTGGGGTTATGGGAGTGAGATTCTGTTTCAAGAAAAAGTGACAGGAATACAAAAAGCATTCAGCACCCAACAAAATATAATTCACAATATCTGGCTTCCAACAAAAAATTACCACTCATGAAGAGAAACAGGAAATACAACCCATAATGAGGAGAAAATCAGTTGAAATCAATCCAGAAGACAGATATTCAAATTAGCAGACAGGACTCGAATATATATATGTTCACAACCTGAGTAGAAATAGAACTCATGAATATAAATTTTAATAAATGGAACAAAATAGTTAAGTGGAGGCATAGAAGTTGTAAAAATATGACTCGAACTTCTAAAAATGAAAACTTCAATGTGTGAGATAAAAATTATACTGGAAGAAATTAATAGTAAAGTTGACAGTGAAGACAAAAAGATTAGCTTGAGGATGAGCTTGAAGACACAGTAATAGAAACCATCCAAAACGTAACTGAAAGAGGAAAGAGAATTTAAAAAAAATGAGCAAAAATCAGTGAGCTGTGGAGCAACTTCACATGGATGAATATGTGGAAAATTGAAGTCCCCCAAGTGGAGGAGCACTAAAAAGTATTTGAAGAAATAACAGCAAAAAATTTATAGGTCAATGAAAACTGTAAACCCAGAACTCCAGGAAGCTCAACAAATCTCAAGCACAGAAACATGAAGAAAACTGTGCTGAGGCACAGCATAATCAAATTGCTCAAAGCCAATGACAAAGGGGAATCTCCAACACAGCCAGCTTTTTTCAGGGAGTGGGAGTCACACACATCTGGAAGAAAAACAGCAAGGATGACAGCTGGTTTTTTAGTGAAGACGATGTAGGTGGGAAGACAATGGGGGCAATATCTTTAAGCACTGGGAAAAGGCCATCAACCCAGCATTGTATACTTAGTGAACATGTCTTTCAAAAAGAAAGTAAAGATTCTTCTAGATAGTCATAAAAGCCAAAAAGTAGGCATCATCATCAGACTTGCACTAAAAGAAATATTAAACAACGTCCTTCAGGCAGTAGGTAAGCGATACACAATGAAATTAGAATCTGCCCAAGAGAATGAGGAGCACAGGAATAGGCACTGCATGAATACGTAGATAACATTATTTTTCTTACTCTGTAAATATCTTTAAAGGAAAACTGACTTTATTTATTTATTTATTGAGACAGAGTCTTGCTCTGTCACCCAGGCTGGGTTGCAGTGGTGGGATCTTGGCTCACTGCAATCTCCACCTCCCAGGTTCAAGTGATTCTCCTGCCTCAACCTGAGTAGCTGGGATTACAGGCACATGGCACCATGCCTGGCTACTTTTTTTGTATTTTTAGTAGAGACAGGGTTTCACTATGCTGGTCAGGCTGGTCTCAAACTCCTGACCTCAAATGATCCACCCACTTAGGCCTCCCAAAGTGTTGGGATTACAGGTATGAGCAATCATGCCTGGCCCAAAACTGACTTTTAAATAAAAATAGTAACAATGATAACAAAATCTGTGTATGTAGATGTGAGGCACATATAACATCATAAAAGTGTGAAATGTAAGACAATAACAGTGCAGTACAAGGCTGAAAGTGCCCAGAATGGAAGGATGCTTTCAGAAGACTTTTATCCTATATGTGAAGTGGTGTGGTATCACTTGAAGGTAGACTGTGATAAATTTAAAATGTACACTAGAAATCCTAGAGCAAGCACTAAAATAACAAAAGAAAGACTTATAGGTAATAAGCCAACAAAGGATATAAAATATAATCATAGAAAAGTTAACACAAAACAAGGCAGAAAAAGAGAAAAAAGAAACAATGAACAAAAAGTTTATTTCTACAACTAGAAAAAAGTAATAAGGTGTCAGATTTAATTTTGGCTATATAAATAATCAGAGTAAATGTGGAAAAGGAGAAATGAGTAGATGTAGCACAGAGGATTTTTAGGGCAGTAAAACTATCCTGTATGATACCATAGTGGTGGACACATGACTTTGTACATTTGTCAAAACTCATAGAATTGTGTAACACAGAGCGAACCCTAATGTTAACTACGGAATGTAGTTAATAAAAATATATCAATACTCAATATATTAATTTTATATATAAATTGTAACAAGTGTACCACTCTGATGCAAGATGTTGATAATAGGGGAAACTGTGAGCAGAGAGAAAGGGGAAACATCAAACATGATAGAAAGGGATACATGTAAGCTGTCTGTACTTTCTGCTCAACGTTTCTGTAAAATGCTCTAATGATTTAAAAAAAAGTTGGAGTGGCTACATTAATATATGATTAACTAGATTTCAGTGCAAAGACTATTACCTGGAAAAAAAAAGCATTTCATTATAATAAAAGGGTCAAGTCACCAAGAGAGCAAAATCCTAAATGTTTATGCACCTAATAACAGAGCTTTGAAATATATGAGGGATAAATTGATAGAACTGAAAGGAGAAGTAGAAAAATGCACAATTATGGATGAAGATTTTAATACACCTCTTTCAATAATTGACTGAATCAGTAGACAACAAAAGCACTAAGTGTATAGGAGATTTAAACAGCACCATTAACTAACTTGATCTAATTGACATTTATAAAACACTCCAGCACCAACAGCAGAGTATACGTTATTTTTGAGAACATGTGAAACACTTATCAAGCTAGACCGTATTTTGGGCCATAAAGTAATTCACAATAAATTTAAAAGGATTCAAGTCTTATAAAGTATGTTCTCTAACCGCAATTGAATTGAAGTGAAAATCAATAATGGAAAGATATCTGAGATATCTCCAAATATTTGAAAATTAAATAAGACACTTATAAAATATGCATGGGTCAGGGAAAAAATAGAATGGAAGTTAGAAAGTACTTTGAACCAAATTGACATGACAAGATAAAATCAGAATTTTGAGGATGCCATTACAGCAGAAGTTAGGAGGAAATTTATAGCAGTAATTAGAAAGAGAAGAACAAATTAAATCCTAAGTAAGCAGAAGAAATGAAACTATAAACATACTGAAAATGAAATTGAAAGTATAAAAATAGAGAAAATCAATGAAATCAAAAGCTAGTTCTTAGAAATAAACAAAATTTATAAACTTCTAAACAGACCAGTTGTGAAAAAATGAGATAAGACACAAATTACTGATATCAGGATTTAAAGAGGTAACCTCATTAGAGATCCTACAGATATTAACAGAACAATAAAGAAAACCAACTTTCATCAATACATCTGACAACTTTGATAAAATGGATAAATTCTGTGAAAACTACAAATTCATGTCAGAAGAAGCAGATTACCTGATTAGTCCTTTATCTAGTAGAGAAATTGAAGTGGGAGTTAAAACTCCCTCAAGGAAGCTAGTCCCAGATGACTTCACTGGTGAATTCTACCAACCATTTAGGGAAGAAATAATATCAATTCTATACAAAATTCTTCCAGAAAATTGAATGGGATGGAATACTTTCCAACTCATTCTATGAAACTAACATTATCCTAATACCAAAACTAGACAAAGATATTACAACAAAATAAAACCATAGGCCAATGTCTCTTATGTACATAGATGCATAAATTCTAAACATAATTGTAGAAAATCAAATTCAACAATATATGAAAAGGATAATATATCATGACGATGTGGCGTTTATCTACCAGGAATGCAAGGTTGATTTAACGTTTGAAAAATTAATCTACCTAGTTTACAAACCGAAAAATAAAAATTATATAATCATCCTAATAGGCTCAGAAAAAGTATTTGACAAAGTCCAACATCCATATTTTTAATAAGAACCTTCAGTGAATAAGGTATAGAAGGGAACTTCCTCAAGCTGATAAAAGGCACCTATGAAATATTTGCAATAAACCACCTTCTTAATGATAAAAACCTGAATGTTTTCTCCTTATGATCAGAAACGAAATACAGATAGTCACTCTCATCATTTCTATTCAACACTGTACTGGAAGTTGTAGTCAGTTCAACTGGCATGAAAAAAAAATAGAAGTCATGCAAATTGGAAAAGAAAATGAAGTAAAATTGTCTTTATTCACAGACAACATGATTGTCTTTGTAGAAAATCTAAGGAGATCTGAAAAACAAGAAAACAAACAAAACCCAAACCTACTAGAACTAATAACTGAGTCTAGCAATGTTGCAGGATGTAAGATCGATATACAAAAGTAATTTTATTTCTACGTATTACCAAAAAGCAATTGGAAATTGAATTTTTTGTTCAATTTGGCATCAAAATTAAAGTAGCATTAAAATTATGAAATACTTAGGAACAAATCTGGTAAAAGATATGGATGACCTGTGCATTGGAAAACAACAAAACATTGCTGAATGAAATTAAAGATCTATATAAATGGGAGAGATATACCCTGTTCATGTATCAAAAGATTCAATATTGTTACGATATTAACCTACTTCAAATTGATCTGTATATTCAATGCAATCCCAATGAAAATGTAAGCAGTTTCTTTTTAAAGAAATTGTCTAACTGATTATAAAATTTGTACAGAAATATAAAGGTCCAAGCATAACTAAAACAACTTTCAAAAAAAAGAACAACATTGGATGATTAACACTACCTCATTTCCAGACTTTCAAAACTACAGTAATCACAACATTGTGGTATTGACACAAAGGTAGACAAGTATATCAATGAAACAGAATAAAGAGTGAAAAAACAGATCCACATATATTGGACAAATGATTTTCAACAACAACAAAAAATGATTTTCAACCAAAGTCAACAAAGGTGCAAAAGCCATTCAGTGGAGACAGAACAGTCTTTACAGCAAATGGTGCTGGGACAATTAGTCATATATGCAACACCCCTACCGACTCAAAAAGGAGCTTTAATCTATTCCTTGCACCATGCACAGAAATTAACTTACAATGGATTATAGACCTAAATATGAAAAACAAAACTATAAAACTTTTGGAAGAAAACATAAGAACAAAAACTTTTGTAGCCTTGGGTTAGGTGGGTTAGGCAAAGATTTCTTAATATGACACCAAAAACATAGTAAAAGAATGAAATGAATTTCACAAGGTTTTAAACATCTGCTCTTTGATTGACACTGTTAATAGAATGAGAAGGGAAGCTAAATACTGGAAGAAAATATTTGCAAGTCATATATCTGATACAGGACTCATATGCAGAACACATAGAGAACTCTCAAAACTCAGTAATAAGAAAACAATAAAAAATAGGCAAAATATAGGAATAGACATTTCGATAAAGATAACAGGCTGGCAAATAAGCACATGAAGAGATGTGCAACAGTGTTAGTCACGTAAAAAATGTAAATTAAAACCCCACTGAGATGCATCTACTTGCCTACTCAGGTGGCTGCAGTGAGAAAGACTGATCATTCTAAGTGCTGGGGAGGATGTGGGAGGACTGGAGCTCTCAAAGCCTACTGATGGGAATGGAAATGGTACATTTACAAACTTTGGAAACAAGTTTGATGGTGTCTTTAAAAGTTAAGCATACACTTACCATAGGATCCAGCCATACTTCCCCGGAGAGAAGAAAGTGTGCCTCTCAGCAAGGCTTACACACGAATATTCACAGCAGCTTTATTTATAAAAGCTGAAAAATGAAAACAGCCCAACCGCCATCCACATGCAAATGGATAACCCACGGTGATGTGTTCCATCCATGCCGAGGAATACCATTCAGCCATAAAAAGGAACGGATCAGAAACGCATGCAACAGTGTGGACCAATCTTAAAATAGTTGTGTGGACTAGAATGAGCCAGTCCAAAACAGAATCCTGAAACTCCCCTACTCTGCTAACGGGAGAAAGTGATTTCCATGTACAAACCAACAAAATGTTAGTATCCAGAACATGAAGAGCATCTACAAATCAGTAAGAAAAAGACCAAGAAAACCTTTACAGAAAAATAGATGAAGAGTTTAAACAGCCAGTTTACAAAAGAGGAAACAAAATGGCAAGTAAGTACATAAAAAGAAGTTCAATCTCACTACTACTTGGGAAAAATGACAATTAATTCAAAGAAATGCCATTTCCCACTCTGCAGATGGGCTAATGCTAGAAGTTGGCCAGCACCAAGTGAGGTCAGGATATGGGGCACGAGCCGTCCCACCCACTGCTCATGAGTGGACGTTCCCACCACCACCCGGTGCAGCCGCTCATGGCCTACGACCCAGCAATACTGCTTCTAGAAAGTTCCACATGGCATGCACAGACAGACGTTTCTAAGATTGCTCACTGTGGCATCCTTGCACTGGCAAAATTGAAAACAGCCTACCTTGCCCACCAAGTACTGGTGAGTCAACTGTAGTGTATTTAATAAGAGGGCAGGCATTTAAAATGTGAACTAGAGCTACATCTACCAATAAGGATAAATTGCAGAGATGACTGTGAGTGAGAACCTCTAGCTGGGGGAGGTGAGTACAGTAACATGGTATTCGGTAAAGTTTGAAACCCTGCAAAAGAACATTCTCTATTGTTTATGGGAACATAAAAATGTAGTAAAAGTGGGAAACACAAGCAAGTGATAAACGTCTGATTCCTTGCGGTGGTTATCTCTGGAAGGGGATGGAGGGGGACGGAAATGAGGAGGGTAGCTGGCCCGGCAAAGGTCCCTCCGCCATGACAGGGTCAGCACCGGTGTCAGGGAGGCTGGATCTCTAGGCTGGGGTCTGAGAAGGTGACAGGGGCGGGGGTCCCTGCTGCAGAAACTCCACAGGGACAGAGGCCGGGAGAGCATTTCCAGGACAGAGGGAGCGCCAGTGGCAAAGCTGGGGGTGACTTGAAGCCGGAAACTGGGGATTCAAGTCCTTCCCCTGAGGGTGGGGCACGCGCAGATGATGTGCCAGGTGGGCCCTGATGCAGACGTCACAGGCCTGGGCTGCGTCACTGAGTCCTGGGACTTGGTTCTGGAGGCCAAAGAAGCTGGTTGAAGAAATGTGAGGGGGACGGCCGGGGCCCAGGGGAGGCGCCTTTGGGAGTGGATGGAGGGCCTGGGCAAGTTCAGTTAGAGGGATGCAGCTGGGGGAGATGGGACACCCCGGTGGGGAGATGCCCTAGAGGGCTCCGCTCTGGCTGCTGGAGGCGTGCCCACCCCCAGGAGTGCTTCCTTGCACCAGCACCTGCAGCTGGAGGAGGCCCCTGCCGGCCTCAGCCCTCTGTAAACTCAGAACCTGCTTTCAGCTTTCTCAGGGCTGGCTGAGAATCCTCCTTAGGGCAGAGTTACTGCTCCTGACTCTCAGGGCCTGCCCCAGGCAAGGCAGTGCAGGCAGTGCCTCGGTTTCCCCCTCATTCTCTCACCCCCCCACTTGGCTTCCAGGGTCTCCTTCCCCTGCTGAGACAGGCCCTGGGCTGCAGGCCGAGTCCTGCCCCAGCAGGTCACAGGAGCTGCAAGCTAGGCTGGACCTCAGAGTGGCTTAACAAGGCCCTTCCTGAGTCCCGGCATCGGAGTGGCTGTGGGGTTGGCAGCACTTCCGGGAAGTTAGGGATGGCCGTCCTGGGCACTCCCAGACCCATCATCTTCACACACGCTGTCCCCCTCCCCTGCCAGGCAATTCGGGGCTCTCCTCCCAGTGCTGGGGGAGCTCCAGCCTCTCAGCTGCTCCGTGAAATCAGAACCCGAGACCAGTCCATACCCGGCTCAGAGTGATGGTGCAGAGAGCCCTGCAGGCTGCATTCGCTGGTGTCCTGGCCAGGCGAGAACTGAGGGATCTCGGGCCCCACAGCCTCTCCCCTTTTGTTCATTCAGAGTCCACACATCCACATTGCTTCTCAGTGGGTCCTGCAGCCCTGCATGGACCATGCCTGCCTGCAGCTTCCCACGGGGCTGTTCCCACTTGCCACGGGTACCTTCTCTGATAGGTTTGTTAAGTGCATCAGCACCTGTGAAGCCTCACGAAATATGTCCCATTGTTTGTGTGACCTCTTTTTTTTTTGAGACGGAGTCTCGCTCTGTCACCCAGGCTGGAGTGCAATGGTGTGATCTGGGCTCACTGCAAGCTCCACCTCCCGTGTTCACACCATTCTCCCGCCTCACCCACAGGCGCCCACCACCACACCCGGCTAATTTTTTTGTATTTTTAGTAGAGATGGGGTTTCACCATTCACAGGATGGTTTCGATCTCCTGACCTTGTGATCCGCCCGCCTCAGCCTCCCAAAGTGCTGGGATTACAGGCGTGAGCCACCGCACCCGGCCAGTGTGACCTCATTTTAAAGTCTAATTTGTTAGACTTAAATAAGGTCTAATAGCAGAGGCTTAAAGCAAGCTTGTGCCTTGGGGTTCATTGCCCCGTCCATTGGCATAAGGAAGACGTGACCAGGCAGCCTGGTGAGCCTAGGAAGAGGATGAGAGGCCCATGGGGCAGAACCAGCTCACCCTGATTATCCCAACAAGACGGACAGCCAGTAGACCCCAGCCGCATGAGCAAGCCCAGCCCAGACCATGGCAGCTGACCTCCCCACACCAGCCCCTGCCCCTCCCTAAGGCTTATTGTGTGCCACTGCAGCTTTGGGGTAGTTAACGCTGCTTCCTTGGAGAGGCAGAGCTAATTGATGCAAACTCCTGGCTGTCACAAACAGCATTGTGAAGGGCTCCTTCTGCTGCAGTGACCTTGTGGATCTCCGCGAGATTCCTGTGAGATGCATGTCCCAGGAGCCAGGGTGCTGAGTCCTAGCCTGCATGGGTTTAACTGAACTTGACCAAGACCAACTTGTTTTTCAGAATGGCTGTGCCAGCCTAGTCCCTGTAACTAGCACAGAGCCTCTCTCTCCACACCCTTGCCAGCACTTTGTAGTGACCTCCTTCTTTTTTTTTTTTTTTTGAGACAGAGTCTCGCTCTGTCGCCCAGGCTGGAGTGCGATGGCATGATCTCAGCTCACTGCAACCTCCACCTCCCGGGTTCAAGCAATTCTCCTGCCTCAGCCTTCTGAGTAGCTGGGATTACAGGCATCCACCACCATGCCCGGCTAATTTCTGTATTTTTCGTAGAGATGGGGTTTCACCGTGTTGGCCAGGGTGGTCCTTAACTCGTGACCTCAGATGGCCCGCCCACCTCGGCCTCCCAAAGTGCTGGTATTACAGGGGTGAGCCAGCGCACCCGGCCGTGTCCTCCTTCCTAATCGTTGCCCTTCTGGGGGCGCAAAGCAGCTGTTTTACCATGTGTTCATCAGGTAACTGCTGAAATTGGTTGTGTCTTCAGCTGTTCCCTAGCCATTCGGGGAATCCTACTGTGAATGCCTGCTTTGGTCTTTGCTCAGTTTATGATTGTCTGAACCTCTTTGTTTTTATAGAAAGGGCTGCTCAGGCTCCCCAGGGGCAGGGCTGTGCCACCATCACATGACCAGTCATGAATAGTACTGGACTCAGGCCCGAGATCTGGACTCCTAGTCCTTCTCTTTCCCCAGTCTGGGCTCCAGTGTGTGTGGAGTGGGCTTCCCCTGGAACCAGCACCATAGCCCTCACCAGCAACAGCAAGGTGCGACTGGCATCCTTACTTCTCCCAGGGCCTTCCTGGTCAGCTGAGGGTTGCAGGGGCCATGCTGACTCCTCCTGGTGTGTGTTTCTTGGCTGAGCTGTCACCAGGGTATTAACTATTGTTGCCATATATTAATGCTACAGACAGTGCATGTTAGATCTCAGTATCAGCAAAATGAGCAAAGGAAATTCATTTTTTGTTAACTTATGA